>NC_000016.10:69714015-70017045 GCF_000001405.40 Homo sapiens
CAGGCACGTGCCACCGCACCCGGCTAAGTTTTTTTGTATTTTTAGTAGAGACGGGGTTTCGCCGTGTTAGGCAGGATAGTCTTGATCTCCTGACCTTGTGATCCGCCTGCCTCGGCCTCCCAAAGTGCTGGGATTACAGGTATGAGCCACCGTGCTTGGCCTTTTATTTTTTAAGATGGAGTCTTGCTTTGTTGCCCAGGCTGGAGTGCAGTGGCGCGATCTTGGCTCACTGTAACCTCCACCTCCTGGGTTTCAAGCAATTCTCCTGGCTCAGCCTCCTGAGTAGCTGGGATTGTAGATGCCCGCCACCACACCCAGCTAATTTTTGTATTTTTGGTAGAGACGGGGTTTCGCCATGTTGGCCAGACTGGTCTCAAACTCCTGACCTCAGGTGATCTGCCTGCCTCGGCCTCCCAAAGTGCTGAAATTACAGGCGTGAGCCACTGCGCCCGGCCTCTGGAGCATTTTAAAACAAATCCCAAACATCATGTCATTCCATCTGTAAAAACTTGATCATGCGTCTCTCCCGAAGGACCTGGAGCCTAGGCTTAGGATCTAATTGTGCTCAAAACCCTGCATCAGAGCCGGGCACAGTGGCTCACACCGGTAATCACAGCACTTTGGGAGGCTGAGGCGGGTAGATCACCTGAGGTCAGGAGTTCAAGACCAGCCTGACCAACATGGAGAAACCCCGTCTCTACTAGAAATACAAAATTAGCCGGGCATGGTGGCATATGCCTGTAATCCCAGCTACTCGGGAGGCTGAGGCAGGAGAATCGCTTGAACTCAGGAGGTGGAGGTTGCAGTGAGCCGAGATCCCGCCACTGCACTCCAGCCTGGGCAACAAGAGGGAAGCTCCATCTCAAACAAACAAACAAACAAACACCCCTGCATCAGGACAGACCACCCAGAAGCTGGCTGTCAGAGCATTCAGAACCATCCACCTACCCGGAAGGGTCCTTTGTCATACATGGCAGCGTAAGTGTAAGCAAACTCTCCTATGAACACTCGCTCAAACCAGCCTTTCAGAATGGCAGGGACTCCAAACCACTGCAGGGGGAACTGTGGGACAGAAGACATCATTGAGGTAAGACCAGGGGCTCCCCAAGCCCAGAAGGTGGCTCGGAGTGCTGAGCCGCTCCCCATGATGGCACTGTGTGGGAAGCCCCTCTTCACACCTTTCCCATTCCTCCTGGGGAGTTAGCACTTTAAGGAAAGAGATCATTATTGTCCTTGGTCAGCCAACTTGACAGTCTTCTTTTTCCCTGAAAATGCAAATATTGAGTGGGTCCGAGTAAAGCTAGATACACAGAAGACTTGTTGATATGAAACTTGTTTGTATGAAATCACATTTGGCAGCAAAGTCTAAATAGCAAGGATTGCAAACAAGGTTTGCTTCATGCTGTTGCTTCAATCAGTATTTTCCCAAGAGTTTGCTTTAGTAGGTGTGGTATCAACAATATGACTGTTGGCCAGGCGCAGTGGCTCAAGCCTGTAATCCCAGCCCTTTGGGAGGCCAAGGCGGGTGGATCACTTGAGGGCATGAGTTTGAGACCAGCCTGGCCAACATGGTGAAACCTCATCTCTACTAAAAATACCAAAATCAACCGGGCGTGGTGGCGCACGCCTGTAGTCCTAGCTACTCGGGCTGTTGAGGCAGGAGAATCACTTGAACCCGGGAGGTGGAGGTTACAGTGAGCCGAGATCGTGCCACTGCACTCCAGCCTGGGTGACAGAGTGAGACCCCATCGTGGAAAAAAATGTAGGCCTTCTTCATTTTATGACTGTCCCTTGTTATCGTGGATGAAAAATCATATCACTTAGAATAAACAAAATCACTCAAAAATGCAAACTAATAATCAGTGTGATGGCTGAGTGTGGTTGCTCATGCCTATAATCCCAGTATTTTGGGAGGCCAAGGTGGGAGGACCACTTGAGCCCAGGAGTTTGAGACCAGCCTGGGCAACAAAGTGAGACTTTGTCTCTACAAAAAAATTTAAAAATTAGCCTGATGTGATGGTGCACATCTCTAGTCCCAGCTATATGAGAGGCTGAGGCAGGAGGATTGCTTGAGCCCAGGAGTTGGAGGCTGCAGGGAGCTGTGATCACCACTGTATTCCAGCCTGGGTGACAGAGCAAGACTCCATCTCTAAATAATAATAATAATAATAATAATAATCATCATCATCATCAACGTGGCTAGGTGCAGTTGCTCATGCCTTTAATTCTAGCACTTTTGGAGGCCAAGGTGGGTGGATCACTTGAGGTCAGGAATTTGAGACCAGCCTGGCCAACATGGGGAAACCCTGTTTCTACTAAAAATACAAAAAGTCAAGCGTGGTGGTGCATGCCTGTAGTCCCAGCTACTTGGGAGGCTGAGGCAGGAAAATGGCTTGAACCCGGGAGGCGGAGGTTGCAGTGAGCCGAGATTGCACCATTGCACTCCAGCCTGGGCAACAGAGCGAGACTCCATCTCAAAAACAAATAAATAAATAAATAAAATGTTAAAAAATAAAAATTATAATAAATAATAATTAGGGTGACTAAGGTTCATCAGGGACTTCCCATGAGAAAGTCTTGTCTGACCTCTTATCCTAATAAAAGCAGAGTAAGGACTATACCAGGAGGTTTTCTTATCCTTGATTCATGATTTAAAGATATGAAAGGCACATGCCTATAATCCCAGCCTTTTGGGAGGTCCAGGCAGGCAGATCACTTGAGCCCAAGAGTTTGAGACCAGCCTGGGCAACATGGTGAGACCCTATTTGTACAAAAAAATTAAAAAATTAGCAGGGCATGGTGGTGTGCACTGATAGTCCCAGCTATTCGGGAGACTGAGGTGGGAGGATCATTTGAGCCCAGGAGGTTGAGGCAGCAGTGAGCAGAGATCATGCCACTGCACTCCATCCTGGGTGACCGTGAGACCTTGTCTCCAATTTAATTTTTTTTTAAAGCCGTCCTTTGGGGTACTGGCTAGTGGCATGTGGCTTTGATTCTTAGCAACAGGCCTGTGGGTAAAATAAAGGACTTCAAGGATTGGATGTTTTGTAGCTGATTGAATAACTAAAAAAAAAAAAGAGAGAGAGAGAGAAAAAAAAAACACAGCCTGTACCACCCTCCTCGTGGTTTCCAGGATCATATACATTCTATGTTCAATATCAAAAGACTGGCTGGAATTGTAAAAGCAAAGTCATTGAGTACAGTCACATTTATAGGAAAGATCACTGACGAGATGCACGCACAATCCCAGCATTGTCTGCTAAACGGTAAGGCAGCTTCCCGAAGAAGAAAGGCCGTGGTTTGCTGCAGGAACACATTCAGCAGGGTTTCAAAGCCCCCTTCAGCTGGCAGGCTACAATGGCAGAGAAGTCAATGTCTCATGGATTATTCTACAAAGTATTTGGGATTCTTATGGAGAAAGGAGGAGAACTGCAAATTTTGAGAGAGTCCAACAGGAATCGCTAACCGCAGGATTCGCTAACTGAAGGAATCGCTAACTGAAGGAATCGCTAACTGAAGGGGAGACTAAGTACCTGGAAGAAAGCAAGCTCAAGGACTGTACATCATCTCTGCAGCTGCATTTCTTTCTTTCTTTTTTTTTTTTTTTTGAGACAGAATCTCGCTCTGTCGCCATGTCACCAGGATGGGGTGCAGTGGCGCAATCTTGGTTCACTTCAACCTCCACCTCCCGGGTTCAAGTGATTCTCCTGCCTCAGCCTCCAGAGTAGCTGGGACTACAGGCACATGCCACCACGCCCAGCTAATTTTTGTACTTTTAGTAAAGACAGGGTTTCACCATGTTGGTCAGGATGGTCTTGGTCTCTTGACCTTGTGATTCACCTGCCTTGGCCTCCCAAAGTGCTGGGATTACAGGCGTGAGCCACCGTGCCTGGCCTTGCAGTTGCATTTACACATGCAACAGTAATACAGCCAGATTCCCAATATCTGTGAAATCCATGTAATACTGCACCTTTAAAGTAATCACCCTTATTTGCAGAGAATGCAGTAAAGTGGGTAACTGTTTAAGATCTCATAGCTAATTAGGTACATGTCTAGGACAATAAGCACGCAAATGTCCCTGACACCCCTTCCGATGTCCCCCCATACCTGGAATATCACAAGGTCTGCGGCTTCCAGCTTCTTTTGTTCAGCCACAATATCTGGGCTCAGATGGCCTTCTTTATAAGCCAGAACAGACTCGGCAGGATACTGAAAGTTCGCAGGGTCCTTCAGTTTACCTGCAGAGAAGAAAAAGAGAGGCTGGGGCCAGAGGGGCCAAAGCTGGGCCAGAGGACCCACAGGCAAGGAGATCCGCAAAGAACTAATTAAAGAGGGGAGGAGGAACTCCTCCTACCTGTGATGTCCTTTCTGGAAATGATGGGATTGAAGTTCATGGCATAGAGGTCCGACTCCACCACCTCCCATCCTTTCTTCTTCAAAGCCGCTGCAGCAGCCTCCTTCATGGCATAGTTGAAGGACGTCCTCTCTGAGTGAGCCAGTACGATCAGTGCTCTTCTGCCTACAGAGACACACACAAAGCACACACGGAAAACCCATTACCAACCAGCAAACCTTCAGCTACAGGGGAGTTGCAGTCTGTAAAGGAGGGGGCGGCTTTGTTTGACATTAGGTTATTGCATTCCATCTCCTGTAGCCAGAAATGTATTTTCCCCTTAAAAGCACTGAAGATTAAAGGAAGCATTTAAATCAGTGGCTGATTTAATAAATAATGTTGACAACTGGGCTCTGTGGCTCATAACTGTAATCCCAGCACTTTGGGAGGCCAAGGTGGGCAGATCACCTGAGGTCAGGAGTTTGAGACCAGCCTGGCCAACATGGTGAAACCCTGTCTCTACTAAAAATACAAAAATTAGCTGGGTGTGGTGGCAGGCACCTGTAATCCCAGCTACTTGGGAGGCTGAGGCAGGAGAATCACTTGAACTCGGGAGGGGGAGGTTGCAGTGAGCCAAGATTGCACCATTGCACTCCAGCCTGGGTGACAATGGGAGACTCCGTCTCAAAAAAAAAAAAAGATGCTCTGCGTGACCTGTCAGGAAAAGCAAAATTAAAATGAGACATTTACCCATTCGTTTACATGGGTACTGTGTTTACATTTACCGTGAGTTTACATTTACCCACAAAATGTAAAACAAATAACACCCAGGGTTATTAAGATTGTACCAACAGAAAAATTGGCACCTTACTGGTGGGGATAAGAACTGCCTCAACCTTTAGGGAAAGTAATGAGGCAGAATCTCTTGAAACTTTAAAGACACATAAATCTTTTATCTCGCTCTCCAATTTGGGGGAATCTGTTCTACAGACTAAAAGCTTCAGGCTATAAGAGCAAAGATGTGTATTACACCATGCTTTTCACTGGCAAAAATTAGATATAACCTGATTGTCTATGGGGAACATTTTAAGAAATTATGGGTACATCCACACTACAGGATATTTTGCTGTTAACAAGAATGAGTTGGCCAGGCACGGTGGTTCGAGCCTGTAATCCCAGCACTTTGGGAGGCTGAGGCGGGCAGGTCACGAGGTCAAGAGATCAAGACCATCCTGGCCAACATGGTGAAACCCTGTCTCTACAAAAATACAAAAATTAGCTGGGTGTGGTAGCGGGCACCTGTAATCCCAGCTATTCGGGAGCCTGAGGCAGGAGAATCGCTTGAACCCAGGAAGCAGAGGTTGCAGTGAGCTGAGATCTTGCCACTGCACTCCAGCCTGGGTGACAGAGTAAGACCCTGTCTCAGAAAAATAAATAAATTAAGATAAAAGTAAAAAATATATAAAAAAGAATGAGTTAAACTGGCTGGGCACAGTGGCTGGAGCCTGTAATCCAGCTACTTGGAAGGCTGAGGCGGCAAGATCCCTTGAGGCCAGGAGATGGAGACCAGCATGGGCAGCATAGTGACACCTTGTCATAAAAAAAAATTTTTAGAGACTGTTGACCAGGTACGGTTGCTCACGCTTCTAATTCCAGCACTTTGGGAGGCCAAGGCGGGAACATTGCTTGAGCCCAGGAGTTCAAGACCAGCCTGGGCAACATGACAAAAGCGAAATCCCTTCTCTACAAAACGTACAAAAATTAGCTGGGCATGGTGGTGTATGCCTGTAGTCCCAACTACTCAGGAGGCTGAGAGATGGAAGGATCACTTGAACCCAGGAGGTTGAGGCTGCAGTGATCCGTGATCGCCGCACTGCACTCCAGCCTGGGTGACAGAGGGAGACCCTGTCTCAAATAAACAAATTTTAAAAATTAAAAAAATTAAAATGAATTAACTATATGTAGTGACTCAAAAAGATATCCATGCTATATTATTAACTGATAAAAAAGCAAGTGAATATGAACCCATTTTTATTTAAAATGAAAGAAGTGAGAGGAAGGGAGAGAGGGAAGGGAAGGAAGAAAAAAGAAAATACAAAAAAAAAAGAAAAAAAGAAATGACATATATTTGTATGTAGACTTGCAGCACCTTGGTATGAGGGGGAAAAATGTGCAGTGATCACATTAAACTTTTTTTTTTTTTTGACAGTCTCACTCTGTTGCCCAGGCTGGAGTGCAGTGGCATGAACTTGGCTCACTGCAACCTCCGCCTCTCAGGTTCAAGCGATTCTCCTGCCTCAGCATCCCCAGTAGCTAGGATTACAGGTGTGAGCCACCGTGCCAGGCCAATCACATTGAACTATTAACAGCTCAGCTTCCTTTATAAGAAATGGCAAAGAGGTACAGGTAGAAGGGAAATGGGCCTCTTTTATATTAACAAGGTTGTCAGAGGCAGCATGCTTCAATTTGCAAGAACAGTATTTAGTGGATCCTTAGTGCTAGGCACTGCCCTAAGTGCTTTGCATTCCTTTTTTTTCTTTTTCTCTTTCTGAGACAGGGTCTCGATCTGTTGCCCAGGCTGGAATGCAGTGGCATGATCTCAGGTCACTGCAGCCTTGACCTCTCAGGCTCAAGCTATCCTCCCACCTCAGCCTCCTGAGTAGCTGATACTACAGGTGTGCACCACCACACCTAATTTTTTTTTTTTTTTTGTAGAGACAGGGATTTGCCATGTTGCCCAGGCTGGTCAAATTTGGAGCCGTGTTGCCCAGGCTGGGGCAATTTTGCCTGCCTCAGCCTCCTACAATGTTGGGATTATAGGTGTGAGCAACCACGCCCGGCCTGCACTTTCTTCCTTTGTCAGGACAACCTGCTATGTTTTAAACGTGTCCCCCTCCAAAATTCAGGTGCTGCCAATGTGAGAGGATTAACAGATGGGGCCTGTGATAGGTGATTAGGCGAGGGGGTCTCCTTCCTCATGAGTGGGATTAAGGCCCTCATAAAAGAGGCTTCGCCCAGCACGGGGCTCACCTGCCCTTCCACCTTCTACCTCCCACCGTCTATGTAAGGACGCAGCATTCCTCCAAATGCAGCTCTCACCAGACAGCCAAACCTGCCAGCACCTTGATCTTCGACTTCCCAGCTTCCAGAACTGTGAGAAATCAATTTCTCTTTTTTATTAACTACCTAGTCCCAAGTATTATGTATGGCAGCACAAAATAGACTGAGACACACCCTATGAGGTCAATACCATGAGTAGCCCCATGTTACAGATGAGAAAACTGAGGCACAGGAGAGAAGCAAGTTACCCAAGTGTGTAGTCATTAAGTGGTGAAGCTGGAATAATTTAAAAACACAGAGAGTGGCTGGGCGTGGTGGCTCACACCTGTAATCCCAGCACTTTGGGAAGCCGAGGCAGGCAGCTTGCTTGAGCCCAGGAGTTTGAGACCAGCCTGGCTAACATGGAGAAACCCCGTTTCTACCAAAAAAAAAAAAAAAAAAAAAATTAGCTGAGCGTAGTGGTGTGTGCCTGTAGTCCCAGCTACTTAGGAAGCTGAGGTGGGAAGATCATTTGAGCCAGGGAGGTGGAGGTTGCAGTGAGCCGTGATCACACCACTGTACTCCAGCCTGGGCGACAGTGAGACTTACAAACAGTGAGAAATACAAACAACAGCGTACAAGGGCATAGAGCGAATTGCCAGAGAAAGGACGCTTACCCCCACAGTTGCTCCTGATAATGTGCGCTGCTACTTCATACCCTACCATGAACAGTGGGTGGAGCTGGGAGAGAAGGCATCTGCAACTTTTTTGGCAGGGTGGGGGTGGGGGCGGGGGAGATGGAGTCTTGCTCTGTCACCCAGGCTGGAGTGCAGTGGCGCCATCTCGGCTTACAGCAACTTCTGCCTCCCGGGTTCAAGCGATTCTCCTTCCTCAGCCTCCGAATAGCTGGGATTACAGGCGCGTGCCACCACGCCCGGCTAATTTTTTGTATTTTTTGTTTTAGTAGAGACACCATGTTAGCCAGGATGGTCTCGATGTCCTAACCTCATGACCCACCTGCCTTGGCCTCCCAAAGTGCTGGGATTACAGGCGTGAGCCACCGCGCCCAGCCGGCATCTGCAACTTTTTTGCACCATCTGAATAACTAGAAATAACTAAAATAACTAGAAAGGCACATTTAAACCTTAAGCTCTCTTCCTGCTTTTATTATTGACCACATCTAGCAAGGCAAGTGCCTCTTGGGCTAAATTCAGCGAAGTGTAACTTTCAGGGCCCAATATGCCAAACCAGGGGATTTCCAAACTTGGTCCTAGGGTTTTGGACTCTTAAAACTAAGACTCAGTGGAATAGGTGTCTGGTGATGATTTCAATGCGCTGGAAGTGATTGACTTGCTTGGGATAGCTTGGAAAAAGGAAAAGGAAGCTCTGAGGCTGCCTCAACAAATTCCTACCTCTTTAACCCATGGATTTAACATGATTGGGAGGGAAGTGAGCATATTCAGCTCTAACAGGCATTTTCTTTGTAACTTACCTTGCCATTAGTCTTATCAATGTTTACTGATCGCCGCTCTGACAGTTTTTGTTTGTTTGTTTTTTTGAGACAGAGTTTCGCTCTGTCGCCCAGGCTGGAGTGCAGTGGCGCGATCTCGGCTCACTGCAAGCTCCGCCTCCCAGGTTCACGCCATTCTCCTGCCTCAGCCTCCAGAGTAGCTGGGATTACAGGCGCTCGCCGCCACGCCCGGCTAATTGTATTTTTAGTAGAGACGGGGTTTCACCGTGTTAGCCAGGATGGTCTCGATTTCCTGACCTCGTGATCCGCCTGTCTCGGCCTCCCAAACTGCTGGGATTACAGGCGTGAGCCACAGCGCCCAGCCAACAGTTTTTATTTTATTGACTTCTCATCAATGTTAACAAGCATTTTCTAAGTAGTAAGACAGTCAAGGCACTTCTCAGAAAATGAGCAAATCAGGATATCCATCTCTTGCTCTTTCAAGGAGCTCAGACTCTAATAGCTATAAGCAGGCCTGTGACTTTACAATTTTTCATGTAAGGCAACACACAAGCAGGAATAATATATTTGCAACAAATATAACCATCAAAGTGCAGTACCTGGAATAGGTAGATCCCCAAAACAACTCAAAAGAAAAATGATCAAAAGAAGGTTGTGGGTGGGTCGCGGTGGCTCACACCTGTAATCTCAGCACTTTGGGAGGCTGAGGCGGGCAGATCACCTCATGTCAGGAGTTAGAGACCAGCCTGGTTAACATGGTGAAACCCCGTCTCTACTAAAAATACAAAAAAAAATTAACCAGGTGTAGTGGCAGGTGCCTGTAATCCCAGCTAATCGGGAGGCTGAGGCAGGAGAATTGCTTGAATCCAGGAGGCGGAGGTTGCAATGAGCCGAGATCGCACCATTGCACTCCAGCCTGCGCAACAGAGCAAGCCTCTGTCTCAAACAAACAAACAAAAAGATGCTTGTGAATAGGCAATTTAAAAGTTTTCTGGGCCCTGGAGGGTTCATTTTCCCTTCCTGCCACTTAACTAGCTGAGCAACATGACCTGGGAGGAGTTAGACTATTAGAGTTTACCCTGAGAGAGGCCACAAGATGCACACACGGATAACCTCTTCAGGGTACAATGGCATTAGTGTGTTAGGAGAGGTAAGGGACAAAGTTCAACAGAAGGCTGGGTGTGGTGGCTCATGCCTGTAATCGTAGCACTTTGGGAGACCGAGGCGGGTGGATTACTTGAGGTCAGGAGCTAGAGACCAGCCTGGCCAACATGGTGAAACCCCGTCTCTACTAAAAATACACAATTAGCTGGGCGTGGTGGTGGGCGCCTGTAATCCCAGCTACTTGGGAGGCTGCAGCACAAGAATCGTTTGAACCTGGGAAGTGGAGATTGCAATGAGCCAAGATCACGCCACTGCACTACAGCCTGGGCAACAGAGTGAGTGAGACTCCATCTCAAAAAGTTCAACAGAGGAAAACTTCAGGACCTCAGGGCTGGCCCATTCGGAAAGGCCCTCAGAGGAGCTTGCCATTTGAGCTGAATCTTGGTCTTGAACTCCTGGCCTCAAGCAGTCCTCCCGCCTCAGCCTCCCAAAAGTGCTGGGATTACAGGAATGAGCCACCACTCCCAGCCAAAATTTTTTTTTTTTTTAATTAGCTGGGTTTCAAGTTCTTCTGCTCTGACCAAAAAAAATTAGCTGGGTGTGGTGGCACACACCTGTAGTCCCAGCTACTCGGGGGCAAAGATGGGACAATCACTTGAGCCCAGGAGGTCAAGGCTGAAGTGAGCCCTGATCATGCCACTGCACTCCAGCCTGGGCAACAAAGCAAGACCCTGTCTCAAAAAGAAAAAAAGAAGTATGATAAAGATAAGCCTTTGTATCAGTTTCATGCATTCTCCTTCTGCCTTCTCTTCTCACTTGAGTGCTCCAGGGAACATGAGTGCAAATCAGATGCATCTATTAGTTGCAAACAAAAAACCTGGATGCTTTAGTTAACCTCAAGATTTGGTTAGCTGGGTACAGCTAAAACTAATTATACAAGATCCAAGTCTTCCCTTTTCACCTCATTACCACCGCCCTTTTTTGTGTTTAAGCTACACGTAAATACAGAACATTCTGTAAGATTGAAAAGTCAGGAAATAGTTCCTGCCCTAGTATTGGAGGAGAGGGTGCCAGTGCCTCGACGCTGAAGAATGAAATACAAGGGAAACAGCAACCACCGTGTATGCGGCAAGCCTCTCAGCTGTCAGAATCTATTCCCTGCTGTCTCTGCCAGTAACTCATGCTGGGCTACCAATCCCCAGCTTAGTCCCTTTCTCAGAGATCCTGATAATTTCAGTTTGTCAACTGCAAGGGCAGTCTGTTCCTCCACTCACTTTGACCAAGATGGGCTTCTTTGTGTACAGGCGCATTTTTAGAGGCAGGACCAGGTCCACAGGGAAGGAAATTACAAAACACAGGATTCTGCCCCAGATGAGGCAACAGCTTTCTAAATCTTAGTACTGTCCAATCTCAGAGTGAGATTATTTGGGAAACAGCTCTCAATCCCTGCAGTTGTCTCAGCTGGTTATTTATGCCTTGGGTGGAGCTGGGGTGACCTCTGAGTTCCCCTAGGGTCGATGGCCGAGTGGGAAGGCTCTATCACTGAAGTGGACCCAATACTAGAAACGGATCCAGTACGATCTGATCAGGTTTGCCTAATCCAAGGGCCTCAATGGAAAATGCCTCCCAAGGCCAGGCACGGTGGCTCACGTCAGTAATCTCAGCACTTGGGGAGGCTGAGGTGGGTGGATCACCTGAGGTCAGGAGTTCAAGACCGCGCTGGCCAACTTGGCGAAACCCGTCTGTACTAAAAATATAAAAATTAGCCGCGCATGATGGCGCACTCCTGTAATCCCAGCTACTCGGGAGGCTGAGATGGGAGAATCGCTTGAACCCGGGAGGCGGAAGTTTCGCTGAGCTGAGATAGCGCCATTGCACTACAGCCTGGGCGACAAGAGCAAAACTCCGTCTCAAACAAAACAAAACAAAACAAAACAAAACAAAACCTGTGCCTGGCAGCCTGGAGCCGGTTCTGGTCTCCGTCAAACCAAAGGCATCAGTTTCCTCCACTCCTGTCCACCAATCGCCAGATATTCTCATTTTCTTCAGAAGCTCGGAATCCACATTTTTAAGTGAAATCACCCATTTTAATGTTAGCAACTTATTTCAAAGTGTTTTAGATACTATAGACCAAAAGAGGTATGGGCTGTGACCGTAAGCCTGATTTGGCCTCTGACGGCCAGTTTCTGACCACAGTTTTGGAGGGAATTTCTGCTTCCAAGGTCAAGTTTCTCCTAAATGCCCACTAGAGTTCGTGGGGTGGAGTGAGGAAGGATCCGCGACACCGGATACAAACAGAAGCTCTCCTTCTCCCGGAGTCCGATCAAGGCTCATCCCAGGTCCCTAATCTCTTCCCTTTGTGGGTTTTGAGTCAAGGAACAAAATTCAGGGCCAAGCCCCTACAACCTCCTCCACAGGCACCAGTGCTCGAGAGACGACCGCCAAGCACCCCGCCCTTTGCAGCACTCACCGACCATGGCTCTGGTGCAGTCCGGGGCGCTGATTGGCTGGGCTCGTGGTTGCCGGGGCGACCCTGGCCGGAACTAGGCTCTCGGTGAGCTGGGCGGCTCCGGCTGCAACCTTGTGGGAGTCGCGTGTGTAGTGCACGGTGCATTCTCTCTTATATATCCTGTCCGGCCCGTTTGAGGTGGACAGCCTACAAGGGCGGGACCCAACGCCTGAATCCTGGGGTGCTGGGCGGAGGATGCTGAGGCTGCAGCTCCAGGAAGGGAGGGAGCCTGGGGGATGAAGGAGGGGCCTCTCCACTCTCACCCGCCGGAGCAACTGGTGGAAGTCAAGAAAAGTCTCTCGGGGCTGGGGGAGGGGATTGTAGGGGTGTGTGTGACAGAGGCCTCAAAAATCTGGCTGGGGGTGCTAAGGCAAGCCCATCTGCGCACTGTGCCCTGAGGTGCAAGAGGATGCAGGGTGGAAGTCGTCCCAAGAGAGTCCAGGGATCAAGTGGGCATGCCCTTTTAGCCTTGGCACGAAATGGAGCAGAAAAAGAGCCGGATGCGGATTACTGTGGTGCCCTAGGCTCAGATTCTGCTGAGTCACTGTGACTGCGGATTTGGAAGGCTGAGAGTCCTGGGGAGACATGCTCCGTGGAGACGAATTTGTTTCTTCCTTTGCAAGATTCAGATTCTGCACTTGGGGGCCCATACAACACACTTCCCTGGGTGCATGCCACTGCACCACCCCTGCTCCTCAAGGCAGGTAATGGGGGAACTAATTGGTTTTGTTTCCCATGAGCTAAGGCAAGGCTGGTGTGGAGATAGCAGTTATAGGGAAGCATATTAAAGAATAGCCAAAACGGGACCAGGCGCGGTGGCTCACGCCTGTAATCCCAGCAATATGGGAGGCCGAGGTGGGTGGATCACCTGAGGTCAGGAGTTCGAGACCAGCCTGGCCAACCTGGTGAAGCCCCGTCTGTACTGAAAAATTAGCTGGGCGTGATGGCGGGCGCCTGTAAGTCCCAGCTACTCGGGAGGCTGAGGCAGGAGAATCGCTTGAACCCGGAAGGCGGAGGTTGCAGTGGGTCGAGATCGTGCCACTGCACTCCCGCCTGGGTGACGAAGTGAGACTCCGTCTCAAAAAAAACTCTATAAAGTAAAAGTTACTGTAAAGAAGGAGATATACTCTCAGTAGGTGAAGGAAAAAGAACTAGAGCTTTAAAGTGGTAATTAACCATCAGAAGAATCACAGATGGGGGAGGTGAGGATGACACAGGGCCCTTCCGTTGTCCCTCCAGTGCAAAAGTTAAGGAGGCACCAGAAAACTGGTTTCCAACTCCCGACCTCAGGTGATCCTACCGCCTCGGCCTCCCGAAGTGCTGGGATTACAGGCATGAGCCACCGCGCCCGGCCCCATCGTGACATTTTTGCATTCATTTTGATGCAACAAGAGAGGACTATATTATTTACACGTATTTACAAATTACTTTGGGAGGCTGAGGCAGGAGGATCACTTGAGCCCAAGAGTTTGAGAAAAGCCTGAGCAACAAAGTGAGACCCCATCTGACAAAATAGTATAAAAGGACGTTTTAAAAAAGGGCTAGGTAGGCAGCCCTGTCCAATAGAACTTTCCCTATCTGTGCTGCCCAAGTAAGGTAGCCACAAGCTTCAAGTAGCTATTGAGCACTGGAAATGTGGCCAGCAGCCAGGCGTGGTGGCAGGCGCCTGTGTCCCAGCTACTCAGGATCTGAGGCAAAAAGATCGCTTGAGCCCAGGAATTCAAGGCCGCAGTGGTGGACTCAATAAAAGAAAAAAAATGGAAATTAAAAAAAAAAAAGTGGCCAGTGGACTGAGGAAGTGAAGTTTTAATTGTAATTAAATTAATTTTTTAAAAATTTATTTTTTGAGGCGGGGTTTCACTGTGTCGCCCAGGCTGGAGTGCAGTGGCAGGATCTTGGCTCACTGCAATCTCCATCTCCTGGGTTTAAGCAATTCTTGTGCCTCAGCTTCCTGAGTAGCTAGGACTACGGGCATGCACCACCACAGTCAGCCACTTTTTGTATTATTCGTAGAGATGAGTTTCACCATGTTAGCCAGGCTGGTCTCAAACTCCTGACCTCAGGTGATCTGCCCACCTCGGCCTCCCAAAGTGCTAGGATTACAGGCATGTGCCACTGCGCCTGGCTTTAATTAAATTTAGATAGCCACATGTCACTAGTGTTTGGAAAGACCTGAGCTGGTTCAGATCGAGGCCGCAGTGTGCTGGCTATTCTATCTCTCACTCTTCTAGTGAGATTGTTTTCTCAATCACCAGTCTCCCTGACCCATCCAGAGGTGGGGCTCAAAGCCACAAAGCTCAAGTGTCGTGTTCGGTCGTTGGTTTCCAGCATGGCCAGTTCCCATCCTCAGTCATCTTGTTAACATGAACTATATAGGGGCCCATCCCAAGTCATCTCATTAGCATAAACCATCAGGAGTGGTCTGAGAAGCCCACAATGAATAAGATGGACACTCCTATCATTTGGGATTTAGGGGCTCAGGGGCATGATGATAGTT
Organism: Homo sapiens; assembly: GCF_000001405.40. NCBI lineage: Eukaryota > Metazoa > Chordata > Mammalia > Primates > Hominidae > Homo > Homo sapiens. The sequence continues at coordinate 69,728,969 of NC_000016.10, forward strand.
CACTGCAGCCTCGACCTTCTGGAGTCAAGCAATCCTCCTGCCCCAGCCTCCTGAGTAGCTGAGATGACAGGTGCATGCCACCGTGCCTGGCTAATTTTTTTTTATTTTTTTGGTAGAGATAGGGTCTCACTATGTTGCCCAAGCTGGTCTCAAACTCCTGGGCTCATGTGATCCTCCCGCTTTGATCTCCCAAAGTGCTGGAGTTACAGGTATGTGCCACCACTCCTGGCCAAATTTGTTACTACACAGTGGTAAAGACAGACATTTGAGGTGGCAGTGAACCAAGATCATGCCACTGCACTCCAGCCTGGGCAACAGAGGGAGATCCTGTCTCAAAAGAAAAAAAGAAACTTACTGGCCGGGCACAGTGGCTCAGGCCTGTAATCCCAGCACTTTGGGAGACTGAAGCGGGTGGATCACTTGAGCTCAGGAATTGGAGACCAGCCTGGCCAATGTGGTGAAACCCCGTCTCCACTAAAAATACAAAAACATGAGCTGGGTGTGGTGGTGGGCGCCTCCAGTCCCAGCTACTCGGGAGGCTGAGGCACGAGAATCGCTTGAATTCAGGAGGCAGAGGTTGCAGTGAGCTGAGATTGTGCCACTGCACTCCAGCCTGGGCAACAAGAGCGAGACTCCATCTCAAGAAAAAAAGAAAAAGAAAAAGCTGCTGTGGAGCATGGGCGAGCACTGCTGCCTGGACAAAGACCGAGGGTCCTCGGGAGGGCAGTACTGATGTACAGGTTTCCAGCAGGTCGGCGTGTGTGTTCTCTCCTGCAGGTCTGCAGCCAGGCGTGCCAGGAGAGGGGGAGTCTGAGGGATTGATGTAGGTTGGGAAAGCATGATGAGAGGAGACAGAGTGGGGGCTGTGAAGAAGAGAGCGACTTGATGGTGGCGGTAGTTACACAGATGTATGTATTTATTAAAATCCGCTGAAAAGTACATTTTAAATACAAGCATTTTATTGTATGCATGTTATTCCTCAACAAAGTCCATTTTTAAAAAGTAGAGTGGTTGGAGTGATGACGAACATTATGAAAGGGCTTATTGGCAGAGAAAAAGTAGAGGGGTCCAGAGACTCAAGTTCCTAACGAGGCTGAAGTAAGAGTGGGGGATTAAATAAGGGCAAAAACTGAGAGAATAAAAAAAGTGGGTTGTTTGGGGCCAGGTGCGGTGGCTTATACCTGTAATCCCAGCACTTTGGGAGGCCAAGGCAGGGGGATCGCTTGAGCCCAGGAGTTCAAGACCAGCCTGGGCAACATAGTGAGACCCCCCCGCAACCCCCCCCACCTCTGCCATCTCTAAAAAAATTAAAAATTAGCTAGGTGTGGTGGTGTGCACCTGTGGATCCAGCTACTAAGGAGGCTGAGATGGGTGGATCATCTGAGCCTGGGAAGTCGACGCTATAGTGAGCTGTGACTGTACCACTGCACTCCAACCTAGGCAGCACAGTGACACCCTATCTAAAAACAAAAAGAAAAAACAAAAACCCAAGTGGGTTGATTGGGAAACACAGGAGATAGAAGTTAAAATCATGGGGAAACATCAGTCAAATCACAGTGTGGGACATTCTACAGGACAACCAACCTGGTTTATCCCATAATTCAGTGCTATAAGAAAAATGAAGGAGTGTATATTGATCAGGATTTTCCAGAGAAACAGAACCAATTGAATTTCTATAAATATATAAAAAGCAATATATTGCTGGGTGCAGGGCTCACACCTTGTGATGGTTAATAATGAGTGTCAACTTGATTGGATTGAAGGATGCAAAGTATTGATCCTGGGTGTGTCTGTGAGGGCGTTACCAAAGGAGGTGAACATTTGAGTCAGTGGGACTGGGAAGGGCGGACCCATCCTCAATCTGGGTGGGCACCAACTAATCAGCTGCCAGTGCGGCCAGAATATAAAGCAGGCAGAAAAACGTGAAAAGACTAGACTAGGCCTGGTGCCGTGGCTCACGCCTGTAATCCCAGCACTTTGGGAGGCCGAGACGGGTGGATCACTTGAAGTCAGGAGTTCAAGACCAGCCTGGCCAATATGGCAAAACTCATCTCTGCTAAAAATACAAAAAAATTTAGCTGGGTGTTGTGGTGCATGCCTATAATGCCAGCTACTCAGGAGGCTGAGGCAGGAGAATAGCTTGAACCCAGGAAGCAGAGGTTGCGGTGAGCCGAGATCACACCGCTGTACTCCAACCTGGGTGACAGAGACTCACCTCACCAAAAAAAAAAAAAAAAATAAGTGGGGCTAGACTGGCCTAGCCTCCCAGTCTACATCTTTCTTCTGTGCTGGATGTTTCCTGCCCTCCAACATCAGACTCCAAGTTCTTCAGCTTTGGGACTCGGACTGGCTTCCTTGCTCCTCAGCTTACAGATGGCCTATTGTGGGGCCTTGTGATTGTGTGAGTTAATACTACATATGTCTATCTTATTACTTCTGTCCCTCTACAGAAACCTGACTAATACACACCTGTAATCCCAGCACTTTGGGAGGGCAAGGCAGGCGGATCCCTTGAGGCCAGAAATTTGAGACCAGCCTGGGCAACACAGCAAGACCCCATCTCTACAAAACATAATTTTAAATAAAATTAGGCCCGTGTGGTATTATGCGTCTGTAGTCCCCCTCACTTGGGAGGCTGAGGTGGGAGGATTGCTTGAGCCCAGACAGTGAAGGCTGCAGTGAGCCAAAGATCTCACCATCGCACCCCAGTTTGGGTGGCAGAGTGAGATCCTGCCTCAAAGAAAAAAAAAAACAAACAGGTGTGGTGGCTCACACCTGTAATTCCAACACTTTGGGAGGCTGGGGCGGGCAGATCACTTGAGGTCAGGAGTTTGAGACCAGCCTGGCCAATATGGCAAAACTCCATCTCTACTAAAAATATGAAAATTAGCTGGGCGTGGTGGCATGTGCCTGTGATCCCAGCACTTTGGGAGGCCCAGGCGGGCAGATCACGAGGTCAGGAGTTCAAGACCAGCCTGGCCAACATGGTGAAACCCCGTCTCTATTAAAAATACAAAAATTAGCCAGGTGTGATGGTACATGCCTATAGGCCCAGCTACTCGGCAGGAGGAGAATTGCTTGAACCCTGGAGACAGAGGTTGCAGCAAGCCGAGATCACACCACTGCACTCCAGCCTGGGCAACAGAGGGAGACTCCATCTCAAAAAAAAAAAAAAAAGCTGTATTTTATGAGGGATTGGCTCATTTGATTCTGGAGGCTGGGAAGTCACACAATCTGCTGTCTGTAAGCAGGAGGCTGGGGAAAGCTGGTGGTGTGGTTTTGGTCCAAACTCAAGAGTGAGAACCAGGGGAGCCAGCGTTGCAAGTGCCACTCCCAGTCCAAAGGCCCAAGAACCAGGAACAGCAGTGCCCGAGAGCAAGAGAAGATGATGTCCCACCTCAAGAAAAGAGTAAGCAAATCTACCCGGCCTCCTCCTCTCTATTGTACTCGGGCCTTTGGTGGCGTGGATGATGCCTGCCCACCTTGGTGAGGGCAATTTTCCTTAATGCAGCCTGCCGATCCAAATGCTCATCTCTCTCCCAGAAACGCCCTCCCAGACACACCTAGAAACAATGTTCCACCAGCTATCTGAGCATTCCTTGCCCAGTCAAGCTGACATGTAAAATTAACCATCAGTTAATTGTGTTAAAGAATGTAAGAGATTTAACAAGATAAAACAAGCAAATGTCATATGCAGACATTGTTTGGATCTTGATTCAAACAAACATCTATAAAAAGACATCTTTGGACGGGTGCAGTGGCTCACACCTGTCATCCCAGCACTTTGCGAGGCAGAGATGGGCGGATCACCTGAGGTGAGGAGTTTGACACCAGCCTAGACAACATGATGAAACCCCGTCTCTACTAAAAGTACAAAAATTAGCCAGGTGTGGTGGTGCACACCTGTAATCCCAGCTACTGAGGAGGCAGAGACACAAGAATCCCTTGAACCTGGGAGGTGGAGGTTGCAGTGAGCCGAGATTGTGCCGCTGCGCTCCAGCCTGGGTGACAGAACAAGATTCTGTCTCAAAAAAAAAAAAAAAAAAAAAATCTTTGAGAAAATCAGAGAACAGATATTAGATGATATTTAGTTAGGTATGATAGTTTTTTTTTTTTTTTGAAGTCAGGTATCAATTAAACATGCATATTGAAGTGTCTAGAGGTAAAATGAAATTATGTCATGCCTTTGCCTTAAACTATTTCAAAAACAACCGATTGGCAAAATGTTTCTGAGTATTGAAACAAAATGTATGGTACATGGGCATTCATTATTTTATTCTTAATTCCATGAATATTTAAATTTTTCCAGTATAAAAAGTTTTACAGTGGTGGTGTGCTCTTGTATTCCCAACTACCTGGGAGGGTGAAGTGAGAGATCTCTTTAGCCCAAGAGTTCGAGGCCAGCCTGGGCAACATAGTGAGACACTGTCTCTTAAAAACAACAACAACAAAACATTTTACACAAAGAAAAAGAAACTAGGCTATGTGTTTGAAGTTTTTAAATAAACATTTTATTTTTGAGTACTTCAAAATTTAGAGGAAAATTGCAAGGCTTACATTTTATATAATATTTACATAAATGTGAAATGTGGTACGTTTATCAAAATTATGAAATAAACTAAATATTTTAGGCTCACTGAGTCCTGATTCTCACATCTGTAGAAGGAGAATTGAGACTATTAGTTTTGTTTTTACTTTTAAATTTTAGTTATTGAAGTAATACGCAGATAAACTATCTTTTAAAAAATATTTTTGGCCAGGTGCAGTGGCTCACACCTGTAATCCCAGCACTTTGGGAGGCCGAGATGGGTGGATCATGAAGTCAGGAGTTCGAGACCGGCCTGGCCCAGATGGTGAAACCCCGTCTCTACTAAAAATACAAAAATTAGCTGGGCGTGGTGGCGCATGCCTGTTAGTCCCAGCTACTTGGGGAGGCTGAGGCAGGAGAATTGCTTGAACCTGGGAGGCGGAGGTTGCAATGAGCTGAGATCGTGCCATTGCACTCCAGCCTGGGCAACAAGAGCGAAACTCCGTCTAAAAAAAAAAATTTTTGTTGTAATATATATATTAATTTAATATAAAGTTTGTACAAAATTTTAAGAGTCACATAATTTCCAGGCTGGGTGCGGTGGCTCACCCCTGTAATCCCAGCACTTTGGGAGCCTGAGGTGGGCAGATCACGAGGTCATGAGATCAAGACCATCCTGGCTAACGTGGTGAAACCCCATCTCTACTAAAAATACAAAAAAATTAGCCGGGCGTGGTGGCGGGTGCCTGTAGTCCCAGCTACTTGGGAGGCTGAGGCAGGAGAATGGCGTGAACCTGGGAGGCGGAGCTTGCAGTGAGCCGAGACTGCGACACTGCACTCCAGCCTGGGCGACAGAGCAAGAGTCCCCCTCAAAAAAAAAAAAAAGAGTCCATAATTTCCTGAGCTTATGATAAACAGCATCCCCCACTCCAACCTTCCTGAATTGTCTCCTTCCCAACACTTTTTTTTTTTTTTTGAGACAGAGTCTCACTCAGTCACCCAGGCTGGAGTGCAGTGGTGCGATCTTGGGTTCAAGTGATTCTCCTGCCTCAGCCTCCCAAGAAGCTGGGATTACAGGTGCCCATCATCATGCCCAGCTAATTTTTGTAGTTTTAGTAGAGATGGAGTTTCATCATGTTGACCAGGATGGTCTCAAACTCCTGACCTCAAGTGATCTGCCCACCTTGGCCTCCCAAAGTGCTGGGATTACAGGGGTGAGCCACCACACCCAGCCCCAACACTCTTTTTAGTGGTGCCTTGGGGTATTTACCTCCACGTTTCTAAGTAATATGCTGGTTTTTATTTATCATTTTTAGACATTATTGATTCATATCTACTATGAAAGATGAGAATAAGCACTTTAACACTCCCCCTCACCTTCACCTTTTCTCCTTTTCTTCCCAATATGGCAATATCCAAATTTTTGGCTAAATCAATATTTAGGTTTTATTTATGCTATTGTAACAATGAGCCATGCAGTGAATTATAATTACATTTCCTTCTACAACCTTTTGTTTTCCTAGGGTTAATAATTGCCACTTTTTTTTCTTTTTCTTTTGAGATGGAGTCTCGCTGTGTCACCAGGCCGGAGTGCAGTTATGCTCTCTCAGCTCATTGCAACCTCTGCCTCCTGGGCTCAAGCATTTCTCCTACCTCAGTCTCCAGAGTAGCTGGGATTACAGGCGCATGCCACCACGCCGAGCTAATTTTTGTATTTTTAGTAGAGACAGGGTTTCACCATGTTGTCCGGGCTGGTCTTGAACTCCTGACCGCAAGTGATCTGCCCACCTTAGCCTCCCAAAGTGCTGGGATTACAGGCATGAGCCATTGCGCCTGGCCTTCCCATTAGTTTTCTATGCCACCAGCACTAATTGTTCCCAAACCATCTAAATTATAAAAAACAAATAAGCACACCGTGTACCCCAAGCTGGAGTGCAGTGATGTGATCCTAGCTCACTGCAGCCTGGAACTCCCACACTCAAGTAATACTGTCGCGTTAGCCTCCTGAGTAGCTGGGACTACAGGCACTCACCACCATGCCTGGCTGATTTTTAAATTTTTTTTTTTTTTTTTTTTGGTGGGGAGGGGACGGAATCCCACCCTGTCACCCAGGCTGGAGTGCAGTGGTACTATCTTGGCTCACTGCAACCTATGACTCCCGGGTTCAAGTGATTCTCCTGCCTCAGCCTCCTGAGTAGCTGTGATTACAGGCACATACCACCATGCCTGGCTAACTTTTTTGTATTTTTAGTAGAGACAGGGTTTCGCCATGTTGGCCAGGCTGGTCTGGAACTCCTGACCTCAGGTGATCAGCCTGCCTTGGCCTCCCAAAGTGCTGGGATTAAAGATGTAAGCCACCGCACCCAGCCTGATTTTTTTTTTTTTTTTTTTGAGACAGAGTTTTGTTCTTGTTGTCTAGGCTAGAGTGCAGTGGCACGATCTCGGCTCACTGCAACTTTCGCCTCCCGGGTTTAAGCGATTCTCCTGCCTCAGCCTCCCGAGTAGCTGGGATTACAGGTGCCACCACAACCAGCTAATTTTGTATTTGTAGTAGAGGTGGGGTTTCTCCATGTTGGTCAGGCTGGTCTCAAACTCCCGACCTCAGGTGATCCGCCCACCTTGGCCTCCCAAAGTGCTGGGATTACAAGTGTGAGCCACCACGCCCAGCCCCAGCCTGATTTAAAAAATTTTTTTTTGTAGAGAAGTTATCTCCCTATGTTGCTCAGGCTGGTCTCGAGCTACCGAGCTCAAACAATCTGCCCACTTCAGCCTCCCCACGTGCTGGGATTACAGGTATGCACCACTGTGCCTGGCCTACTTTTCATTTGGCCAAACTCATCAGGTTTCTTATCAGTTTTATTCTTCTAGAAAAAGTCTTCCTGGAAGCCTTCTCTCCCAATGCAGGCTCGTCATTCTCTAGGTTTGCCGCACTGCTGTCTTTCTGGGGTTCTTTTTGCCTTTCTTTTATATTGGATCTCATATTTCCTCTTTGGTTTACTCCTCCCCCACTTTTTCTTTTCTCTCTCTTTTTTTTTTTCTGGATTATATTCTCCAGTAGTTCCTAAGAAAGGATAAGTGAGGCCAGGTACAGTGGCTCATGCCTGTAATCCCAGCACATTGGGAGGCTAAGGCAGTTGGATCACTTGAGGTCAGGAGTTTGAAACCAGCCTGGCCAACATGGTGAAACCTGTCTCTACTAAAACTACAGAAATTATCTGGGTGTAGTGGTACATGCCTGTAATCCCAGCTACTCGGAAGGCTGAGGCAGGAGAATCGCTTGAACCCGGGAGGAGGAGGTTGCAGTGAGCCGAGATCGCGCCACTGTACTCCAGCCTGGGTGACAGAGCGAGACTGTCTCAAAAGAGAAAAGAAAAAAAGGATAAATGGAAATAAGTTTTCAGATACATTCTGTGCCTGTTTGGCTGTGTGTAGAATTCTAGGTTGAAAATTGTTGCCTCTTGGAATTTTGAAGGCATTGATCTATGTTCTCCAGTTTTCAGGGAGAATTTATCACTTGCTTCCTGACCATTTGGATGTGATCTGCTTTTTCTCTCCGTAAGCACCTGAGGTCTTTGTATTCCGTCTGTTCTAGCTTATCAATCTTCTCCTTTTTTTTTTGAGATGGAGTCTCTTTCTGTTGTTAAGGCTGGAGTACAGTGGTGCAATCTCAGCTCACTGCAGCCTCTGCCTCCTGGGTTGAAGTGATTCTCCTGCCTCAGCCTCCCAAGTAGCTGGGATTACAGGCATGTGCTACCACGCCCAGCTAATTTTTTGTATTTTTAGTTCAGATGGGGTTTTATCCTGTTGGCCAGGCTGGTCTGGAATTCCTGACCTCAAGTGATCCGTCCGCCTCAGCCTCCGAAACTGCTGGGATGACAAGCATGAGCCACCGCACCTGCTCCCTGCCCTGTTTTTTTTTTTTTTTTTTTTTTTTTTAAGACAGAGTCTCACTCTGTCGCCCACGTTGGAGCAGGCGAGGACCTCAGAGCTATAGGAAGCTTTGTTGTCTTCATTATCTAGAAATTAAAAGCCGGGAGTTGGAGAATTCTCAGGAGCCCTCTCCTTCTGATGAAAGAACACAAGCATCCTCATGAGCCACCTGCTAATGCATGGTGTCCACCTGGGTGGCTGCTTTTCTGCACAAGGAGAAGTCCCCAAAGACCCCTTCCTTTTCTCTGTGCTGCGGATGATGGACTTTGTATATTAGCTCAGAGCCATTGTTGAGCCTGTCTGGGGACCTGGGTTATCCTCAGTGGTTCCTGTGGATTCCAGCCAAGTATTTCTGGGGGAGAAAATGTTCTTGGTATTAGGGTAGAAGAGATTCTTCTACTAGAAACCCCATCCATCCCTTCCTGTCCTCCTACCCGCCACCACTATGGCTATTACACAGCACTCACACCATTGTGTTGGGCTTCCTGTGTTTTGGTGTGTCCTGCTCTAATTTAAGTTATGTATTGCCGGAATTAGGCCATCCTTTACTGGGCTTAGAACACTCTGATTAAACTGAAATTTCTGCCAGGCACAGTGACTCACTCCTGTAATCCCAGCACTTTGGGAGGCCGAGGCAGGTGGATCACCTGAGGTGAGGAGTTTAAGACCAGCCTGGCCAACATGGTAAAACCCCATCTTTACTAAAAATACAAATATTAGCCACATGTGGCGGTATGCGCCTGTAATCCCAGCTACTCGGGAGGCTGAGGCAGGAGAATCACTTGAACCTGGGAGATGGAGGTTGCAGTGAGCCGAGATTGTGCCACTGCACTCCAGCCTGGGTGACAGAGCAAGACTCCATCTCAAAAAAACAAAACAAAAACAACAACAAAATGCTCATTTCTCTCAAAAAGGACATTCATTTGTTCTGAAGAGACTTGATTCAAGGTAGCAAATTGAGTCGTGTTTTTTTTTGACGGAGGCTAGCTGGGATTACAGGCACATACCACCAGGCCCAGCTAATTTTTGTATTTTTAGTACAGACGGGATTTCAGTATGTTGGCCAGGCTGCTTTCGAACTCCTGACCTCAAGTTATCCACTGGCCTTGGCCTCCTAAAGTGCTGAGATTACAGGTGTGAGCCACCATGCCCGGCCTGGTTATTTGGTTATTCTTATTTTTATGTCTATGTATGTATGTTATGTTATGTATGTATGTATGTATGTATGTATGTATGTATGTAAGAGTCTCGCTGTGTTGCCCAGGCTAGAGTGCATTGGCACCATCTCGGCTCACTGCAACCTCCGCCTCCCAGGTTCAAGCAATTCTCCTGCCTCAGCCTCACGAGTAGCTGGGATTACAGGTGCCCACCACCACACCCAGCCAATTTTTGTATTTTTAGTAGAGACAGGGTTTCGCCATGTTGGCCAACCATGTAGCTAGGACTACAGGTGTGCGCCACCATGCCTGGCTTTTTTTTTGTATTTTTAGTAGAGATGGGGTTTCGCCATGTTGGCCAGGCTGGTCTCAAACTCCTGACCTCAAGTGATCCGCCCACCTTGGCCTCCCAAAGTGCTAGGATTACAGGTGTAAGCCACTGTGCCATGCCTTTTTTTTTTTTTTTTTTGTGACAGGCAGGGTCTTGCTCTGTCACCTAGGCTGGAGTTTGGTGGCAGGATCTCAGCTGCAACCCTCTCCTCCTCCCGAGCCCAAGTGATCCTCCTACCTCAGCCTCCCAGGTAGCTGGGACTACAGGCAGCACCATGTGCAACTAATTTGTTTCACTGATTTTTATTTGTTTGCAGGGTTTCACTATGTTGGCCAGGCTGGTATTGGACTCCTGAGCTAAAGTGATCTGCGGGCTTCAGCCTCTCAAAACGTTGGGATTACTGGTCTGGATCACTGCGTCCAGGCAGTAAGTTTTTCTTCTTTTGAGACACGGTCTCTCTCCGTCACCCAGGCTGGAGTGCAGTGGCATGATCTCAACTCATTGCAACCTCACCCTCTCGGGCTTAAGCAATCCTCCCACCTCAGCCTCCCAAGTAGCTGGGACTGTAGGTGTGTATCACCATACATGTTAATTTTTGTATATTTTTTAGAGATGGGGTCTCACTATGTTGCCCAAGCTGGTCTCAAGTTCCTGAACTTGAGCAATCCTCCCACTTTGGCCTCCCAAAGTGTTGGGATCATAGGCGTGAACCACAGCAACTGGCCCATCACTTTTTTTTTTTTTTTTTGAGACGGGAGTCTTGCTCTTGTTGCCCAGGCTGAAGTGCAATGGCACGATCTCAGCTCACCACAATCTCCGCCTCCCGGGTTCAAGCCATGCTCCTGCCTCAGCCTCCCAAGTAGCTAGGATTACAGGTGCCTGCCACCATGCCAGGCTAATTTTGTATTTTTAGCAGATACAGGGTTTCTCCATGTTGCTCAGGTTAATCTCGAACTCCCGACCTCAGGTGATCCGCCTGCCTTGGCCTCCCAAAGTGCTGGGATTACAGGAGTGAGCCACCATGCCTGGCTCTGGTCCAAGACTTTTTAAAATTACATGTGAGGCCCGGCATGGTAGCTCATGCCTGTAATCCCATCACTTTGTGAGGCCAAGGCAGGCAGATCACCTAAGGTCAGGTATTTGAGAACAGCCTGGCCAACACGGCAAAACCCCATCTCTACCAAATAAAATTTGATGGGCATGGTGGCGCACACCTATAGTCCCAGCCACTCCAGAGGCTGAGGCAGGAGAATTACTTGAACCTGGGAGGCGGAGGCTGCAGTGAGCCAAGATTGCACCACTGCACTCCAGCCTGGGTGACAGTCTCAAAAAGAAAAAAAAAATTACATATAGACTGTTGGCCAAATCCTGACCAGTCTTATTTAGTAGTCTTATGGCTACTAAATACAGAATGAAATGGGTGGGACTGAGGAGAAAGGGAAGGAATTCCAAGATGACGGTGAGAAACAGGGGTGCAATTAAGCTAAAAGCCTTACCCTCTTGTGTTCTCTGTAGACATTCTTTTGACCTAGGCTGTTCTCCATGTCCTGGGCTCAAGCGATCCTGCCTCGGCTTCTCAAAATGTTGGAGTTATAGGCATGAGTCACCGTGCTCGGCCTACTTTCTCTATGTCTGACAGAACAGAGTATGGGGAGAAATGGAAAGGGCACGTTGGAGTCACCCAGGCTGTAACCACTACTCACCTCTCCTCTGGTACCCTGTGCTCCAGGTGGTTGTCAATCCATCAATCCTCCCAAGAGCAGGAGTTTCACAAAGATGGGGACAGAAAGCGGGCAGTGTTCACCCTCCTTCCTACCATCTCCACTGGTACATTTGTGGCTTAAAAGCACAGATGGAGGCCGGGCGTGGTAGCTCACGCCTGTAATCCCAGCACTTTGGGAGGCCGAGGTGGGCGGATCACGAGGTTGGGAGATGGAGACCATCCTGGCTAACATGGTGAAACCCCGTCTCTGCTAAAAATACAAAAAATTAGCCAGGCGTGGTGGCGGGTGCCTGTAGTCCCAGCTACTTGGGAGGCTGAGGCAGGAGAATGGCATGAACCCAGGAAGCGGAGCTTGCAGTGAGCCGAGATCACGCCACTGCACTCCAGCCTGGGCGACAGAGCAAGACTCCGTCTCAAAAAAAAAAAAAAAAAAAAAAAAAAAAAAAGCACAGATGGGGCTGGGCGTGGTGGCTCACACCTGTAATCCCCGCACTTTGGGAGGCCAAGGTGGGTGGATCACCTGAGGTCAGGAGTTCAAGACCAGCCTGGGCAGCATGGTGAAAACCAGTCTCTATTTAAAAAAATAATAATAATACAGAAATTAGTTGGGCACAGCAGCACTTGCCTGTAATCCCAGCTACTCGGGAGGCTGAGGCAGAAGAATCTCTTGAGCCTGGGAGGCAGAGGTTGCAGTGAGCCGAGACTGAGCCATAGTACTCCAGCCTGGCGACAGAGCGAGACTGCCTCAAAAAAAAAAAAGTACAGATGGACTAAGCTGAAATCTTGGCCCAGCCACTCACATGCTGTGTCACTTACCTCTTGTAGCTCAGGACTGCTCGAAATAACAGCAGCCGTACCCTGTATTAACGTTCTATGGATTAAATGGGCTAATGTAGAGTAAGTACTTAACAGAGTTTGTTTCATAGCTCTTCGCAATGGAACATTAGGCAGCTGAAGAACGAACTGATACAGGGTGACTTCCAGTGCTGTCATGTTACATAATAGTAATGTACCAATGTGATATTTCTTGAATTTGCTAACTCTACCGTGGTTATGCAAAAGAATATCCTTTTCCTAGACGACTCATACTTTGTGACTGTGTGTGCAGAGAAACATGAGGCGGAACCGTGGGGAATCCAGGTGAAAGGCCATCAGGGAGCTCACCACGTTGCACTTTCCAGACGAATAGAAACTATTCTCAAAAAAAGAACAGGTTAAAAGAAAAGAAAGAAATGGTAGTTCTTAGTTTTATTATAACCTTGTATTTTCTGGCAAAAATATAAATCTAAATGCATGATCTCTGGGCACACAGCTCAAGTATCAGCCTTGAGATGACCTAAGCAGCAAAAATTTGGCCTATTTAATTAAATGCACAGGAGGTTGCAGCCGCATTTATTAGAAAAATATTATCCTTTGGAAATTCCTTTCTTGAAGATTGGCTCCAGGGCGTTGTTCTTTCTGTTTTTATGCAATTGCACTTCCTTGGCAGGCAGCCAGGCGCTCCGGTGCTCACAGGCCATGGGACAGTCCAGTTCCCTGCAGACCCAGCGGGGCATGGGCGGACAGAGCCGCACCGTGAAGCCCGCCTGTTATTTCCATCGGGTGGTCCTGGAGACGACACGGCTGGGGAAATGGGTCACCGGAACTCCACGGCGGCCAGACGCCCATCCAATTTGCCTGCGGGAACTCGCTCTTCACCTTTTCTTCACAAACTTCTTTCTGGAAGCGTTGGGATTTAAGCGTCTCCGCCCAGCTCCCAAGGTGCTGTCCCGGACCTGCAGGGTAGCTGAGCGGCTGGAGATGTCATTCTCGACAAAGGGTGACACCCCGGCGATGTAGTCAGGGGCGAACACGTTGGTTTTCTGCCTGGCCTTTTGGGAGAGTCGCAGCTGAGGGAAGCGCTGATCCTCGGTGAGATGGGGGTTGATGGCGTATTTGCCCCCTTTGGGAGTGGGAAGCGAGTACTGGAAATAAGACAAGGAAGGGCCATTAGAAGAAGGGGAGCCACAGTCACACAAGGCCATGGCTGGTAAGGTGCAGCCGACCTTGCAGATCCTGGTGCAGGCAGATGACAGCGGGTGGTAATTGACTGCCTACCATGTGCTACGTGTGACATGCCGCCGCCTCCCACCTGATTCCCACCTCAATTCACACACGAAAAACCGAACACGGTATTTTGACTACATACCTTCAGCTAAAGACAATACAGAAATAGAAATACAAAACATTCCAGTGTGTATTTACACACACATGTATGTATTTCCTAGCTCTGTCCATTGTAGCCAAGACGCAATGACACTGCAGGACAACAGACACACCCAGTCCCCAGATCTTTACTTCTAAAAACCATCCTGCATAAAAAACCAGAGCTCCTGAGAGAAATGGCGGATTCTGGGGCACAGGCAGGAGATGGCTGAGTCTCTGGGAACTTCTTGTTGTGCCATAAAGTTTGACAGACCAGGATCTGTCAAAAGAACACAGGCTCCCACTGGCCACACATGGCACAACGCGAGGCTCAAAATGACAGTGATAGATCACAACCTGTAGACTATGACAGAAATCCACAAGACCACACTCATAGAAATCAATAAATGAGACTAAAAGGAAAGTTCTTCTTTACAGTATAATACCAGGTCATAAACATGGAAGGAATGACAGAAAATCACCATTTGGCAATAATCACTATAATAACTGTTTCAGGCAACTTTAGGTAAGTTCAACGAGAAATAATATATACAAAGTCTCAGTCTCTTTCTACAAATTAAGTATTATAAATAACTTTACAGGGGATTAAGGTGGCAGAAGCCACTGAACCAAGTGATTGAAGTTAGTATCACCAGTAAATTAGACAATTAGCATTTACCCACTGAAACGAAGTCCTGAGAAGGACACATCAGGATCACCTCTGGCGTGTTCCTGCCAAAACTGCATAGCCCCAATCTAATCCAATCCCGAGGAAATACCAGACACACGCAAGGGAAAGGACATTCTACAAAGGAACGGACTCATACTCTTCAAAAGTGTCAAGGTCATCTACGACAAAAGACTGAAAGGACCCCAGTCGAAAAAAGACAAGATGACAAAATGCAACGTTTCATCCTAGACTGGATTCTGGACCCAAAAAATCCCCTTCTTTTGTCAGAAAGGAAATTTGTGGAACAACTGGCAAAATCTGGAGTTGGGTCTGCAGATTACACACTGGTATCGCAGCGATGCTGATTTCTTGATTTTGATAATTACACTGTGGTTACATAAGATAAAGTCCTTGTTTCAAGGCAAAAGGGCATTATGTGTACAATCTACTCAGATGGTTCAGGAAAAAAATATGTACATGTATAAAGAGAAAGCAGACGTGGTACATGATTAACCCTGGGAAATCCAGGTGACGGGTAAACAGGAATTATTAGCCGGGTGCAGTGGCTCACGCCTGTAATCCCAGCACTTTGGGAGGCTGAGGTGGGCGAATCACCTGAGGTCAGGAGTTTGAGAACATCCTGGCCAACATGGCAAAACCCCATCTCTACTAAAGATAAATTAGCCAAGCATGGTGGCGTGTGCCTGTAGTCCCAGCTACTTGGGAGGCTGAGGCAGGAGAATCGCTTGAACCCCAGAGGTGGAGTTTCAGTGAGCCAAGATCACGCCACTGCATTCCAGCCTGGGTGACAGAGTGAGACCCTGTCTCAAACAACAAGAAAAACCCCAGGAATTGTTTGTACTGTTTTTACAACTTTTCTATAAGTTGAAAATTATTTCAAAATTGAAAGTGAAGGTTCTTCTCATGCACATGTGGCTATTTTACTGCTGGGAGAAGCCAGTGCCACTCATTCGTCCTCCAATCCTTCCCTCCCGATTCTCTGCGTCGGCAGCTGCTGCTCATCTAGCCCGTCCGGCCCTCTCTTCCGTGCTGTGCTTTCCACACCCGTTCCTCTCTGCGTCATGGGCTTCCCGAGACCCTGCCCATCCTTCAACTCCTGCACAAATCTAACCTCCGCCTTACTCCAAATGAGTTCCCACTTCGTGAGCCGCTACTGTAGCCTTTCACAACTACTGCCTGAATAACCGGTCGCTTCTCATGAGATGGCATCTGTCACACACTCTCCCCACTCCGTCTTGGTACCTAGGTCACAGGCTTTCAATCGCCCATCTTGCAGAAACGACTAGACTAGGTTTTCTTTTGTCCTTTCTGTTCTTTTTCACTCTGGTGTTGGGAGGGGACTGGGAGAGGCGCCACTCACCCGGAGGCCGCGGGGGTTCAGCACCTTGGGGTTGCGGGAGAAGTGCATGTGCAGGGTGCCGTCGTCGCTGACGGTCACGGACACTTTCTTCAGGGTCTTGTTCCCACAGTGTGAGCAGAACACTCGGCTCATGTCAGACGTTGTCCTGGGAGACACAAAAGGAGATGATCTGTACCAAAGCCACAGGCAGCAAACGCCTCCCCAGAGCACAAGGTGGGTCTCGGGCCTCAGGAGAAGAAACAGGGAAGGGCTGAACCGCACCACACATGTCACAAAGACGGAGGCCACTGAAGCTGTCAGCAAAGGGCTGCCGCATCCCTCTGAGGGACAGATAAACCACAGGAGGGGCAGGTAAGGAAGTGTGCAAGCGAGCAGGATGCAGTTAGGTGAATCCCGAACCCTTCCTACACACCGCCAGGCCCTGTTCTGTAGGGTTCACATCACTAGTCCTGGGAGGATGGCACCGTCTCCATTTTACAGATGGGGAAACTGAGGCAAGTTAAGGCAGCTTGCTCAAGGTCACCCAGCTGGTCCATGGCAGATAAACCCAGGCAGTCTGGCTCCAGAATCAATGCCCTTCACATCACGGCACTTTCTCGAGGGGCACCTCGTCACACCACGAGCTACCTTTTCTCCAAATGTCAGCCTGGGTGTTAACTCGGGAGCAGCTCTGGAGGCGGCAGAGCATATTAATGAGAGAGACAGGAAACATGCTGCTGTGGCTGAACTAAGCCCGGGCACTGAGTGCAGAACCAAGGCTTCCCCCACCTATGCACTCAAGCCCCGACAGTGGACTCTCGACAGGAGAAAGCTGCTGCTATCAGCGGCAAAGCAGTGGCCCTGGTCCCTGTCCTTGTGGAGTTCTCCATCAATTCCCAATGGTCAAGACAAAAGAGCTGCGTGGAATGGCTGGAGAAGCCAAATGCCTTACCTGAAGTCTCTTGTGAGTGAACTAAGCACCTCATAACAAGTGTTGGGACCTAATTATTTTGTACATCAAACTGTGCAGTCACGGGGCTAATCTGACAAGCATGAAGAACATTCCAAGTGTTTCTAAGAATTGAGTGTTAATCTGGTGAATTTAGTGCTTCTGTAACAAAGGACGTTGGAGAAAATGGAATTTTATGAAGCCAGGAGCTTTACTATCATGAGCCTGACGCAGCAAAGGGACGTAAAGCTTCAGAGGAAGGTATGGGCCGCTCTGAGGAGTGGCTGGCCACCAGCAGAGCCACAGTGGCTGGCGGGGCGGGGCCCCAAGCCTGAGTGCTGGGTTATGCTCAGGACTTCAGGGAATGAGGCTTCACACAGGCAACGCCCCGCCCACTGGAAGAGCTGGGGACCCAGAGAGGCACCTTTGATGATTCAGAAAGTTCCTCATCGGCCTCTACAACAAGGGGCACCACCAGATGATCTACGTGATGCCCCCAGACCCAGCCTGAGCCTGCAGAATGGCAGATGCCACCCTAGAGTAGGTCCTCAGGCCACACTCCACCAGCAAGGCTGCGGCAGAGGCTCTTCCACGCCTACCAGGCGGTTTCCAAGGTCCCAGAGGCCTCCCTACAGAACACCAGCCTGACCCACCACAGGAACCAACTCAAGAGTCAGAAAAGCAATGAGAGGTCAGTGGTCAAGAAACTAACAGTTCACCCGATAGGCACGCTGCTTATGTATTGGATACCACAGAGTCCTTGACACAACTGTCTTCCTAGTTCCTCACAACCACCTTCTCAATCTTATTAAGCATCTCATAGGGCCGGGTGTGGTGGCTCATGCCTGCAATCGCAGCTCTTTGGGAGGCCGAGGCAGGCAGATCACTTGAGCTCAGGCATTTGAGATCAGCCTAGCCAACACAGTGAAACCCTGTCACTACTAAAAATACAAAAAGTTAGCCAGATGTGGTGGCGGGTGCCTGTAGTCCCAGCTACTCAGGAGGCTGGGACAGGAGAATTGCTTGAACCCGGGAGGCAGAGATTGCAGTGAGCCTAGACTGTGCCACTGCTCTCCAGGCAACAGAGAGACTCTGTCTCAGAAAAAAACAAAAAACCCCAAAAACCAAAAACAAGAATCTGGGCCAGGCGCGGTGGCTCATGCCTGTAATCTCAGCACTTTGGGAGGCTGAGTTCGGCGGATCAGAGGTCAGGAGATCAACACTATCCTGGCTAACACGGTGAAACCCCGTCTCTACTAAAAATACAAAAAATTAGCCAGGTGTGGTGGTGGGTGCCTGTAGTCCCAGCTACTCGGAGGCTGAGGCAGGAGAATCGCTTGAACCCGGGAGGCGAAGGTTGCAGTGAGTCGTGATCGTGCCACTGCACTCCAGCCTGGGCAACAAGAGAGAAACCCTGTCTCCAAAAAAAAAAAAAAAAAAAAAGATAAAAAGAATCTGATAGGCAGATGGCTCAGGCCTGTAATCGCACCACTTTAGGAGGACAAGATAAGAGGATTGCTTGAGGCCAGGAGTTAAAGACCAGCCTGGGCAACATCGTGAGACCTCGTCTCAAAGAAAAGAATCTGAAGCACAAAGAAGTGAATCAGCTTTTGCAAAATCACAGCAGCAGCAGGACACAGAATCTGGATTTGAACCCATGTACTCTTCTTTTTGTAAACAGAAAATCTCTCAAGTATAAAGCAGACAAAACACAACAAACCTCCATGTATCCATCACCCCCCAGCTTCAAAAACTATCAATTCATGGCCAGTCTTATTTTATCTTCACCCCCACCCACTCCTTCTACTTGTGGATTTTGTCAAAGCAAATCCCAGACATTCCAAGGACAAACATTTCGGTATGTACCGCTAAAGAATGAGGCTCACTGTTCCAGAACCCATGTCCCTAACCCCATGCCACTGAGATACGGTGGGAGGTCACTGGCAACCTCTGTCCCCAAGTTCTCAGTGCCCAGGTGGAGACGGAACCCAGGCCCCAGAGGAATGATGAGGTGGAAGAAACACACATAATGTAGGGTTCTCTTTAAACAAGTCTGTAGAAGAAACAGGAATAGTGGCCAGGCGTGGTGGCTCACACCTGTAACCCCAGCTCTTTGGGAGGCTGAGGTGGATGGATCACTTGGAGTCAGGAGTTCGAGACCAGCCTGACCAACATGGTGAAACCCCGCCTCTACTAAAAACATACAGAAATTAAATTAGTCGGGTGCAGTGGTATGTGCCTCTAGTTCCAGCTACTTGGGAGGTTGAGGCAGGAGAATTGCTTGAACCCAGGAGGCAGAGGTTGCAGTGAGCTGAGATTGTACCACTGCACTCCAGCCTAGGTGACAGAGCGAGACTGTTTCTCAAAACAAAAAAAGAAACAGGAAGAGTGTTCCACAGAGGGCACCAGGGCCAGGGCACCAGCTACATACTTGAAACAGCCATGGCAGCGCAAGATGTAGCTCCGGGCCTCACGAATCAGCATGCCGTTCACCGCCAGCACGTGCAGCCCCATCTGCAGCAGAACATTCTACAACCACAAGTTAAAGAAGAAATCAATTTTCTTTTCACATTTCATTTTGTAATTACAGTTAAGGGAACTTCACAAACCCTGCCTTGCCCATATTCCTTGGCTTTTGCGAAGGAAACTCAGCCTGGGGAGGCCTCTCAAGATGTGTAAACGAGGACGAAGGCCCAGGTGTCTTTCTAACACCGTCCTGGAGCCTGTGTTCGTCATTTTCCATGACCTGTCATTAGCAAGCTCTCTCAACAGACATTTTATTTTGTCTGGGCCAAATATACTCATTGCTGGGCTGAAAACCCTCTCTCCCTGTGTTAAGAACCTGACTGACCACATGGCATTATATATACTGAAAAAAAAATCATAAAAAAATCATAAATAGTAAACGTTAAACATTTAATGTACTATACAAATGTTGTCATTATATGACGATTGTCTAGCCTCTAAGCAAAATTAAAAATCACCAAATGGCACAGGTGGTTTCCAGAACCAGGAAAAGAAGCGCTGCACAGCACCAGTTCCGTGTACATCTGTACACCTCGGTAGGACCACTGCCGATGACGTGTGTGACACACGGCCCAGGCCCACCCTACCCACCTGCATGGCGAAGTCTGTGGTCAGGCAGCCAACCCGCACGTCCTCGGGGACGTCACACTGCTCCAGCTCCTGCTGGATCTGCTTGATGTTACTGGGGGTTATCCAGCCACCCCCGTCGTCATCGCTGTCATCTTTTCTGTCTTCAAACCCGTTTTCTTCCTCCTCCTCCTCCTCACTTGGAACGTCCTCACCTCTGTCAATCTGAAACATCAACAGACCTTTCAAACTCCCAACCCACAGGAGCAGTGGAGGAGAAGTTGAGCTGTCGTCAGAAGACCAAAAGTCAAGGCCTCACCAGCAGCTCCTGCAGTTCATGATCGATGTTGGGCAAAGGGTTTCTCCAGAACATGAAGGAACTAAATTCCAGGTTCTCAGGCTCACAAGCTGAGTGTCCTTTTTCTGTTTCTTGTGGGGGTTTAGGCTGAAATTAAAAGAAACAATTTTAAAACCTGAAAATTCATCTGTAGCCACCTCTCAGGTCACAGATGAAATCACATATGATATACAAGTCAGATCAGACAGGGCTGGACAAACTATGTTATTGGTCCGCGTAAATTTAGTTCACTGTGAAGAGATGACTTAGAGAGATGTGACATGTTTCAGAAAAGAGCATGAACGGCCTGGCTTGTCTAAGAAATTACCTTGTAGGGCAGATGGAAACCAGAAATGTGCAGAGGTGTTTCTGGGTGCTGAATCGATGAGCTCACCTTAACCTTTAAAAAAACAAAAAACATATACCTCTTGTTATCAAAATTAAAGATATCCAGTTTTTTTTTTTGGCCGGGCACGATGGCTCATGCCTGTAATCCCAGCACTTTAGGAGGCCGAGGTGGGCGGATCACCCAAGGTCAGGAATTGGAGACCAGCCTGGCCAACGTGGCGAAACCCTGTCTCTACTAAAAATACAAAAATTAGCCTGGCGTGGTGGCAGGCACCTGTAATCCCAGCTACTCAGGAGGCTGAAGCAGGAGAATTCCTTGAAACCGGGAGGCGGAGGTTGCAGTGGGCTGAGATCACGCCACTGCACTCCAGCCTGGGGAACAAAAATGAGACTCTGTCTCAAAAAAAAAAAAGGATACCCAATTTTTTTTTTTTTTTTGAGATAGGGTCTTGCTCTGTCACCCAGGCCGGAGGGGAGTGGCACAACCTTGGCTCACTGCAACCTAACCTCCGACTCCCAGGTTCAAGCGATTCTCATGCTTCAGCCTCCCAAGTAGCTGGGATTACAGGTGTGCGCCACCATGCCCCACTGATTTTTGTATTTTTTAGTAGAGATGGGGTTTCGCCATGTTGGCCAGGCTGGTCTCAAACTCCCAGCCTCAAGTGATCTGCCCATCTCAGCCTCCCAAAGCGCTGGGATTACACACAGGAGCCACCGAGCCTGGCTGACATCCAGTGTTTTAAAAAAATCAGAGAATAAAAATAAAAAAATAGCTGGGTGCAGTGGCTCACTAACTCCCAGCCCTTAGGAAGGCTGAGGTAGGAGGATTGTTTTGGGCCAGGATTTTGAGACCAGCCTGGACAAAAGTGACACCCTGTCTCTATAAAAAAATTTTAAAATTAGCCAGGCATGGTGGTGTACACCTACAGTCCCAGCTACTCGGGAGGCTGAGGTAGGAGGACTGCTTGTGCTCAGGAGTTTGATGCTGCAGTGAGCTGTGATCAGCGCCACTGTACTCCAGCCCAGGTGATGACAGGATCCTGTCTTATTAAAATACAAACAAACAAACAAACAAAAAACAAGTGTGGTAGTTCATGCCTGTAATCTCAGCATTCTGGGAGGCCAAGGTGGGAGGATGGCTTGAGCCCAGGAGTTTGAGACCAGCCTGGGCAACACAGAGAGACCCCATCTTTCTTAAAAAAATTTGAGGGTAGTTTCAACTAGTGCAAAAATATGAGTCCACCATAGTTTTGATGACTTTAGGCAGAGAAGATTAAGCAATTATTTGTCAACACTATTGAAAATGAATTATTATTAGGTTAAAATTTTTGACTTCTAAAATCCTCTGGCTTAGAAATAGACAATGGGTGCAGGCACAAATGTATCAGTCTCTTCAACCTAGCCACAGTGGGTAAGACCCTAAAAACACAATAGGAAGTCAAAGTTTTGAAGGAAGCAAGGTTCGAAAAAACACTTGCAAGTACTTAGTGTTCATTCTTTTTTACCTCCAGAAAGCTCTCTTTTTTTCAGACAGGGTCTCACTGTCACTCAGGCTGAAGTGCAGTGGTATGATCACAACTCACTGCAACCTCAATCTCCTGGGCCCAAGTGATCCTCCTGCCTCAGACGGGGTTGCCCAGGCTGGTCTCAAATGCCTAGGTTCAAGTAATGCTCCTGCCTTGGCCTCCCAAAGCCCTGGGATTATAGGCATAAGCCACGGCACCTGGCCAGAAATAGTTCTTTTTTTTAAAAAAATTATTATATACAGATATATAGATTTTTATTCTTTTGCATTTTCCAAATTTAAACCTTTCCCAAAAACCTACAGATCAAAAGAGACTAATCAGGAGGCTGAGGTGGGAGGATCACTTGAGCCCAGGAGTTCTAAGACCAGCCTGGGCAACACAGCTAGACCCTGGATGAAAGAGGGAAAAAAAAAAGGGACTGAGACACACTTGCCAATTGCAATGTATGAACCTCATTGGGATCCTGATCCAAACAAACAAACGCTTTAACATTTACAAAATAACTGGGGAATGTGAATGTTGACTGGATATTTGATAACAGGCATTACTATTAATTTTGTGTAGGTGTAATGATGGCTTTAAAGTTTTTAAGAGTCTTGATCTTTAGAGACATACCAAGAAATATCTATCAGTGAAATAGTATACGATGTCTGAGTTTAAAATACTCAGGGCTGAGGCCGGGCGCACTGGCTCACGCCTATAATCCCAGCACTTTGGGAGGCCGAGGCGGGCGCATCACCTGAAGTCAGGAGTTCGAGACCAGCCTGACCAACATGGCGAAACCCCGTCTCTACTAAAAATACAAAAATTAGCCGGGTGTGGTCGTGGGCGCCTGTAATCCTACCAACTACTCTCGAGACTGAGGCAAGAGAATCGCTTGAACCCAGGAGGCGGAGGCTGCAGTGAGCCGAGATCACGCCGTTGCACTCCAGCCTGGGCGACAGAGCAAGACTCTATCTCAAAAAAAAAAAAGTACTCAGGGCTGTGGATCAGTGTAGATGAATACAGACTAGCTAAGAGATAATTGGAGGGGGGGATGATGGGAACCCTGGGTCCATTACACTAGTCCTTCTACTTTTGTATACCTGACAGTTCCCATAATACAAAGCTTTTAAAAACCCATCCTCTTGATTTACCTTCTGTGGTTCTTGTTTTAGGTGAGACACCCCAACAAACTCTGCTTCCAACTGGTATGTGAGTGCAAGCACTTGGATGTCCGTGGCAGAGAGGCTGGGGTAGTCTCCTGTTTTCTTTGAAAACTCAGTCACTGTAAACAACAGATTTACATCTTCAGTTAGAGGTAAAAAGCCATATGACCTTGGATAACCAATGGAAGTATCAAAACAATTTAGAACAGATCAAAATAATGGAAGTATCAAAACAATTTAGAAAGGATCACTATGTCATGAAAAACCTTAACACTTTCATCCATTTTCTGACCTTTTCCTACTCGCAGTTGAGAAATTTGTATTCTCCACCACCAAGATTCATGCCAGTTAGATTTACTGTAACACCCTTATCAAATACAGAGGAAGGAGCAGAAAGTTGGCTGGGGCCAGGCGTGGTGGCTCACGCCTGTAATCCCAACACTTTGGGAGGCAGAGGTGGGCGGATCACTTGAGGTCAGGAGACCAGCCTGGCCAACGTGGTGAAACCTGTCTCTAATAAATATACAAAAATTATCCCGGTGTGGTAGCGGGGGGGCCTGTAATCCCAGCTACTCAGGAGGCGGAGGCAGGAGAATTGTTTGAACCTGGGAGGCGGAGGTTGCAGTGAGTCAAGATTGCGCCACTGCACTCCAGCCTGGGCGACAGAGTGAGACTCCTTCTCAAAAAAAAGAAGAAAGTTGGGGCGTGGTGGCTCACACCTCACTACAGGAGGCTGAGGTGGGTAGATCACTTGAGGTCAGGAGTTCCAGACCAGCCTGGCCAACATGGTGAAACCCCTTGTCTCCTAAAAATACAAAAGTTAGCCAGGTGTGGTGGCGTGTGCCTGTAGTCCCAGCTACTGGGGAGGCTGAGGCAGAAGAATTGCTGGAACCCAGGAGGTGGAGGCTGCAGTGAGCCAAGATCGTGCCACTGCACTCCAGGCTAGGCAACACAGCCAGACTCCATCTCAAAAAAAAAAAAGTTTCAGATTTAGGAGCATTCTGGATTTCAGATTCAGTATGCTCAACTTGTAATTGTAGTAGTCTATGAGGAAACAAAAAGCATGTGCTTAATGCATAATACATGTCAGACTGCTGTTATTCTCCAGAGTCATCCATAATAAACACTTAAAATTTCCTGAAATTAACAGAAAGATGTCTCCTGCTACCCTGGTACAAGGAACACTAGGTATATTGCTCTTATTTCCTAAAAAACAGACATTAGCAGCAACGAAAATTTACTGTGCACTTACTGTGTACTAGGCACTGCATTAAAAGCTTTATGTGTTAATGCATTTCATCCTTTGCCATTCTTCAAAAGTACTATTAGTATTTCCTCGGAAAGATTTAGTAAGTTGGCAAAGATCACAGAGCTACTAAGTTGGTGGAGAAAATCGTAGAAATCACAAACAGAGGAGGTAACATCATCTCCACTATCAGCCTCTAACCTCTAAAACACTTCCAACCACTGAGGGGCCTTTCCTGGGTATCACCTTGATTCCCAACAAGAGAACAACGCTGACTCCTAAGCCAAGAGACAATTCTTTAATTTTCTTTATTTCTTATTTTTTTTGAGACAGAGTCTCGCTCTGTCGCCCAGGCTGGAGTGCAGTGGTACGATCTCGGCTCACTGCAACCTCCACCTCCAGGTTCAAGCAATTCTCCTGCCTCAGCCTCCCAAGTAGCTGGGATTACAGGAGCACACCACCACGCCCAGCTAATTTTGTATTTTTAGTAGAGGCAGGGTTTCACCATGTTGGTCAGGCTGGTCTCAAACTCCTGACCTCAGGTGATGCGCCCGCCTCGGTCTCCCAGTGCTGGGATTACAGGCCGTAAGCCACCGCGCCCAGCTTAATTTTCTTTCACATTTAATACAATGCAAAGCATTCCCTTTTTAAAGCTCTGCCAGGTGCAGATCTTTGTATCCAGTCATCAGCCCAATCTACTGAAAAGAAATGGACGAGAGTAATAGCAAGAGATCCAAACTCTTATTTTAAATCCAAATAAATTTATTGCTTGTCTGCAAAGTGCTTGACACTGAGCTGACTGCCATATTCCTCAGTTCATGCTCACAGCAACCTTGGAGACAGATACAATTATTATTCCCATTTTGCGGATGAGGTAAACGAGGCCCAAATTTGAATGCTATGCCCGAGAGCATACAGCTAGTTACTGGAGGACTCCAGACCCAGGAAGCCTCTCTCCTACCACAATCTCCTAGAAAGTGCTGGCTCTAAATCTACTGCTCTGATAAGGCAGCTAGACCCCAACTCGCACCCAACTGGGTGCCATCTGCGCCCTGGACCCCAGCTTCCCGTCAACGCTAGGGCAGAGGCACTCACCCAGCCGCACGTATTCCGGTAAGGGCTCCTTGAACCGCAGCTCGTAGGGCAGGACAGCGAGCCGCCTGCGTGTGGCCTTGTCCCGAATCTCAGTGACCACCTCCCGGATGGTGTAAATGTTCTTCCCGATGTCCTGCGGACAGAACGCCCCAGCTCAGACCCACCCGCACCAAGCAACGCTCCGCGCGACTCCACGCACTCCGGGAGGGGCGGCCAGCCCAGATCTCTCTCGTCCCGGAGGGAGCTCCCCGTACCTGCAGAGCCGCATGCCGCAGGAAAGCCCCAGCATCCGCCACAACGTGCTCCACTGGAGCCATGTTGGCTGCGTGAGAGGGGAGCGCGCATGCGCACGGAGCTTGCGCCGGCTCCTATGTCCAAGTCTGGGCCTCTGGGAACCAGGAAGAGCAGCCGCGACTTAGCTGCGCCTCCTGGCGGCCGCGCCAGCACCTCCCTGCTCTACTCGCGCGCATGCGCAGCGACGCCGCCCGCATAGCCAGAGAAGTGTGGGCGGGGTCAAACCTTGGGGGACACCTGGGAAATCGGCTTCAGCATCTAGACCTTAGTGCCTTCTTCACCTTTGAAGATAAAACCTGCCAGGTGTAGTGGTGCGCGCCTAGAGTCCCAGCTATTAAGGAGGCTGAGGCGAAAGGATTGCCTGAGCCCTGGAATGTGAAACCAGCCTGGGCAACATAGAGAGACCCCCATCTCTTCAATAAATAAATAAATTTAAAACCTGTATATATTCTTATGGTTAAAAGTCAATCAATACAGATTACCTAATTTCGTTATCACAGCACCCCTATGAGATAGGTACTGTTTTTTTTTAAAGGCTTAAAATGTATTTTAATAGGTCGATGCTGCATTACTGCTCCAGTTCTCAGAAAAACTCCAAATATATCAGAGACAAATCAAATACAATACACCAATGGAAAAAAAAGGCACAGCATGACTACCTAAGATAGGCGAGTCTAAGAGCTACTGTCAGACCTTCAGTATACAGTAACCCTGTTCCCAAGATTGTACTAGGCCTATCAAGAAAAGCTGTGAACAGCAGTATCATAGACACAAAAGGGTCATTCCTGGGTGTCCTCACCCAAGAAAAAGATGGAGGCAAGTTAACACAAGATTTTTTTTTAAAGATATACTAAAATGAAAATCTCTAAGAGAAAATGTCTTCTTTAGGACATGAAGGGGTAATATATGGGATATAATAGAACCGTATGTACGTTGCCTGTGACCTTTGTGGACGTTTACCTGAATTCTCACCTGGGAGTGAATGGAGCAATGCGGCTAAGGTCATTGGGGGATGTTTGGTTTTTGTGGTGTATGTGGCAGTTTCTCTGGGACTGGGGGAGTGTAAGGATAAGAAAGCAAGTGAGGTTGGGCACGGTGGCTCACCCCTGTAATCCCAGCATTTTGGGAGGCTGAGGCAGGGGATCACGAGGTCAGGAGTTCAAGATCAGCCTGGACAAGCTTGAACCCGAGAGGCAGAGATTGCAGTGAGCCGAGATCGTGCCACTACACTCCAGCCTGGGCGACAGAGTAAGACTCCATCTCGGGGGCAGGGCAAGCAAATGAAACAAGATGGACAAAAAAAAAAAAAAAAAAAAACAACAAACAAACCAAAAAAACAGAATGATCAAGATTAATGGGCTCTAACTGGATCTACTTTGCCATGGTTTCCCCAGGCCCTCAACAATCACATTTGAGACTTCAGGAATGCACCACACAGAACTGATTAAATAATATACTACATAGAATTGACTTGTTTAATACCACCCCTCCCTTGTCCTCTGCCTCCAGCATACTCCCTAGAGTAGTACAGGCAGGGTAGATCTAACTATTGGAAGGAATCCCTAACACTTTTCCAGGGTAGAATTCTGGCTGGTCCAAAAAGGGTCCTTCTTTTAAGGGTTTTGAGAAACTAGACACTGCAACTTATTAGTATCGGCGACGTTTGTTTGGAGCAAATTCAGCTCCAGGAGCTGCATGGTTGAATGCAGGAGGAGTTTCACCAATTGCCCCAATTCCTTCCATTGTAGCAGCCTGACCAAAGCGTTCAGTTGTTGGTGGGGTCAATCCCAAAGTTCCATCCGGCATCATAGTGGCAGGTCCTGGAGGAGCTGGGGTACCAGCTGGCACAGGAGCAGGGGTCAAGGCACCTCTGCTGTTTATGCCCATAGCACCTCCCATAGCCATCTGACCCATCCAAATCTCCTGCTCTCTCACATCAGGGAAGGTTCCCTTGAATCCTTCCTGCTGTGGCTGCATCATTTCTTCTTGCTGCCGCCGCATCTCTTCTTCAGGGCGCCTGCGCTCTTCCTCCTGCCTGAGCTCCAGTTGCTTTCGTTTTTGCACCTCTTGGTTGTGCAGCTCTTCCATCCTCCGAAGTTCTTCTTGGCGCCTCATCAAATTCTGTCTCATTAGCATGACCTGGTGCTTATGGCGTGCAGCCTCCATCTCCATCTCTGGCTTCTCACGAGCCTCTTTGATGTTGCGGTCCACTTGGTCCTGCTGCTGCTTCTCCATCTCAATGAGTGCCTTCCAGCGCATGGCATATTCATACTCAAAGGAGCCAGGCTGTGCAAATCTGGGTGGTTGCTCTCGTTCCTTGTGAAATTGCTGGTTTTTTATAACCAGCTTCTCTGGAAGTCCCCCTTCATCATCTAACTGGTCCATGGGCTCCATAGTCACAGGACGAGGAAATGTGGTTAGCAGGAAGGAGCCTTCACTGCGTCTGTCCAGAGCTTTCCCAGCAGCTGGCTTCCCTGAGAACTCAACAATGCCTTTTCCTGAGGGCCTTCCTCGATCATCCACAATGACTACAGCCCTCTCTACCTGGCCAAACACAGAAAAGGCTTCTTCCAGCACTTCGTTGGACACATACTGAGGAAGGTTTCGAACTGTAAGGGATGCACTATGGCAGGAAAAGCGCACACGCAGCTGCTTTCCACAGAGTGGCATATTGTCCAGCTCCACTTTCGCAATCTCCGCTAGGGTTCGTGTTTCCAAGCGGATAAAGCCAAATCCTTAATCCTTATGAATGAAGACTTCGCCTGCCTTTCCATATTTCTCAAATAGTTTCCTCATTTCTTCCTCAGTGATGTCGGGAGGAAGATTTCCCACAAAAAGACGGCTTCGTTGGGTGAAGGTCTTCTCTCCTGGTTTTCTAAAATTCTTCAGGCCAAATAGTCAAAGCCTTCATTTTGGCTGCTGGCCTGTTGCCCATTTGCAGGTATTGGCGGTGGTGGCGGCTGCAGCTGTTGCTGCTGGTGGTGATGTTGATGATGCTTTCTTGGAGTATGGTTTTGCTTCTCCAAGTTAAAAGTTTTATTACTCTGCATTTTTGCACCCTCAACTTCGATTGAAGACAGCAAAGTGCCTCCCACTTCCCTCTAACCTGGACTTCTCCTCTACCGACTGGTCTCTCCTCGGAGTAACGGCGACGCTACACGGCCTCTCCCGTCCCGAGAAAAGCTTTTTTTTGTTTTGTTTTGTTTTGAGACGGAGTCTTGCTCTGTCGCCCAGTCTGGAGTGCAGTGGCGCGATCTCAACTCACTGCAAGCTCCCCCTCCCGGGTTCACGCCATTCCCCTGCCTCGGCCACCCAAGTAGCTGGGACTACAGGCGCCCGCCACCATGCCCGACTTTTTTTGTATTTTTAGTAGAGACAGGATTTCACCGTATTAGCCAGGATGGTCTCGATCTCCTGACCTCGTGGTCCACCCGCCTCGGCCTCCCAAAGTGCTGGGATTACAGGCGTGAGCCACCGCGCCCGGCCAAGATAGGTACTGTTTTACAGACAAGGGATAGCTAACTAAAGCCACTAGGTGTAGCTGACATGGTCAGTAAGTGGTGAAAATAACGTAACACCCAGACAAACTGATTCAGAGCCACTTTTTTCTCTCTTCTCTTCTTTTTTCTTTCCTTTCCTTTTCTCTCTCTCTCTTTCTTTCTTTCTTTCTTTTTTTTTTTTTTGAGACACGGTCTCTCTCTGTTGCCCAGGCTGGTGTGCAGTGGCATGATCATAGTTCACTGCAACCTTGAACTCCCAGGCTCAAGTGAGCCTCCTACCTCAGCCTCTCGAGTAGCTGGCACCACAGGCCCACACCACCATGCCCAGCTAGTTTTTTCATTTTTACTTTTGTAGAGATGAGAGTCTCATCATGTTGCCCAGGCTGGTCTGAAACTCCCAGGTTCAAGCAGTCCTTTAGCCTTGGCCTCCCAAAGTGCTGGGATTACAGGTGTGAGACACGGTGCTGTCCCTGAGCCACCTAATTATCCATTCTGTTATACTGACTGCTGCTTATGTGCCTTCACTTCATTTTGAGCAACGTGGGGCCAGAGTCTGTCTAATTTGTCTTAATAGTCTCACCCCACCTCCCTAAGCAACACACATAATTTGGTAGCAAATAATTCCTTGCTGAATTGAACAGAAGGTGTATTTAGTGACTTCTACGTTTCCTTGCAAATCTGAAATTTTATGATTATAAGATCCGGTGAATTTTGCTGAATGTCGACTTGGGTCTTCATGCAAACTTTCTTCATGAAGTCTTCACGCCAGCTGGATTCCTCAATTGTCATTTATCTGTCCTACCCCAAAAATCCTTCAGTGCTACTGAATATTGCCTTTCAGCAATTACCCAAATTCAGTCTTTCTCTTTTTTTGGGGTGGCGGGAAGGGGACTGAGTTTTGCTCTCGTCGCCCAGGCTGGAGCACAGTGGTGCGATCTCAGCTCACTGCCACCTCTGCCTCCCAGGTTCAACAATTCTCCTGCCTCAGCCTCCTGTGTAGCTGAGATTATGGGTGCCCGCCACCACGCCTGGCTAATTTTTGTATTTTTAGTACAGATGGGGTTTCACCATATTGGCCAGATGGTCTCGAACTCCTGATGTACGGTGATCCACCTGCCTTGGCCTCCCAAAGTGCTAGAATTACAGGCGTGAGCCATTGCACCTGGCTC
Organism: Homo sapiens; assembly: GCF_000001405.40. NCBI lineage: Eukaryota > Metazoa > Chordata > Mammalia > Primates > Hominidae > Homo > Homo sapiens. Next base: position 69,759,557 of record NC_000016.10, read on the forward strand.
AACCTTTCTCACCACTCAGTCTCTTCATTATCTAGAACGTGCCTGTGCTACCTGCCGTAACAGAGTATGGCTGGAGGCTATTTCTCATTTTCTAGTTTATCATATCAATTTTTTTTTTTTGAGACAGAGTCTCACCCTGTCATCCAGGCTGGAGTCCAGTGTGCAATCTTGGCTCACTGCAACCTCCGCCTCCCAGGTTCAAGCGATTCTCAAGCCTCAGGCTCCTGATTAGCTGGGACTACGGGTGTGTGCCACCATGCCCAGCTAATATTTGTATTTTTTGTAGAGATGGGTTTTCACCATGTTGCCCAGTCTGATCTCGAGCCCCTGACAGTCTGATCTGCCCGCCTTGGCCTCCCAAAGTACTGGGATTACAGGTGCCAGCCACCGCACCCTGTCAGATTTTATTCTTTTAATGTGCAGTGTGTGCTCTTTGCTTGTCCCTTCTCCCCTTTGGTGAACACTTACTCAGATGCCACTAAATCTTTTCTGCAGGGTTGTTAAAAAAAAGCAACAAAAGATAAAAAATGAAATATGAAAGAAGAAAACAAACCGAAACCAACAAATGCTAGTAAGTCAAGGAAATAGTCTCTAATTTATCTAGAACAGAATTAGTAAAACTGCCATCAATGGAACTGGAGAAGTTTTAGTTATAGTAGTTTTATAAATGAGACTAATATAGGGTTTAATGTACAAAGACAGGACTGTATCTCCTTGAAAGTTAATCTCTTGGATTTGGAGTGGTACTACAAAAAGTAGAGACTAAGTGTTCAACCTATTTATTTATTTAGATACAGAGTCTCACTCTGTCGCCCAGGCTGGAGTGCAGAGGCGTTATCATGGCTCACTGCCACCTCCGCCTCCCGGGTTCAAGCAATTCTCCTGCCTCAGGTTCTGGAGTACCTGGGATTACCCGCACCCGGACCATGCCCGGCGAATCTTTTTTTTTTTTTTTTTTGTAGTTTTAGTAGAGATGGGGTTTCACCAGGTTGGCCAAGTGGGTTTCGAACTCCCGACCTCAGGTAATCCACCTGCCTCTGCCTCCCAAAGTGCTGGGATTACAGGCGTGAGCCTCCACGCCCCACCAGCCAATTTAATTTGTATGCATGATAGAATCCATCCCAATTCGAAGACCCAAAAATAACAGATTAGTACAAGTCTTTGAGGCTAATTACGTCATTAGTATTAATTTTAATCAATGGTGATTAAACTGAGCCTTCATTCAACTTGTCCAGAACATCAGTCAAGAATGTCTATTTAAAATGTTCTTGGAGGCCGGGCGCATTGGCTCACGCCTATAATCTGAGCACTTTGGGAGGCCAAGGCAGGTGGATCATCTGAGGTTAGGAGTTTGAGACCAGCCTGGCCAACATGGTGAAACCCCATCTCTATTAAAAATACAAAAATTAGCCAGGCATGGTGGTGGGTGCCTGTAGTCCCAGCTACTCAGGAGGCTGAGGAAGGAGAATTGCTTGAACCTGGGAGGCAGAGGTTGCAGTGAGCCAAGATTGAGCCACTGCACTCCTGCCTGGGCTACAAGAGTGAAACTCTGTCTCAAGCAAGCAAATAAATAAATAAATAAATAAATAAATAAAGTTATTGGGCAGGCACAGTGGCATTCGCCTGTAGTCTCAGCTACTTGGGAGGCTGAAGCAAGAGGACTGCTTGAAGCTGGGAGTTCGAGCCCAGCCAAAGCAACCTATCCAGACCCATCTCTTAAAAAAAATATTTCTCTGCCAGGTGCGGTGGTTCATGCCTGTAATCCCAGCACTTTGGGAGGCCAAGGTGGGCGGATCATTTGAAGTCAGGTGTTCGAGACCAGACTGGTCAACATGGAGGAACCCTGTCTCTACTAAAAATGCAAAAATTAGCCAGGCGTGGTGGTGCACGCCTGTAATCCCAGCTACTCGGGAGGCTGAGGCAGGAGAATTGCATGAACCGGCGAGACGGAGGTTGCAGTCAGCTGAGACTGCACCACTGCACTCCAGCCTGGGCGACAGAGCGAGGCTCCATCTCAAAAAAAAAAAAAAAAATATCATCTATCTATCCACCTACCTACCTACCTACCTACCTGGATTATAATTCATTAAGTTCTCTGTGCCCTGTAGTTGTAGATTAAGGGAATGCGATTGGATTAGTGTGGAGGGGCTTTTTATGGAGCCAAGCAGGAGTTTTTAAGCTTTTGTACTTTTGCTTCATGTCACAAGGACAGATGCCCCACAAAGGCTGAGATGTTTGTGGTCCTGGATCTTAGAACAGTGCCTGGCACATAATAGGCATAAGGTTGCCAGGAAATAGAAATACAGATACTCAATTCAATTTGATCTTCAGATAATCAAAAAATACTTTTTTTAGTATAAATATGTCCCATTCTGTATTTGGGACATACATATTACACTGTTGTTTATCTGAAATTCAAATTTAAGTGGGTGTCCTGTACTTTATCTGGCAACCCTACTAAAGGAGCTCAATTAAGTATTTGCTGACTTAACAGTCTGAAGGTCTCGTTTCACCTGTAAAATGGGGCTAGTACCTGTCCCTGCCTCTATAAGGTTGATGGGCAGAGTAGGTGGCATTCAGTGAGCCCTCAATTTATTTGATTGCCTGGGACCATCCGGTGAGCAGAAACCCTTCCACTTTCAACTACAGAGACGATAAAAAGGCCTCCTCGAGGCCAGAGGTGCCCAGGCCAGGCCTAGGTGGCCCGCACCTGCGAGCCTGGCCAGCCTCTTCCGGGTCAGGTGACCGCGCGCGGTCACGTGACCCGGCCCGAGTGCGGGCGGTGGAAGGCGGAAGTAGGAGAGGAGTTCGGCGCCGCTTCTGTGGCCACGGCAGGTAGCGAGCGCTGGCGCGGGGGGCGCGGTGGGCTGGCTGCCTGCACGGGGCGGGCCGGGGGCGGCGGGCGGCGCGGGGTGGGCCGGGGGCGGCGCGGCCCGGGCGTCGGGGGGCGGCGGCTTCCTGTGGGAGGGGCCTGGCGCGGCGGTTCCGGCCTCCGAGGAGGGGTGTCCCGGCTCCCGCCCGAGTGGGGTGGGCGCGCCGCGGCCCGCGCGGGGGTTGCTCCGAAATGGGTGCCCCGGCCGCCAAGGGTGCAGCTGGAGCGAGTCCTCCCGGAAGGGGAGAGGAGCTTAGGTTCCCAGGCATGGAGAGGAGCGATCTTTGTGGAGGGATCGGGACCAGGGGAAGGGGCGACTTGGAACTGAGCTGGAAGGGGGTGCCTGAAAATGGGTTTATGGCGTGGAGCCAGAGGGAAAAAGATGCTGCCTGGACCCCCTCTGAGAGTCTCTCCCTTCCTTCCTGTTTGGAAATGATTGTTACCCGAGACTTTGATGACGGTCCCATTCAGTTTTTAAACTTCAGGAGGGATCACAGAATCTTGATCGTCTTGCTTCCCTCGCGCCCACTTAGTCCTGCGTGGGTAGGGTTTCCACTTCTTGGGAGCCTAGCCCTTCAGCTCATTTTTCTTTGAGATTTTCCCTGAACGGGCCATCATCGAGGCTTTAAAAAACAAAAAAAGAAAATAAATTAAAAAAATAAGTGTGGGCACTTTGCCTGTAAAATGGCTTTTAGCTTACACTGTTGACCTAGCCCAGCGTTACCTCAGCAACATAGTGACTGCTGAAATCTTGGACAGAGAAGTGTCTACCTAGACTGCTTTATGACTTTTCTCTTTCTTCCGTTTAAATTATTCAGTTTCCCTTAGCTTATCTTGTGACTGCTTATCTTGACGAACTGTAACTAGGTAGGGTGCCTGAGAGGTCTGTGTTATGTTCCTTAGAACTGTGACCTGGATCATGATTTTGAGATTGAATACTTGTGTTAAAGCCTGTTCATCTTCCTGTTTCTCATGTTTACTAAAATTTGCAGAAGCAAAAGGAGTTTCATGAGTGCAGTGTAACTGGAACGAATGTTCAAACTGGACATTCACAGCAGCCAGCATCGTTTTGGGTTACAAGTAGGAAAAAGTACTTTCCTAATGTATTATGAGTTCAAGTTTTTGGAGTTATTTGACAAACATTTAAAAATTAGTTTTTGCAGCAGCGCCTATGAGTGAGGTTGGGAAGATGTATTCTCATTTCACAGGGAACAAACAGACTTACGAGAGACGACTTGATTTTTTAAAACAATTTATTGCTCTTTCTTGTTTGCTGGCCTCTTCCTGCTAGATTGCAAATCCTTCAAGGGCAGGTTTCATATTTTATTTGGCTGCTAGCCTAGTGCCTGGCATGTTGTGAGCACTTGATAAATATTTGGTGAATAAATGCATTTCTAAAAGTCACACCGGCGTAAGTGGTGACAAAGGATTTGAACCCAAGTCTTCTACTCTTTTTCTTGTCAGAGAAGCTTGTGATTATCTGTGTCATTGGTCCATATGAAAACAGGCTCGAGAGAAAGGCTTGGATTGGCTTCTCAGTCTCTTTCACTTCATGATTACTTTCCCATTTACAAAGAGCGTATACCAACATCTCACTTAACCTTCCCTTTGAAATTGGGATGGTCAGTATTGTCCCTATATCACATGAAGAGACTGAGGCTTAATGAAGTCCTTACTTTAGATTTCAGAGCTAGTAAATGAGTAGGGACTCAAGCCCAGACCCTTAATCCTTAGATCCATTCTTTTTCATTTATTGACACAATAGAAAATTTTATTTTTATTTTATTTTGAGACAGGATCTTACTCTGTTGCCCAGGCTGGAGTGCAGTGGCACAATCACGGCTCACTGTAACCTTGACCTGCCTGGGCTCGGGTGATCCTCCCATGTCTGCCTCCCAAACAGCTGGGACTACAGGTGGGTGCCACCTCGCCTGGCTAATTTTTGTAGAGACAGGGGTTTTGCTATGTTGCCCGGGCTGTTTTCAAACTCCGGGGCTCAAGCGATCCTCCCACCTCGGCCTCTCAAAGTGTTGCAATTACAGGTGTAAGTCACCATGCCCAACTGAAAGTTTTATTTTTACATAATTTTTCAGGAATAAAAAGTGTAACATTTTAAGGAAAAAGATCACACAGAAAAAGTTGTGAATGTAGAATGTGAGTAAATGAAGTTTAGAAAACGCTGTACTCTACCATAGCTTCCTCTTCCTGGGAAAACATTCTTTCATTCAGTGAATATTTATAAGTACCCACTCTGTCTTTGCCAGGCATTGTTGTAGAGTCCAGTATGGTGTACACTAGCCACATGGGGCTGCTGAGCACTGGAGCTATGCTGTGAGCATAAAATACATTCTGGATTTTGAAGACTTAGCATGAAGAAAAGTAAAATGTCTCATTGATACTTTTTATGTTATAGTAAACGATCATATAATGTATAAACATGTATGATAACATTTTGGATTTATTGGGTTAAATACAACGTAATTATAAATAGTTGGTCAGACATGGTGGCTCATGCCTATAATTCCAGCACTTTGGGAGGTCAAGGTGGATAGATTGCTTGAGCCCAGGAATTTGGGACCAGCCTGGGCAACATGGTGAAACCCTGTCTCTACAAAAAATACAAAAATTAGCCAGGTGCAGTGGCGCCCGCCTGGCTACTCAGGAGGCTGAGGTGGGAGGATCACCCAAGCCTGGGGAGGTGGAGGCTGCAGTGAGTTGTGATCGTGCCACTCATTGCACTCTAGCCTAGGTGACAGAGTGAGACCCTGTCTCAAAAAAAAGAAAAAGAAAAAGAAAAAAAGTTTCACCTTTTTGTCTTTTTTTTTCCCACTTAACCTTGACTTGAAACCCAGCACTTTTTTCTTTTTAAAATGTATTTCCTAGAAAAATAAAAAATTATAAATGTGGCTTGCACTTGTGGCTCCCATCTTATTTCTATTGGACAAACCTGTTCTGAATGCCAGGAATATAGCAGTACAAGAAAGGTAAGGATCCCCACCCTTGTGGATCTTCAATTTTATTAGAGAAGGGCACATTGATAACTAAGTATAATATGTATTATGTTGTAATAAAGCAGGGAAGAGGGATGTAGGTTGCAGTTTAAATAGGATCCTGGCCAGGTGCGGTGGCTCACGCCTGTAATTCCAGAACTTTTGGAGGCTGAGACGGGCGGATCACTTGAGGTCAGGATTTCAAGACCAGCCTGACCAACATGGTGAAACCCCATCTCTACCCAAAATACAAAAATTAGCTGGGCTTGTTGGCACATGTGTCTAATTCCAGCTACTCGGGAGGCTGAGGCACGAGAATTGCTTGAGCTCGGGAGATGGAGGTTGCAGTGAACCAAGATCGCGCCACTGCACTCCAGCCTAGGTGATGAAGTGAGACTCCGTCTTGCTTTTGGAGAGATGGGGAGTTGGGGGCGGGGGTTCTCACTTTTGCCCAGGCTGGTCTTGAACACTTGGCCTCAAGACATCCTCCTGCCTCAGCCTCCGAAAGTGCTGAGATTACAGGCATGAACCATTGCACCTGGCTCAGTCTCTTAACTCTAAATACTATCCACATGCTAACAGCTTCCATATGTGTGTCTAGCCTAGGCCTGTCTCGAGACTTCTAGATCTAATTGCCCACAATATCTTCACGTGGATTCCTATCAGGCATTTTATAATCAACATCAACAAAATTGAGCCCTACACCTGCCCCTCAGACAGCCTTCCCCATCTCAGTTAATGACAACTCCATTCCTCCAGTTGTTCAAGCCAAAGACCTTGGAGTCACCCTTGACTCGTCTCTTCCTCTCACACCCCACATCCAACTCAGCTCGTCCACAAAGCCTACTGGCTGTACTTCAGAGTACACCCTGGATGCATCTTTCCCCTGGATGATGGCAACAGCCTCCTAACTTGTCTCCCTCTTCCACCCTGGCTGGCCTTCACTTTCTCCACACAGGACCCAGGGCAAGTCTGTTAAAAGGCAGGGTGGATCCTGTCCACTCCACTGCCCAACTCAAACCCTCCAATTGTCCCAGCTTAACTGGAGTGAAAACCAATACCCTACAATGGCCTGCAAGCCTTCCATGACCTGATCTCTCCTCCCACACCCACCACCACCCTGACCTCCTCTCTCCACTCCTGCTTACTCAATCCCCTCCAGCCACACTGGCCTCCTGACTGGTCCCAAAACCTGCCAGTGGTACTCCTTATTTGGGGCTTTTGAACTCTGCCTGGACCCTTAAGCCCCTATTCAGCCACATGGCCCCTTCCTTCCCTCACTTCCTCAGATCTTTACTCAACCATCACCTTCAGAGAGAGGCTTTTCTAGGGATCCTATATTTTACTTTATTATTTTTGGAGTGTTGTTCTGTTGCCCAGGCTGGAGTGCAATGGTACGATCTTGGCTCACTGCAACCTTCACCTCCCAGGTTCAAGTGACTCTCCTGCCTCAGCCTCCTGAGTAGCTGGGATTACAGGCATCTGCCACTATGTCCAACTAATTTTTGTATTTTTAGTAGAGATGGGGTTTCACCAGGTTGGTCAGGCTAGCCTCAAAATCCTGACCTCAAGTGATCTGCCTGCCTCGGCCTCCCAAAGTACTGGAATAGGGGTTTTGTTTTTTTTTTTTTTAATCTTTTTGAAAACCACAAGCTAATGGGTTTCTTTTTTCTTAATGAGGCTACTCTTCCAACTGTGCATCTTTATAGCACCCCTGAAATCAATTTGAGTGCCAATTTCTGGAATTAGTCTGGCTTCCTGGGTTGGCATCCAGTTTAGGCCTCCAGGATGGATGGATAATGGGCTTTTTATGTTTGAAATATGTATTGGTTTTTTCAAACATGTATTGAATGCATGTTGTTTGTCAGGCATCCCACCATTTTATACATTTAACCTTGTTGAGGTGAAGTGACCCTCACGAGGTCAGATAGCTAAGAAATGAAAGAGATGGCCATTTGAATCTTGGTCTTCAGAGTCCACATCTGGTCCTTCTACCACTTATCATTAGTGAGATGGGTGGAGTGGCTATATAAACATAAACTCCCTTTGGAATCAAATCAGTGAGTTGCTTTTGAGCGACTTTGAGTCCCTTAGGACTATTATGTGTCACAGGCAGAAAGGGAATTTACCAGGTAAAGAAAGGCAGATTTATTAAAGTGAAAACACGTTGCAAGAAAGCAATGGGCAGCACAGCAGAGAAGGGGCTGTCTGCAAAGAGGCAGGAGATGGAGGGAAGTTTTACAGGGTTGTGCTGGAGGGGGCTATGTGGGGATTGATGCATCTGAGGGCTGTTTGTGATTAATCATTTCTCAGAACGACTGTCCATGGCTTTCCCCTACCTGAGGCCCCTTCCTCGTTGTTGCTTACTTATCTTATTAGGACTCCACATTATGGACTCTGAAATTTCTTTTCTTTCTTCTTTATTTGTTTTGCTTTTGAGACAAGGTCTCATTCTGTCACCCAGGCTGAAGTACAGTGGCATGATCATGGCTCACTGCAGCCTCAACCTTTTGAGCTCAAGTGATCCTCCCATCTTAGCCTTCCAAGTAGCTGAGACTATAGGCATGTGCCACCATGCCTAGCTAATTTTTAACTTTTTTGTAGAGATGGGGTCCCACTATGTTACTCAGACTGGTCTTGAACTCCGGGCTCAAGTGATCCTCCTGCCTCAGCCTCCCAAAGTGTTTGGGGTTACAGGTGTGAGCCACCACAACTGGCTAGGGCTCTGGAATTTCTGAAAGATGGGAACAAAAGGGAAGATGTTTCCCCTGGATGATGGGACAGGTTAGATTCTAACCAAAATCTTTTTAGAAGGTTGCAGTTCCCTGTTTTTCACCCCACCGCAGTTTATAGCAAATATTCAGTGATTTAAATCATTACTACTAATAATAACTATTAGGAAAATACCAGCCAGGCATGGTGGCTCACACCTATAATCCCAGCACTTTAGGAGGCCGAGGTGGGTAGATCACCTGAAGTCAGGAGTTTAAGACCAGCCTGGCCAACATGGAGAAACCCCGTCTCTACTAAAAATACAAAAAATTAGCTAGGCGTGGTGGCAGACACCTGTAATCCCAGCTACTTGGGAGCCTGAGGCAGGAGAATCGCTTGAACCCAGGAGGCGGAGGTTGCAGTGAGCCGAGATTGCATCACTGCCCTCTAGCCTGGGCAACAAGAGCGAAACTCCTTCTCAAAAATAATTAAATAAATAAAAAATAACAAGTACCAAGACATGGCAGTCCTGACCTAGGGCCCGTCCTCTTCCTCAAGTCACCCATGCCTTTTGCTTCTTGTTTTGTCTTCAGATCTGCTTTCCAGTCAGCCTCTTTTATTCTTAGCCTGTAATTCCACGGGGCTTCCAATAGTGTACCTCCCTGCTCCCTCCCGTTTTCTCTTTTTCCGTGCTTAGTCTTTGTAAGGATGTCATTTGGCAAAGTTGATTCTGTTTGATTGTTTTTCAATATGGGCCTTTGGAGAATGGAAGGTAGTAACTCAATGCTGGACAGAGGAAGGAGGCCAAGAAAGAAGCATTAGTGTTGGAGTAGCATGAGCCTGTGAAGAACAGGAGAATCTTTTGGACAGAGCTTTTCCTTGCATATCTTTCAAGAAATGAGTGCAGGCTGGGCGCAGTGGCTCACGCCTGTAATCCCAGCACTTTGGGAGGCCAAGGCGGGTGGATCATGAGGTCAGGAGATCGAGACCATCCTGGCTAACGTGATGAAACCCATCTCTACTAAAAATACAAAAAACTAGTCAGGCGTGGTGACAGGCACCTGTAATCCCCGCTACTCGGAAGGCTGAGGCAAGAGAATTGCTTGAACCCGGGAGGTGGAGGTTTGCAGTGAGCCGAGATTGCACCACTCACTCCAGCCTGGGTGACAGAGCAAGACTCCATCTCAAAAAAAAAAAAAAAAAAAAAATAGAAGTGGGTGCAAGGTTTATCTCTAGTTAGAAATAAGCTCTGCCTGTTTCTACAGCTGGTTAATTAGAAATAAAATCTTTGTGAACCCATGGATTATATTGAAAAAAATTTTTTAAAACAAGAAATAAAATATTGATACTGGTGTGTAATTTCTGCTTTTCCCTGGCTCCTTCTACACAGGTCTTTTCATCTCAAGATCGGTGTTCACTGGTTTCTTGACTCAGAGCTGGGTCAAGAATTTTAGGAATTGAGGTGCTTGTAATGCCAGAGCCAAGAATTTCAGTATCGAGAAGTGGTTTTGTTTGTAGTTGATATTTGAAGAGCTCTTACTGTGTGTCCTCTGCTTTACCTGAATTCATGTAGTCAGTACAGTAATCTTATAAAGTAAGTACTATTATTGGGTTCATTTCACAGATGAGAAAACTGAGATTTAGAGAGGGTAGGTATGATTTTGTGAAATATATATTTAGTCTTCCTCCCATTTCCTGGCCTATAACTCCTAAAATCATTGAAATCTCCCAAGTGATCAGTGTCTTTTTTTTTTTTTTTTTTGAGATAGAATCTCGCTGTGTCGCCCAGGCTAGAGTGCAATGGCATAATCTCGGCTCGCTGCAGCCTCTAAGCGATTCCCGTGCCTCAGCCTCCCAAGTAGCTGGGGCTACAGGCACATGCCGTCATACCCAGCTAATTTTTGTATTTTTAGTAGAGATGGGATTTCGCCGTGTTGGCCAGGCTGGTCTCGAACTCCTGAGCTCAGGTGATCTGTCTGCCTTGGCCTCCCAAAGTGCTGAGATTACAGGTGTGAGCCACCACACCTGGTCAGTGTCTTTTTGTGTGCTAATAATTGACCTTTGGTTGGGGACTCCTGGATAGTCTCAGGATTTGGGGGCCAGTGGCCAGGGAAACCAGCCTTGTAGTTAGAGGGTTGGCACTTTTAGTCCCACACCCAGCCTCTGGGACAGGGAGAGGGACTGAAAGTTGACTTGATCTGCAGTGGCAGTGACTTAATTGATCATGCCTGCGTAATGAAGCTTCCATAAAAACCCTGAAGGACTGGGTTTGGGGAGCTTCTGGATGGCTGCACACGTGGAGGTTCTTGGAGGATGGCACCCTCAGAGAGGGCTTGGAGGCTCTGTGCCCCTTCTCACATGCCTCGCCCTACGTCTCTTCATTTGTATCCTTCATAATATCCTTTATAATAAATCAGTAAATGCAAATAAAGTGTTTCCTTGAGTCCTGTGAGTTGCTCTAGCAAATTTATCAATCCTAAGAACCTCGATTTATAGCCGGTTGGTCAGAAGCACGGGTAAAACAACCTGGAGCTTGCAATTGATGTCGCAAGTCAGGGGCAGTCTTGGGGAACTAAACCTGTGGGATCTGATGCTATTTCCAGGTGGATAGTGTAGGAACTGAATTAGAGGACACCCAGCTGGTGTCTGCCAGCTGCAGAATTGATTGCTTACTTGGTATGTGGGGCTCCCACACATCTGGTGTCAGAAGTATTCTGTGGGGCTGGGCGTGGTGGCTCACACCTGTAATCCCAGCACTTTGGGAGGCAGAGGTAGGAGGATCGCTTGAGCCCAGGAGTTTGAGATCAACCCGGGCAGCATAGTGAAATCCTGTCTCTATTAAAAAAAAAAAAAAAAGGTAGTATTCTGTGTTGTGAGAGTATAGCAGGAAGAAACTGAGTTTGCTTTTTCCTCTCCATCCTCTCAGTAAGTAACTTGCTCTGGATCACTCAAAGGCAAATGAGTGGTTCAGCTTATTAGCCTCCAGAAGATTGACAGGTCTGAAAGGTTGTTGCTGAGGTAGGGTGATAAAAGTGATCAGGTGCTTCAGGTATTGCAGGAGCTGCCACTAGCTTAATCTGATGTGTAGTTGTTTTCTCCTGTCAAAAGTTCTGTAATAATTATTATTTTTCTTTTTGAGATGAAATCTTGCTGTGTCTCCCAGGCTGGAGTGCAGTGTGCTATCTTGGCTCACTGCAACCTCCGCCTCCCGGGTTCAAGCTATTCTCTTGCCTCAGCTCCTGAGTAGCTGGGATTACAGGTGCCTGCCACCATGCCCGGCTAATTTTTGTATTTTTAGTAGAGACGGGGTTTCCCCATGTTGGCCAGGCTGGTCTCGAAATCCTGACCTCAAGTGATCCACCCGCCTGGGCCTCCTAAAGTGCTGGGATTATAGGCATGAGGCACAGAGCCTGAAGGACTGTAGCTTTGTAGTAAGTTTTAAAATTGGAAAGTGTTAGTCATCCAACTTTGTTCTTTTTCAAGATTGTTTTGGCGATTCTGGGTTCCTTGCATTTCCTTACTTTAGGATCAGCTTGTCAATTGCTGAAAAACAATTCTCTTTTTCTCTCTGTTTGTTTTTATATCTGGCTTTTTGGCCAAGGACTTCTGCAATGTTTGTTGACATTTAGGTGTGAAGTACACATGTATGCTAGGACCCAAGTGCGGGAAGGTGAGTTGGGTGGGGGAAATTGACCTTTTCAGTTTATAATGTAGACTTTCACTGTCTCGCTGGGTCAATATGGTGCCTTATCCCTATTGTCAACTATGCCTGAAGTCTTGAGTTTGGTTTCACCTGTTGAGAAACTAAAAGTCTTTTTAGTCTTTTTTTTTTTTTTTTTTTTTTTTTTGAGACAGAGTCTTGCTCTTGTTGCCCAGGCTGGAGTGTAATGGTGTGATCTTAGCTCACCATGACCTGTCTCCCAGGTTCAAGCTATTCTCCTGCCTCGGCCTATCCCAAGTAGCTGGGATTACAGGCACGCACCACTACACCTGGCTAATTTTGTATTTTTAGTAAAGACAGGGTTTCATCATGTTGGTCAGGCTGGTCTCGAACTCCCGAACTTGGGTGATCCGCCTGCCTCGGCCTCCCAAAGTGCTGGACTAAAAGTCTGCTTGGGATTAGGAAGGGGCAACTGCTTGGTTGAACTGGGTGGGGAGGGGACTCTGGGACTCTAATCATTCCCAAGATAGGCTTTTGCCAGTCCTCCTGTTTTTAGCCCCACTTCTGCCCTTACTTTCGGAGGTACCTGTACTACTGATGCAGGGCACGTGAGCCCCAAAACTGGGGGTTAGTCTGGGTAGGTTCTTGGCTTTGCCCTGGAAAGAATTCAAGGGCAAGCTGGTAGTAGAAGAAAACAGCTTTATTGAGGCAGCAGAGTTACAGCTCCGTGACTGCTCCTGCAGAGCAGGGCTACGCTATAGGCAGTGTGTCCCTAGTAGCAGCTCAGGGGCAGTTTTGCTGTCATATTTATACCCAGTTTTAATTATATGCAAGTTAAGGAGTGGGCTATTAGACATTTCTAGAAAAGTGGTAACTTCTGGGGCATTACCATGGCATTGGCACACTGTCATGGCACTGGTGGGTGTGTCTTGTGGGGAGGTGCTTTTGGTGCCTCTTCCCTGTTTCAGCCAGTCTTCAGTCTGGTCCTGAGTCGAGTCCTCCCTCCTGCCTCACCACCAGTGATTGACCCTTTCTGGAATTCTTCATTGCCAGTCTGCTTGCCTTCTGTTGACCTCTCTTGTGGGCAGCTAAGTTTCAGTTTCGACACACTGGAACCATTTTCCAAAATTTTGCTGCTGTTTCCGTTGTGTTTTTTTCCCTTTCTGTGGGTTTTCACCTTTTTGTATTGCTTCCTGTCATTTTGATGGAGTTTGAGAAGGGAACAGAGATAAATGTATGTGTAGTCTGCTCTGTGTATTGAGAGCTCCTGGAAGGCTAAGGGAAGAACTGGCCTCTGGGAAGACGCTAGTGTCGCTACTACTTTGTTTCCTTAGCAACAGTCCTGACGGGGAGCTCCTTCATTGTATTCTGTTCCTACCGATACACGTTGCTCCTTTTTTTTTTTTGAGATGACTCTCATGCTGTCGCTCAGGCTGGAGTGCAATGGCACAATCTTGGCTCACTGCAACCTTCGCCTCCCAGGTTCAAGTGATTCTCCTGCCTCAGCCTCCCAAGTAGCTGAGATTACAGGCACTCACTACCACACCCAGATAATTTTTTTATTTTTAGTAGAGATTGGGTTTCACTATGTTGGCCGGGCTGATCTCGAACTCTTGACCTCATGTGGTCCACCCACCTCGGCCTCCCAAAGTGCTAGAATTACAGGCATGAGCCACCACGCCCAGCCACCTTTTCTTTTTTTTCTTTTGAAACAGGGTCTTCCTCTGTTGCTCAGGCTGGAGTGCAGTGGAGTGATTACAGCTCACTGCAGCCTTGACCTCCTGGGTTCTGGTGATTTCCCACCTCAGCCTCCTGAGTAGCTGGGACTACAGGCATGCACCACCATGTCTGACTAATTTTTTGTATTTTTTGTAGAAATGGGGTTTCTCTATGTTGCCTAGACTGGTCTCGAATTCCTGGGCTCAAGCAGTCTGCCCACATCAGCCTCCCAAAGTGCTTGGATTACAGGCATGAGCCACTACACCCAGCTGCCCCAGTTTTTCATTTGCATAATTTTCTATGCAAATTTTTTGCATTTTTTTAGTTCAGCCAAATTAGCTGAGGTCTAAAGCACTCCTTTTAGTGCAGTCACATTAGTTGAGGTTTCAACAAATTCATTAACAGTAAACCAGTGGTCCTCAACCCAGCTTCATATTAGGATCACTTGGGGAATTTTTAAATAACACAGCTGTCCCTGGCCCACCCCAGACCAATTAAATGGGAATCTCTGAGGGTAGGGTTTGGTGGTCAGTGTTGTTTTTTTTTAATGCTCCCCAGATAATTCAGATGTCTAGAAAGGATGGAGAACCACTGCTCCAAGGCATTTGATCCTTCATTAAGGATAATTTAACCTAACTCTACACATTCAATTACATCTGTTATCTTATTGTTATTCTTTCCATCTTACATTTCCACCCAACATTGGCCTCTTTCCTTCCTTGTATTCCCCAGACATGCTGTCACCTCAACAGCATTTTTTTTTTGAGACAGGGTCTTGCTCTGTCACCTAGCTGGAGTGCAGTGGCGTGATCATAGCTCACTGCAGCCTAGACCTCCCAGGCTCAAGCGATCCTCCCACCTCACCTCAGCCTCCCGAGTAACTGTGACTACAGGCATGTGCCACCATGGCTAATTTTTGTGGTTTTTGTTGAGACGAGGTTTTGCCCTATTGTTCAGGCTGGTCTCGAACTCCTGGATTCAAGTGATCCACCTGACTTGGCCTCCTAAGGTGCTGGGATTACATGCATGAGCCACCACTGCTGGCCATCATACCCTTTTATCTATCTGAATGTTTTGCAGATACTCTCAGTTTCTTCCTTCAGCTTCTTCAGATCTTTGCTCAAATGTCACCTTCTCAGTGAGACCTTCCTGTTCATGCCTTTTTAATTTCTATTTTGGCCAGGTGCTGTGGCTTACGTTTATAATCCCATCACTTTGGGAGGCCAAGGCAGGAGGATGGCTTGAGCCTAGGAGTTCAAGACCAGTCTGGACAACTTGGTAAAATCCTATCTCTACTAAAAATACCAAAATTAGCCAGGCATGGTGGCATGTACCTGTAACCCTAGCTACTCAGGAGGCTGAGGCATGAGAATCACTTGAATCTGGGAGGTGGAGGTGCAGTGAGCTGAGATCACGCCACAGCACTCCAGCCTGGGTGACAGAGCAAGACTGTCTCAAAAAAAAAAAAAAAAGAAAAGAAAAGAAAAAGTGAAAAGCATGCAAATTTATATCATATAAATTTACGTGACTAAGACCTGGAGAAACAGATAATGTGTATTTATGTTTAGGTTTGATGAAGAGTGGACAATCGTGGAGAAATACGATTGGACAAAAGGGGTATGATTGACTGGTAATACACTGGGGGAAATTTAACAAGTCCTATTTGTTCAGATTCTTCTCTGTGTCCTTTTGTTTTCAGAGAAGGATATTTCTTTCCTTGGGGTATAAGGAGGGCATCTCTCAAAGGAGGGTCATATGACCCGTTTCAGGGGAAGGTCAGAAAATCTTTCATAGGCTTTATGACCTGCTTTATGGGAGAAGGGTGAGAGGAAGCTGAGAGTGACTTCCTGCTTTTCCTGTTTTCTTAAATGCCAAGGTGTCATGTTTTGGGGTAAGGTATCTTAAACCCCATCAGCCATGTCCTGTCTACTGATGAGCCCATCAAGGCATTCTTCACTTCTATTACAGTGTTTATGATTTCTAGCATTTTCTGTTGACTCTTATAGTTGCTATATCTCTCCTTACATTGCCCATCTATTCTCATGTGTTGTCTGCTGTTTCCATTAGAGCCCTGAACCTAGTAATCATAGTTATTTTGCATTACCTGTTTGATTATTCTAAAATCTGTCCTATCTGAGTCAGGTTCTGATGCTTGCTTTATTTCTTTTTCACACTGTTTCTTCTTGCCTTTTAGTGTGTTTTGTAATTTTTCATTGAGAGCTAGACATTGACCTTCTTCCTGCTGATCAGTTCCTCTTCCTTACCCCTCCCTAGTTCTTGTTTAAAAAAGAAAGCTGGACATGATGTATTAGGTAATAGGAAATGAGATAAATAGTCCATTAGTATTGTTAGTATGGTGTTTCATGTTAATCTGGCTAAGAGTTGGTCTGTGTTTAATGATTGCTGTAACTGTTGGTATCTGAGGCTTCAAATTCCTCTAGTGTCCTTGTTTCTGTCTCCCCTGTTATCTTTGGTTTTCCCTAAAAACTCCTTCTTAAATAGAGTGTATGCCTTTCAGCCCTAATTCCCTGTTGTTGTACTGGAGCCCTGTTGGTGTGACAGCAAAGTATGGGGGAGGGGAAGCATTCTATAGCCTCATGGTCAAATCCTAGTCTTTTAGTGGGCCTGTGTCCCAGGCTATGACTGTCACTCATATTTAACTGTTTTTCTCCCCTTAGATGAAACAGAAAGGCTAAAGAGGGCTGGAGTCAGGGGACTTCTCTTCCACCAGGTAGGATAAGGCTCTGGTAAAGTCTTCTTCCCTGGAGAGTAGGCCATTGCTCTGGGCCTATTTCACTATGGTTACTTCCCACAACTAGAGCTAGGAGGGAATCTTTCTTGACTCTTTACCAGGATAATCTTGTAAAGAAGGATTTTTTCTTCTGTTTTATTCAGCAGTATACCACTAGCACCAAAACCAGTGCAGAGTACATAATAGATGCTCAATAAATATTTGTCAAATGAATGAATGCCTCTTATCTAAGCTCTAGAGATTGTTACCTAGATGTGGGAAGTTTCTTAACTTATAATGATAATAGGCCGGGCGCAGTGGCTTACGCCTGTAATCCCAGCACTTTGGGAGGCCAAGGTGGGCGGATCACCTGAGGTCAGGTGTTCGAGACCAGCCTTAACATGGAGAAACCCCGTCTCTACTAAAAATACAAAACATTAGCTGGGCGTGGTGGTGCATGCCTGTAATCCCAGCTACTCTGGAGGCTGAGGCAGGAGAATTGCTTGAACCTGGGAGGCGGAGGTTGTGGTGAGCCGAGATTGTGCCATTGCACTCCAGCCTGGGCAACAAGAGCGAAATTCCATCTCGAAAAAAAAAAAATAAAAAAAATTATAATAAACTGATGACATTTCTCTGAATGAAATTAGTCCCTAGTGTAGTATTTGCTTATTAGGTTCTGTAGTGTTTGTTTAATCTAAAACCCTACCTTAGATGGGATTGTTGTAGACCAGTAGTCTCAAGCTTTTTTGACTGCAACCTTTAGTAAGACATACATTTTATATCTTAAAACAGTATATGTGTGTGTGTGTATATATATGTATGTATATTTATTTTAAAACAGTATATGGATATATATATACACATATGTGTATATACAATACACATATGGATATATATACACATATGTGTATATACAATACACATATGGATATACACATATGTGTATATACAATATACATATGGAGATATCATATATGCACCTATTAATATATATACATGTATATTTATTTGGTAAAACTTTTTGTGAAATAATACTTTCCTTTGTGTGTGATATACTTTTATATTTTCTTTTTTTTTGAAACGGAGTCTCATTCTGTCACCCAGGCTGGAGTGCAGTGGTGCGGTCTTGGCTTATTGCAACCTCTGCCTCCTGGGTTCAAGCAATTCTCCTGCCTCAGCCTCCTTATTAACTGGGATTACAGGCACCTGCCACCACGACCAGATAATTTTTGTGTTTTTAGTAGAGATGGGGTTTCACCCTGTTGGCGAGGCTGGTCTCGAACTCCTGACCTCAAGCAATTCACCCACCTCAGCCTCCCAAAGTGTTGGGATTACAGGCATGAGCCACCGTGCTCGGCCTATATTTTCTTTTAAAAAAATCTTTTTATTTATTATAGTTTGGTATACAACTTTTATAGTTTCTACCCTATTAGTTTGTATTTTATTTTTAAAATGCTTGTCAAGATTTATGTAGAGGATAAGTTCAGAGGAAATATGTTGTTTGTATTTATATTATATATAAATATGTTATTTATATTTTTGAGACCAAGTGTGGTGGCTCATGCTTGTAATCCCATCACTTTGGGAGGCTGAGGTGGGAGGATTGCCTGAGCTCAAGAGTTCCAGATCAGCCTGAACAACATAGGGACCCCCTTCATCTGTACAAAAAATTTAAAAAATTAGGTGAGTCTGGTGGCTGGTGCCTGTAGTCCCAGCCTTTTAGAAGGCTGAGGTGAGAGGATTGCTTGAGCCCAGGAGGTTGAGGCTGCAGTGAGCCATGATTGTGCCACTGCACTCCAGCTTGGGGTGACAGAGTGAAACCCTGTCTCAAATATATATATATATATATACACACACACACACACATGTATATACATACACATAGATACACACACACACACATATATACATACACACTCATACTATAAATAAATATATATATATATATATATTTTTTTTTTTTTGAGAAATTTCAATAGATCTACCAGACTTAGTAAAGGGGGACATTTTGACTTTCCCATCCCCCTCCCAATAAGTCCATTAGTTTCTTCAATAATGAAATACTTTGTTCATCTGGTAACCTTTAGTTATATTTTAAACATTGACCCCCTTCTCCCTCTTCCAGCAAAGCTTATGCTCACTCAGAGTTTTGGAGTGATTAGGATGCAATTACTTTCCATGGCTATTAGCAGGGGAGAAATTACTTGAGTACGTGTACGGAGTCATCTGTTCGTGTTGCTGAGACAGAGTGTGAAGTCTGGGCCTCAGGTTTCCTAAGCTTCTTGTAGTGGATAGTGGGGATTTGGACCTAATACGCATTAGGAACCTTGTCTAAGATGGGAGGCAAAAGCTGAGAGGTCGAAAGTACTTTGATGGGGATGGGATCTGTTCCTTTCTATAGTTACGGTTATTTCTCTTGAGACAGAGTCTCGCTCTGTTGCCCAGGCTGGAGTGCAGTGGTGCGATCTCGGCTCACTGCAACGTCCACCTCCCGGGTTCAAGCAATTCTCCTGCCTCAGCCTCCCGAGTAGCTGGGATTATAGTTGCGCCACCACTCCTCGCTAATTTTTGTATTTTTCATAGAGACGGGGGTCTCACCATGTTGGCCAGGCTGGTCTTGAACTCCTGCCCTCAAGTGATCCGCATGCCTGAGCCTCCCAAAGTGCTGGGATTACAGGTGTGAGCTGTCACACCTGGCCGGTTATTTATTTATTTATTTATTTTTTGAGATGGAGTCTCGCTCTGTTGCCCAGGCTGGAGTGCAATGGTGCAATCTTGGCTCACTGCAACCTCCACCTCCTAGGTTCAAGAAATTCTCCTGCCTCAGCCTCCCAAGCAGCTGGGATTACAGGTGCCCGCCACCACACCCGGCTAATTTGTTATATTTTTAGTAGAGATGGGGTTTCACCATGTTGGCCAGGCTGGTCTCAAACTTCTGACCTCAGGTGATCCACCTGCCTCGGCCTCCCGAAGTGCTGGGATTACAGGCGTGAGCCACTGTGCGTGGCCCCGGCCGGTTATTTTTCTTTATGCATCAATTGGAAAGGTTTTACAATTCCAAATGCCTACATTATATAATGTCAGGGTGGTATCTTGCTCATTAGATCTGGAACTCCAGACAAAGCTCTATAGAATAACATGGATTACTGTTATATAAGCAGTGGACTGCAATTTTAAAAGACACTGGAGAAAGAAAACATGGTGATGTTTTATCTACCCTGTTTCTCCTGCCTTCCCAGTTGCCTTTGTTCCTTCTGAGCCTTCTTTAGAATTTATCTGATTGTTTTAGTTTTGCGGCCCTGAAGTGTAGATCAAAAAGTTTGGTCTTTCTTCTGTTGAACAGGCCATGTATGGGCTTCAAGTTCCATTCTCTAAGAGTCAGGACCAAAGGCTCAAAACTGCTACAGTTCAGGAGAACAAGATAGTTTAAAAACTACCATTAGTTGAGTTGCCTTAGGAAAGAAAGAGTCCCAATAGAAGTAAAGATTTCTAAAATATTCTTTCATTTTTAAAGTCTGTAAATAATGGATTTCCAGCGTTTAGTGCTTTAACCCCTGTTAACTAAAAGCCCCAAGGCTCAATTTATAATTATTTATAATCTTTCCTGCATTATTCAAGATACGATCTTTTGCTTCCCCTTAAAATTATTGTTCAATTATGAAAGAGATCAAACATATAAAATGGTTAGAGATGAAGATAACAAACAGTCATAAAAACCACCATCTGGATTTAATGAATATGAACATTTTGCCATATTTGCCCCAGAACTTTTTTCTTTGAAAGATAAAATGTTGTAGATACAGTTGAGGTTCCTTTGGTCTCTTCCCCACTCCAATTCCCCTGCTCCCTCCTCCCCTACCCTAGAGGGAACTTCTGTTCTGAACTTGGTGTGGTTCCTTCCCGTCGTACTTTTATACTTTTAAACGTTTGTGTGTCCACAACAACAACGTATACAGTTGTTTTGTGTAAGTTCAAGTGTACACCAAAGACATCGTACTAAGGCTGCCACTTGCCTTTTTTTTTTTTTTCCCCTCTTGGCATTATCATTTGGGATTTGTACATGTGGATTAAATTCATATATTTCAGGTACTATATAGCATTCCATTTTAGAAATATATCAATTTATCCATTCCCCCATTGATGGGTATTTAAGTTGTTTATAATTTTTTACTATTACAAATACTGCTATGATGAACATCCTTGAACATGGCCTCTTCTGTGTGTGTTGGAGAATTTCTCCCTCTGCAAATGCCTGGGAGTAGAATCCTGGTGGGTCCAAAATTACGCGTCTTTAACTCTGCCGGAGGTTGTCAGCTGCCATCTAATGTGCGCTGCCTCCACAGGCATGTGAGACTTCTCTCCAACACTAATTGTCAGGCTTCTCATCTCTTTCTAATCTGATGAGTAGCAAAGAGAGTTGATCTTTTTACTGCTTTGCCAAGACAAATTTAGTCTAAGTGAGTCAAAACATCATCTTTTTGGCCTGGTGAAATGGCTCATGCCTGTAATCCCAGCACTTTGGAAGGTGGGGCTGGGAGGATTGCCTGAGGCCAGGAGTTCAAGACTGGCCTGGGCAAGATGGTGAGATCCTATCTCTACAAAAAATAAATACATAAATTAATAAAAAAGGAAAAAAATCAGCTGGATGTGGTGGCAAATGCCTGTAGTCCCAGCTACTCAGGAATCTGAGGCGGAAGGATCACTGGAACCCAGGAGGTCAAGGTTGTAGTGAGCTATGATCATGTCACTGCACTCCATCCTGGGTGACAGGGCTAGACCCTGTCTCAAAAAAACAGGTTGGTCCTGTGGTAGTGGGTTATCAGAACTTATTAACATTAGTGTCACTAAAGTTTGTATACAACCCCTGAATGCTAAATTTGGCTTTAAAAAAGGAAAAAAAAAGAACTGAGATGGGAGTCTGTCTGCACGTTCAAGGGATAGTTGAACAGTGAGGAGGCCTGTGTGGCAGTAATCACAGCATGATGAGGGTGGGGGGATACTGGGGAGCAGGAAGTGGGCCATGAGGTCAGAGAGGGGTGTGGAAATGGGGGAAGGTATTGCATAGGACGTCAAAGTTCATTTGCAGGTCTTTGGCTTTTACTCTTTTTTTGTTTTTGTTTTTCAAACAGGGTCTCACTGTGTCACCCAGGCTGGAGTGCGGTGGCACAATCTTGGCTCACTGCAGCCTTGACCTCCTGGGCTCAAGGGATCCTCCCAACTCTGTGGTCCTGATTAGCTGGGTCCACAGGCATGTGCCATCACACTCAGCTAATTTTTGTATTTTTTTTGGAGAGATGGAGTTTGACCATGTTGCCCAGGCTGGTCTTGAACTCCTGAGCACAAGGTGATCCGCCCGCCTCAGCCTCCCGAAGTGCTGGGATTATAGGCGCCCGCTGGCTTTTACTCTGAGTTAGACGGTGTCTTAGTTCATTTTGTGTTTCTATAACTGGATAATAGAAACGGGATAATTTATAAAGAGACTAGGTAATTTATAAAGAAAAGAGATTTATTCTTTGTATTTGAGTCTGGGAAGTCTAAGGTGGAGGGCCCACATCCTGGCAAGGGCCTTTGTACTCCACATCCCAAGTGGAAGGAAAGGCAGGAGAGCTAGAGAGAAACGTGAGGGGCTGAACTTGCTTTTATAACAAACCTGCTCTTGAGATAGTGGCCCCAGCCCTGAAGTAACATCAATCTGCCCTCATGATCCAATCACCTCTTCAAGGCCCCACCTCTCAATACTGTTAAGATTAAATTTTCGGAGCCGGGCGAGGTGGCTCATGCCTGTAATCCCAGCACTTTGGGAGGCTGAGACGGGCGGATCACCTGAGGTCAGGAGTTCGAGACCAGCTTGGCCAACATGGTGAAACCCTGTCTTTACTAAAAATACAGAAATTAGCTGGGCGTGTTAGCGGGTGCCTGTAATCCCAGCTACCAGGGAGGCTGAGGCAGGAGAATCTCTTGAACCCGGGAGGCAGAGGTTGCAGTGAGCCAAGATAGCGCCACTGCACTCCAGCCCGGGTGACAGAGCGAGACTCCATCTCAAACAAACAAACAGACAAACAGAGGGATGACATTCAAAGCCTGAGACAGAATGAGGTAACTGAGAAGAGGTAGAACATTGATTGCTTGAGGTTGAGGACGGGGCAGGAGCCAACCAAGAAGGCTCAGGTGGGGCAGGAGGAGGATGAGGCAGGACTGGTATCCCCAGAGCTGAGGGAAAAAAGCAGTTAAAGAACAAAAGGGTGATCAGTTGTGTCAGATGCTGCCAATAGGTCAGTCATGTAAGAGGAGATGGAGAATTGCTATGGGATTTGGTAACCTGGAGGTCTCTCTGGAGCTCTTGATAAGAAGAGTTTGGTGTTGTATTCCATTTGCTAAGTACCATTTCAGAGGTTTCCAGTGGAAGTAAAATGCTTATTACAGACTAGTCTAGAAAAACTAGCCACTTTAAATCTTTTTGGAAACTAGATATATCACATAAGACAAATTCTGTTCGAGTTTGCTAAAAATCTTGGAGCGTGACATTGTTTGACTTTAGCTATGGAAAATGTCAACATCATTGTCACTTAGCCATAGCTACATTTATTTAAATTGAAATTTAAATTATAAAATAGAGCCAAGGTCTCACTATGTTGCCCAGGCTGGTCTTGAATTCCTGCGCTCACATGATCCTCTTGCCGCAGCCTCCCAGTGTGCTGGAATTACAGATGTGAGCCACTGTGCCTCTCCTGTAACTATATTTAATTCTCATATGAAGGGCTTTTGTCCTTTTTTTTTTTTTTTTTTTGAGATGGAGTCTCACTCTCTCCCCCAGGCTGGGGTGCAGCGGCGTGATCTCAGCTCACTCCAACCTCTGCTTCCCAGGTTCAAGCGATTCTTCTGCCTCAGCCTCCGGATACCTGGGATTACAGGTGCGTGCCACCATGCCCGGCTAATTCTTGTATTTTTAGTAGAGATGGGGTTTCATCACATTGGCCGGGTTGGTCTCAAACTCCTGACCTCAAGTGATCTGCCTGCGTTGGCCTCCCAAAGTGCTGGGATTACAGGCGTGAGCCACTACGCCTGGCCAAGGGCTTTCATTCTTAGAGTAATATGGTGAATTAATAACCATGTTTTAAAGCTGAACAACTCTTTAAGATAAGTCAGGCACCGGGCTTGGTGGTCCGATCCTGTATTTCCAGCTACTCAGGAGGCTGAGGCAGGGAGATACTTTGAGTGCAGAAGTTCGAGGCTGCCGTGAGCCATGATTATGCCTGTGAGTAGCCACTGTACTCTAGCCTGGGCAATACAGCCAGACCCTGTGTCTAAATAGTAATAATAATAATATTGAAGAAAAAAAAGAAAATGGGAAGGCAGGGAGAGAGGTCACATACAAATAGAATGACAGAAGGTATTAATGATGTTGAATAGAACAGGAATTTTGGCCAGGCTTGGTGGCTCATGCTTGTAGTCCCAGCACTTTGGGAGGCTGCGGCAGAAGAATAGCTTGAAGCCAGGAGTTTGAGACTAGTCTGGGCAACGTAGTGAGACCTTGTTTCTACAACAACAACAACAACAACAACAAAATATTAGAGTTGTGGTGGCACATCTATAGTCCCAGCTACTCAGGAGGCCAAGGTGAGAGGATTGCTCGAGTCTAGGAGTTCAAGGCTGCACTGAGCATGTTCATGCCACTGCACTCCCGGCATGGGCGACAGAGTGAGATACCATCTCTAAAAAACATAAGATACAAAGGCACAAGAATTTAACAGCATCAGTTCTCAAGTGTGGTCCTCAGACATTGGGAGGTCTCCCAGACTCTTTTAGGGTTTTGCAAGGTTAAAACTCTTTTCTTTTTCTTTCTTTCTTTCTTTTTTTTTTTTTTTTTTTTTTTTTGAGACGGAGTCTTGCTGTCATCGCCCGGGCTGGAGTGCAGTGGCATGATCTCGGCGCACTGCAACCTCTGACTCCTAGGTTCCAGCAATTCTCCTGCCTCAGCCTCCCAAGTAGCTGAGATTAGAGGCGCCCACCACCATGCCCGGTTAATTTTTGTATTTTTAGTAGAGACGAGGTTTCACCATGTTGGTCAGGCTGGTCTCGAACTCCTGACCTCAGGTGATCCACCCGCCTTGGCCTCCCAGAGCGCTGGGAATACAGGCGTGAGCCACTGTGCCTGGCCGAAATTATTTTCATAATGACATTAACACTTTGCCTTTTCACTGTGATCCCATTCACACCAATGTTCCAGAAGCAAAGGTGAGTAAAGCAGTTGGTGCTAGCACCAATTGGGCTGTTGCTGTGGTCATGGTATCCTTCACCACACATACTCTCAGTATAAAGAAAAGAAAAAGCCAGGTTCGCCTGAGAATGTCCTTGATGAAGTGGTAAAATTCATTAATTTTATGAAGTCTTGACTCCTGAGCACGTGTTTTTAATATTCTGTGTGCTGAAATGGGCAGTACTCCAAAAGCTCTTCTGCCGCCTGTTGAAGTATAATGGTGTGTTGGGAAAAAGCACGGTTGTTTGAATTGAGAGCTGAATTAATTGCTTTTTGGGTGAAGTACCATTTTTACTTAAACATCTAACAGACAAATGTGTTACTAGATTTGGGTATTTGGCAAGCCTTTTCTTGAAAACGAATGAAGTGAGCCCGACACTTCAAGGAAAACAACACAGTATTTGTTACCAATGATAAAATATGAGTTTTTTTTTTTTTTAAAGAAAAGAAAGAGTGGTCGAGTGCAGTGGTTCACACCTGTAATCCCAGCACTTTGGGAGGTTGAGGCAGGCGGATCACTTGAGGTTAGGAGTTCGAGACCAGCTTGGCCAACATGGCGAAACCCCATCTCTACTAAAAATACAAAAATTAGCCAGGTGGTGCTGGTGCCTCTAATTCCAGCTACCCATGAGGCTGAGGCACGAGAATCACTTCAACTTGGGAGGTGGAGGCTGCAGTGAGCCGAGATTGTGCTACTGTACCACTCCAGCTTAGGTGTGTGAGACTGTCTCAAAAAAAAAAAAAAGACAAAAGACAAGGTAGTAGAGATGATGGAAGGAGGGAGGAAGGGGAGCGGATATGAGTTTTTAAGTGAAAGGTTTTAAGGGAAAGTTAGACTTTTGGAATGCTTTTATCTACTACCAAGAGCTCAATGGCTTCCCAATGCTTAAAGACTTGTCTGATGAGATCAGTGGTGACATTCACAAATGTGATTTTTGGATATTGCATAATGAAATGTGTCAACATTTGGAAAATCTGCAGAACTCAATGAACCAATATTTTTCAAATGTCAAATGATGATATTCCAAAATCACATACAAGTAAAAGATCCATTCAAAGTACAAGATAGACTTGCTTCTAGCCAAGACGGAATGACAGGGACACCTCATGGCGAATGATGCTGCACATCTTTTTTTTTTTTTTTTCGAGACAGAGTCTTGCTCTGTCACCCAGGCTGGAGTGCCATGGCACAGTCTCGGCCCACTGCAACCTCCACTTCCCGAGTTCAAGCGATTCTCCTGCCTCAGCCTCCCGAGTAGCTGGGATTACAGGCACCCACTACCACGCCCGACAAATTTGTTGTTTTTTAGTATAGATGGGGTTTCATCATTATGGCCAGGCTGGTCTTGAACTCCTGACCTCAGATGATCTACCTGTCTTGGCCTCCCAAAGTGCTGGGATTACAGACCATGAGCCACTGCACCCAGCCTACCCATTTAAATAATTGTATTAGTTGTCTTCTTTTTCTCTTTCCTTTTTTTTTTTCTTGCATTATACTTTTAGCAAGGATTACTGTCAGATTCTACTCATTTGGCCAGAGACCCTCCTTGAGGTGTTTGCAGCAAACTTGCTCTACAGCTAGCACACTAGATTAGCTGTCTTTCTGCTGTGAATCTGTGATGTTCTTTTTGGAGATGTCTTTTTTTTTTTTTTCTTCTTTTTTTGAGACAGAATCTTGCTCTGTTGCCCAGGCTGGAGTGCAGTGGCACGATCTCGGCTCACTGCACCCTCCACCTCCCGGGTTCAAGCAATTCTCTGCCTCACCCTCCTGAGTAGCTGGGATTACAGGCACCCACCACTATGCTTGGCTAATTTTTTTGTATTTTTAGTAGAGATGGGATTTCATCATCTTGGCCAGACTGGTGTTGAACTCCCAACCCTGTAATCCACCCGCCTCCCAAAGTGCTGGGGATTACAGGCATGAGCCACTGCGCCCAGCCAATCTTTTTTTTTTTTTTTTTTTTTTTTTTGAGATGGAGTTTCGCTCTTGTCACCCAGGCTGCAGTGCAATGGCCGATCTTGGCTCACTGCAACCTCCGCCTCCTGGGCTCAAGTGATTCTCCTGCCTCAGCCTCCAGAGTTGCTGGGATTACAGGCATGCAGCACCATGCCTGGATAATTTTGTATTTTTTAGTAGAGACGGGGTTTTGCCATGTTGGTCAGGCTGGTCTCAAACTCCTGACCTCAGGTGATCTGGCCATCTCGGCCTCCCAAAGTGCTGGAATTACAGACGTGAGCGACCATGCCTGGCAGAGGTGTCTTAGTAGACTCTGCCTCCTCTAGACTTTGCTATAACAGTCCTGTGTCCTTTCTAGTCTATCCTAAGACCTGTCCAGGTTCATTAAGTCATTATAAGACAAACTATACCCTGGTTGCAGTTGCTTGGACGTTTCTATTTTCTTGCCTGTTTCTTTAAGCTTAAATATTGAAATTGAGTTAAACTCCTCTGTCTTCTTATCAGATATTCTCTGAATTCTTTTTTCTGTTTGTCTTACAGCTTCACGGTGATGATATGGCATCTGCCAGCTCTAGCCGGGCAGGAGTGGCCCTGCCTTTTGAGAAGTCTCAGCTCACTTTGAAAGGTGAGTGGCACTGTATAATGTCTTCATCTTGTCTACGCCCAGGGAAGAGGGAGAATCTAACCACACCTTGGTCTGGGGAGCCAAATTTTGTGAAATAGTTTACATGTGTTAATTATTTATTCTCATGGGATTGTCATCTTGTAGCTGTAATTCTTGAAGAAGAAAGAAAATAAAGGAGCAGGAAAATAGGGAACTTTTAGCTAAAATTGTCTAAAATGGTGATTTCAGGCCAGGTGCAGTGGCTCACGCCTGTAATTCAGCACTTTGGGAGGCTGAGGCAGGAGGATCCCTTAAGCCCAGAGTTTCAAGACCAGCCTGGGAAACATAGGGAAGCCCTGTCTCTACAGAACATAAAATAATTAGCCAGGCATAGTGGTGCATGCTAGCTGGTCCCAGCTACTAAGGACACTGAAGTGGGAGGATCGCTTGAGCCTGGGAGTTCAAGGCTGCAGTGAGCTGTGATCACACCACTGCACTCAGCCTGGGCAACAGGGTGAGACCCTGTCCCAAAAACAAATTAAAATAAAAACTGAATAAAATAAAATGGTGACCTGTTCATGCCCTAGGGCTCGTTGCTACCTGCACTCGCTCCCTAGGTGCTTCTTCCAACCTCTGGCTTTAAATGCCACCAATAGAAGATCACTCCTCTGGGCTTTACCTCTGAACTCCTGATTTATAACCAGTAGCCAGTTTGTTACCTTCACTTGAATATTTAGTAAACATCTAAAATTTAGCCTGTCTATAGCTGAGGTCCTGGTTTTTCTTCCTCATTGTCTGTATCAACCCATCAGCGTATCTGGTTGACTCGATCTTCAAAATGTGTCACTCAACATTCAGCCACTTCTCACCACCCCTAGGTCCCAGCCTAGTCCAGGCCACCATTGTCTCCACCCTGAGTTAAGGCAGTAGCCTCCTGTCCTGTCTCTCGGCTTCTGCACTTTGCCCTCCTTCAGTCTGTTGGTCACACAGCAGCCAGTGATCTTGTTAAAAGGTAAACTGGGGCCAGGTGTGGTGACTCATGCCTGTAATATCAGCACTTTGGGAGGCCAAGGCAGGAGGATCACCTGAGCCCAGGAGTTTGAGACCAGCCTGAGCAACAGAGCAAGACCCCCGTCTCTAAAAAAAAAAAATCAGAGGCTGAGACAGGAGGATCACTTGAGCCTAGGAGTTCGAGGCTGCAGTAAGCTGTGATTGTGCCACTGCACTCCAGCCCAGGCAACAGAGCAGAGCGAGACCATGTCTCAGAAAAAAAAATGTAAGCTGGGTCTTGTCACTCCTCTGCTCAAACCATTCAAGGGTGCTCCATTTCACAGTAGAAGCCGAAGCTCCCATGTGATGTGACCCTTCCCCACCCCACATTTCTCATCTCCTGTTCCTGGTCTACATT
Organism: Homo sapiens; assembly: GCF_000001405.40. Classification (NCBI taxonomy): domain Eukaryota; kingdom Metazoa; phylum Chordata; class Mammalia; order Primates; family Hominidae; genus Homo; species Homo sapiens. Next base: position 69,788,468 of record NC_000016.10, read on the forward strand.
CTCTGTGCCCCAGCCTCCTTGCTCTTCAGTGAATACACTGGGCAGGCGTCTGCCTCTGGGCCTTTGCACTTGCTGTTCCCTCTGAGTGAAATGCTTTTCGCTTCATTATTTCCTTAGGCGTTTTCTCAAAAGCCACCCTCTTCCTGATCCCCTGATCCAACGCCACCTTTCTCATTGACTTCATCACATCTATTTCCCTCTCTTCTTTATATTTTTCTTATCAGCCCTTGTCCCTGTTTAATTAATTTATTTCATTTGTTGACTGTCTCCTTCAATAGAGTGTAAGATCCACAGTAAGAGATTTTTGTCGCTTTGGTCACTGTTAACTACCCCAGCCAGTAGAACAGTGCCTGACACATAGTGGGCCCTCAGTAAATAGTGCCTGAACGAAAGAATATTGCTTCGGGTTCCATAGCTCTGCAGCCATCACAGATGGGAGAGTGGCTCTCAGTATCTGAGCTCAGACCCCTCAGCCTGGTCCTCCAGAGGCAAAATTGTGTCTCTTGGGAATATTTTTCTTGAGTATTTTTGAAATGCAAATGTTATTTATATAATATACTCATGGAGTTTAAAAATCTTAGTTTTTAATTTTATTATTATTATATTTTGCGACAGAGTCTCGCTCTGTCGCCCAGGCTGGACTGCAGTGGCGCTGTCTCGGCTCACTGCAATTTCTTCCTCCCAGGTTAAAACAGTTCTCCTGTCTCAGCCTTCCAAGTAGCTGGGATTACCAGTGTGTGCCACCAGGCCTGGCTAACTTTTTTGTTTGTTTGTTTTTTTGAGATGGAGTCTCGCTCTGTTGCTCAGGCTGGAGTGCAGTGGTGCGATCTCGACTCACTGTAACCTCCGCCTCCCGGGTTCAAGCAATTCTTCTGCCTCAGCCTCCTCAGTAGCTGGGACTACAGGCGTGTGCCACCGCGCCTGGCTACTTTTTGTATATTTAGTAGAGATGGGGTTTCACCATATTGGGCAGGCTGGCTTCAAACTCATGACCTCATGATCTCCCCGCCTCGGCCTCCCAAAGTGCTGGGATTACGGGCGTGAGCCACCGTGCCCAGCCTCCTATAGTTCAAAATTCTTTCCTGCAGTCCTTCAGTGCTCCTCCTTGGAAAAAACCAGTATTGTTTCTTGTGTGTCTCTTCCAAGATACACCAAAAGGGATGCATTTTTGTAATTTTGAGAGCCAGATTGCCTTCCTTGGAAGGAATACCCTTCTAGCAATGTGCGAGAGTGCCTGTTTCCCTACATCTTTACCAGCACAATGTTGTCAGACTTTTAACTTTTGCCTGTTTCATTGGTGCAAGCTTGTGTTCTCAGTGTAGTTTTATTTCCCACTTCTTTACTTACGCATTTGATCCTTGAACAGCATGAGGGTCAGGGGTGCTGATTCCCTGCTCAGTAAAAAAATCCACATGTAACTTTTGACTCCCCCAAAACTTTACTAATAGCCTGCTGTTGACTGAAAGCCTTGCCAATAACAGAAACAGTTGATTGGCTGGGTGCGGTGGCTCACGCCTGTAATCCCAGCACTTTGAGAGGCTGAGGCAGACAGATTCCCTGAGGTCAGGAGTTCGAGACCAGCCTGGCCAATGTGGTAAAACCCTGCCTCTACTAAAAATACACAAAAAAATTAGCCAGGCGTGGTGGCAGGCGCATGTAATCCCAGCTACTTGGGAGGCTGAGGCAGGGGAACCGCCTCAACCCGGGAGGCCGAGGTTGCTGTGAGCCGAGACCACACCATTGCACTCCAGCCTGGGCAACAAGAACGAAATTCTATCTCAAAGAAAACAACAAAAAAAGAGAAACAGTTGATTAACACGTATTTTGTATGTTACATGTATTATATACTGTATTTTTACAATAAAATAAGCTAGAGAAAAAATCATAAGGAGGAAAAAAATTTTACTATTTATTCAGTGGAAGTGGGTCATCATAAAGGTCTTCATCCTCATCATTTTCATGTTGAGTAGCTGAGGAGGAGGAGGAAGAGGAAGGATTGGTTTTGCTATCTCTTGGGTGGCAAAGGCAGGAGAAAATCCATGTAAAAGTGGACCCTTGTAGTTCAAACCTCTCTTGTTTAAAGGTCAACTGTATGATGTTTAGCATCTTTTTTTTTGTTTGTTTTTGAGACAGAGTCTCACTCTGTCACCCAGGCGGGGGTGCAGTGGTGTGATCTTGGCTCACTGCGACCTCTGTCTCCTGGGTTCAAGCGATTCTCATGCCTCAGCCTCCCAAGGAGCTGGGTTTACAGGCATGTGCCACCACACCTGGCTAATTTTTGTATTTTTAGTAGAGATGGGGTTTTGCTATGTTGGCCAGGCTGGTCTCGAACTTCTGACCTCAAGTGATCCGCCTGCCTCAGCCCCCCAAAGTGCTGGGATTACAGGTGTGAACTACTGCACCCGGCCAGTGTTTAGCATCTTATATATTTAAGGGCGGTTGTATTTCCTTTCCTATGGATTGCCTGTTCATGTTCTTTGCCTGTTTCTTATTACATTATTGATTGTTTTTGTAGTCTTGAAATATTTTAATTATATTTCTTGGAGTCTTTTGCCTTGCTTCTGCCCTTTTGAGTAGGGAGATGAGTTAGAGTGAACTAATATGGTTTTAAACTGGGGGCTACAGACTTTATTACCTTAGCTAATAATTAGCAAGTCTAGGTCAAAGCAGAAGTTGGCCTATTGGACCTGGTAACATCCTGAGGTCTCTGTTTTGGGGCCATGTTATTCAGCCACGCACACTTACTTCTTTTCTTTTTTTCTTTCTTTTTTTTTTTTTGAGACGGAGTCTCGCTCTATCGCCGAGGCTGGAGTGCAGTGGCGTGATCTTGGTTCACTGCAACCTCTGCCTCCCAAGTTCAAGCAATTCTCCTGCCTCAGCCTCCAAAGAAGCTGGGATTACAGGCACCTGCCACCACACCCGGCTAATTTTCGTATTTTTAGTAGAGACAGGGTTTCACCGTATTGGTCAGGCTGGTCTCAAACTCCTGACCTCAGGTGATCCACCCACCTCGGCCTGCCAAAGTGCTGGGATTACAGGCGTAAGCCACTGCACCTGGCCTCTTTTCTTTTTTTGAGACAGTCTTTCTCTGTTGCTCAGGCTGGAATGTAGTGGCATGATTACAGCTCACTGCAGCCTCAAAATAGGCTCAAGCAATCCTCCTGCCTCAGCCTCCTGAGTAGCTAGGACTTTAGGCATACACTACCATACTTAGCTAATTCTTAAATTTTTTTTATAGAGATAGGTCTTGCTGTGCTGTCCAGGCTGGTTTCAAACTCCTGGACTCAAGCAGTTCTCCCACCTTGGCCTCTTAAAGTGCTGGGATTACAGGTGTGAGCCACCGTGCCTGGCCCCCACCTCGGCCTCTTAAGGTGCTGGGATTATAGATGTGAGCCTCTGCACCTGTCCAGCACATACTTCTAAAGGCTTTTTTGTTGCCTTTCTTGAAGGTGAATTTTCTTACCAGGGTGGAAAGAGCCAGCTTGATAATACTGGTGTATCTCATTATACACATATTTAACCTACACAGATTTGGTAATACCATTCAGGAAAATGGTGGGGGGAAAGAGAAAGAGAGAAATAACCATTTAAATAGCGTAGGTGGTTCTTTTTCCCGTGCATTTCATGAAGAAAGCTGATAGTGTAACCTGTGGGGTGTGACTGCGCGGTTTCCAGTTCCCTTGTGCCTGCCCACAGTGTGATCCTGGTGTTTTAAGGTATATTTTTAAATGCATCGAGGCCCTTAAACGTAGGACAGCTATTTTATTTGATATTTTACTAGAGAAACACTGAAAAACTGATCTCTGAAAAGCATAGTATAATAAAACAAGAAACAAGCTGTTTGGAACTTATTGAGAGAGCAGATGCCAGACTCTATTGTGGTCCCTTCTTAAGAGCTTTTTCAGTGTATAATTTTGTCTTTATATGATTTTTGCCTGATTTGTTGACTTTAAAAGCTAAATCTCACATAAAGTCGTGACTCTGTGTATAAAGATATATTTCATGAAAGAGACTTTCTAGATAAACTTGCTCATATCTTTATTTTAGCCTGTCTTTTAAGAACAAGAAATATTCAAAATATCACCCTGCTGATTAACTGTAGGTTACAAATGTGTCAGTGGAGAGACCTGGCCAACTCCACATTAAGCAGATGTTCAAACTTAGTATCCCCAATGGCAGGACAACCTAATGTATGTGGTAAGAGGTACACGACATAACTTATGTAGTATTCTTCTTTCTTTTGAGTCAGGGTCTCACTCTGTCACCTAGGCTAGAGTGCAGTGGCACAATTACAGCTCACTACAGCCTCGACCTCCTGGGCTCCAGGGATCCTCCTATCTCAGCCTCTCGAGTAACTGGAACTACAGGTGTGAGCCACTACACCTGGCTAATATTTTATTTTTTGTAGATTTGGGGTCTTGCTGTGGTGCCCAGGCTTGTCTCGAACTCCTGGGCTCAGGTGGCCCTTCTGCCTCGGCCTCCTAAAGTGTTGCAATTACAGGGTGAGCCACTGTGCCTGGCCTTTAAACCGAATCTAATCATGAGGAAACAATTGTAATCACCCAGTGGGTTCTTCTTGCCCACTGCACAGATAAAATAAATTCACTGCTGGGCGCGGTGGCTCATGCCTGTAATCCGAGCACTTTGGGAGGCCTAGGTGGGATCATGAGGTCAGGAGTTCAAGACCAGCCTCGCCAAGATGGTGAAATCCTGTCTCTACTAAAAATACAAAAAAATTAGCTGGGTGTGATGGCAGGCGCCTGTAATCCCAGATACTTGGGAGGCTGAGGCAGAGAATTGCTTGAACCTGGGAGGCAGAGGTTGCAGTGAGTCAAGATTGCACCACTGCACTCCAGCCTGGGTGACAGAGCAAGACTCCATCTAAAAAAATAATAATAATAAATAAATAAATTCACTGGGACTGTAGCATTGCATTAGAGAAAGAGTTTAATTGACACAAAACAGGCCATATGGGAGACAGAGTTATCACTCAGATCAGTCTTCCTGGAGGCTCAGAGATTAGGGTTTTTATAGACAATTTGACAGGTAGGGGACTAGGGAATGGGTGCTGCTTATTGGTTGGGGATGAGATTATAGAGGTGTGGAAAATGGTCCTGTGCTGAGTCCACTTCTGGGTGGGGCCACAGGATAATTTGTTTCACGAGTCAAGTCACGGGCCCAGGCAAAGTCAGTAGATTGCCAGAAAGAAAAAATCTCAAAAGACCAACCTTAGGTTCTGCAATAGCGATGTTATCTATGGGAGCAATTGGGGAAGTCACAAATCTTGTGACCTCTGGCTTCATGACTCCTGAGCAGTAAGGGATTATAGAAACTATACCTACCTCTTATTAGAATTCAAGCCCCTCCCATAATCCTAACCTTGTGGCTGTTGATTAGTTTTACAAAGGTGGTTTCGTTTTGGGAAGGGCTGTTATTATCCTTGCTTTTTTTTTTTTTTTTTTTTTTTTTGAGACAGGGTCTTGCTCTGTTACCCAGGCTGGAGTGCGTTGGACAATCTCAGCTTACTGCACTTTCTGCCTCCTGGGTTCAAGCGATTCTCGTGTCTTAGCCTCCTGAATAGCTGGAACTACAGGCGTGCGCCACCACGCCCGGCTAAGTTTTGTACTTGTAGTAGAGACGGGGTTTCACCAAGTTGGCCAGGCTGGTTTCAAACTCCTGGTCTCAAGTGATCTACCTCCCTTAGCCTCCCAAAGTGCTGGGATTACAGGCATAAGCCACCATGCCCAGCTATCCTTGCTTTAAGATTAAACTATAGGCTGGGTGTGGTGGCTCATGCCTGTAATCCCAGTACTTTAGGAGGCTGAGGCGGGTGGATGACTTTGAGCTCAGGCTTAAAGTTTGAGACCAGCCTGGGCAACATGGAAACCCTGTCTCTACAAAAAATACAAATATGAGCCAGGCATGGTGGCTCACACCTGTAGTCCCAGCTACTTGAGAGGCTGAGGTGGGAAGATCGCTTGAGCCCCAGAGGTGGAGGCTGCAGCGAGATGAGATTGCACCACTGCACTCCAGCCTGGGCAGCAGAGGGAGACCCGGTCTCAAAAAAAAAAAGAAACTATAAACTAAATTTCTCCCAAAATTAGCTTGGCCCATGCCCAGGAATGACCAAGGACAGCCTAGAAATCAGAAGTAAGATGGAATCAACTATGTCCGATTTCTCTGTCATAATTTTGCAAAGGCAGTTTCACAATTAGAAAAATGTAGAATTTGCTGCATTCTTTAAAACAGCTGGTGGAAGTCTTTAAAAATCATTGTTGCCTTGGCAAAGCTGCTGGGATTATAAAAGAAAAAAACCAAAAAGTTAAACAAACAAAAATCATTGCCATGGAAAAGAAGGGAGGATGTTCTAGATTTTAAAAGATTAAGGAGATAGTAGCCACAGGCAATTTGTATATATTGATTAGGTACTGAATTGGGGGAAAAATGGCTTTAAAAATATGTCTGGGGACTGGGCAGTAGCTCATGTTTGTAATCCCAGCATTTTGGAAAGCTCTGGCGGGTAGATCGCTTGAGTCCAGGTGGATTCCTTGAGCCCAGGAGTTCGAGATCAGCCTGGCCAATGGGGTGAAATCCCGTCTCTACAAAAAAAATTAAAAAGTTAGCCAGGCGTGGTGTTGCGCACTGGTAGTCCCAGCTACTCAGGAAGCTGAGGTGGGAGGATCGCTTCAGCCAGGTAGGTCGAGGCTGCAGTGAGCCGTGATCGTGCCACTGCACTCCAGCCGGTCTACAACTTACTTTTTAATGGTTTTACCTAGGAAAAAAAATGCGGATACACACACACACACACACACACACACACACACACATACACAGAGACATAGATGGCATTTATCTATAACCTTTGGTGTCCAATAGAATAGTCACTGTAGCCACATAGAACTGTTTACACTTAAATTACAATTATATAACATTTAAAAATCATATCCTTATTTGCACTAGCCATATTTCAAGTGTCAATAGCCACATGTGTCTCATGGCAATGTATTGGGCAGCACAGATGTGGAACATTTTCGTCATCATGGAAGTTCTCTTGGGTAGTGATGCTATAGACACATAGAACAGAAAGCAAATGTGGCAAAATGATAACAATTGGTGAAGAGTATACAGTATTTATTGTTCTATTTCAATTTTTCTATAGATTGGAAACTTAAAAATAGGAGGTTTTTTTTTTTTTTTTTTTTTTTTTTGTGAGAGTCTCTCTCCATCACCCAGGCTGGAGTGTGGTCTCAGCTCACTGTAGCCTCCGCCTCCTGGGTTCAAACAGTTCTCATGCCTCAGCCTCCTGAGTAGCTGGGACTACTGTTGTGCCCCACCACGCCCAGCTAGTTTTTGTATTTTTGGTAGAGACAGGGTTTAGCCATGTTGCCCAGGCTGGTCTCAAACTCCTGGCCTCAAGTGATCTGCCTGCCTCGGCCTCCCAAAGAGCTGGGATTACAGGCGTGAGCCACCATGCCCTGCTTCAAAATAAGAGTACTAAATGCCAGTATGATCCTAGATTGGGGCCTGGACCAGAACAAATTTTTTTTTCTTTCTTTTTTTTTTTGCGATGATGGGCATCGATAGGACAATTGGCAAAATACGAATAAAGTCTGTAAATTAAATATTAGTATTATAAAAAGTTAAATGTCCTGATTTTGATAATTGTGCTATTGGTTATGTTAAAAAATGTGTTTGTTGGGAAATACACCCAGAAATATTTAGGAGTAAAGGGGCACAATGTCTAGAGCTTACTCTCAGAGTTTCAGGAAAAAGTGTGTATGTGTATGAGCGCAGATACTTCTCAACTTACAGTGGGGTTACGTCCTGAAAAACCCATCATAAGTTGAACATATCGCAAGTTGAAAATGCATCTGATACTCCTAATCTGCCGAGCATCATAGCTTAGCCTAGCCTACCTTAAATGTGCTCAGGACACTTCGATATCCCGCAGCTAGGCAAGATCATCTGGTGAAGGGGTACACGGCAGAGTATCAATTGTTTGCCCCTGTGATCACGTGGCTGACTGGTGTTGCGGCTCACTGCCGCTGCCCAGTAGTACCGCATATGACTATTCTGCGAAAAGACCAAAATTCAAAATTTAAAATACAGTTTTTACTGAATGCATATCGCTTTCGCACCCCTGTAAAGTCAAACGTCCTAAGTAATGCACCATTTGTAGTCCCTATTTTTTAAAGGCATGTAGATTCATGCTCTTACCACCAGGTGGCCTCAGTTAACCTTGGTCCGTGTGTAAATCACTGCACCTCATTTTTCTACCCTGGGCCATGCCTCAGTACCACAAACCTTTGTCCCTAGTACTGTTCCCTTGTCGCTTCTGAATCTTAGCCACAGCTGATTTTTTATCTGTTGTCTTCCTCCCTTCTGTTCCTTTGGGGCCAGAGGAAGATAGTTACTGCTATAAAAAATCTGAAGGTGAATTTGGCCTTTGCCAAGTTGTAGACACCATTGTAGGACTGTCACCTTTCAGAAGAGTCTGGGAGGGAGGGATTTGCTTATACTCAAACAGGGAAGCTCAGGCTAGGATAGACTTGCCATTACAGGCAAGGGAGCATCAGTTGTATCTCTGATTTGGGGCAGGATGGGAGACGTCTAGATGTGTTTTACCCTAGCGACCTGGCGTTTCCACCAGGGGTAATATACACTAGGATGTCTGTCTAGCTCCTCGGTGTGATGCTTGTGTAGCTTTGTACTCCATGAGTCTTTGGCTTGCTGGTCCCAAACGAACATCAGAATTGTTGCCACATGAAGGCTATGAGCGGAAGAAGAAATGTAGATGACTAACGACACATGGCAAAAATATTCAACCTTGCTGGTAATCGAAGAACAGCAATAGAACAAATAAGTAAAGTTCAATAATAATATGCAGCATGATGTGGAATCAGACCGGCCGGGTGCACAGTCTGGCTTGTAGCTCCCTGGCTATGTAGAGTGGGAGAGTGACCTTGCCTCTCAAGCCTGTTTTCTCCTGGGTAAAATGGGGTGATGATATATTCCCTGCCTCATGGGTTTGTTGTGAGGATTCAGTTAGAAAATGTATGCACATGGCAGAGGGTCTTTAATAAGTACTCATAAAATCTTAAATATTATCTTTATTTATTTCAGTTAAAATTTATAAATTGGCCAGGTGCGGTGGCTCACGCCTGTAATCCCAGCACTTTGGGAGGCCAAGGTAGGCAGATCATCTGAGGTCAGGAGTTTGAGACCAGCCTGGCCAACATGGTGAAACCCTGTCTCTACTAAAAATACAAAAATTAGCCAGGCACGGTGGCGGGCGCCTGTAATCCCAGCTACTCAGGAGGCTAAGGCAGGAGAATTGCTTAACCTGGGAGGCAGAGGTTGCAGTGAGCCGAGATTGTGGCATTACACTCCAGCCTGGGCAACAAGAGCCAAACTCTATCTCAGAAAAAAAAAAAAAATTATAAATTTTGTTATGTTCCCAGGCTGGTCTTGAACTCCTGGGCTGAAGCAGCCCTCCCACCTTGGCCTCCCAAAGTGCTGGGATTCCAGGCATGAGCCGCCACGCCCGGCCTTAGCTGTTGTCTTTACACCATGCGTTTTTAACCCATGGATTTGCAAAAAGTGAACAAGCATATCCCTTAGCACTCTGTGATGTCTGGTAAAATGAATATTCTCCTGTAGCACTGATGGGAGGCTACATGGGTTTACCTTTCTTGGAAAGGAATGGGCAGTTTTAAGAACTTTAAAAAGTGTTCGTATCCTTTGGAGGAATACTCAAGAAAGGCATGCAGATGTATATGTTCACGGTAATTTCCCCAGAGCGAACAATTGCAAGCAGTCTATTCGACAATGAAAGAATAGTTAACATATACCTATTATGGGCTTGTATTGCAGTCATTTAAGAGTGACTTATGGGGGTGAAGAATTTTTAAAGAATTGAATAAATAAAAGATGAAAATCTGGAAGGCAATTTACCAACGATAAATTGGTGATGATGATCACTGGCAGTTATCCCAGTGGTTTCAGGTTAGGGATTTTTTTTTTTTTTTTACACTTCATATTTTTTTTGGTGTGTGTACTCACATTTCTTTAAAAAGTTTTTAGAATCAAGACAAAACAAAATGTATTGATTTATTTTTTAAAGCAATAACTAAAAAGAGCCGGAACATCTGCCACAGGGGGGCATCTGGGAGCCCTGGGACTCATCTTTGACTTTTTCTTTCTTTCTCTCCCAGTGGTGTCCGCAAAGCCCAAGGTGCATAATCGTCAACCTCGAATTAACTCCTACGTGGAGGTGGCGGTGGATGGACTCCCCAGTGAGACCAAGAAGACTGGGAAGCGCATTGGGAGCTCTGAGCTTCTCTGGAATGAGATCATCATTTTGTAAGAGAAAGCCCCTTCTTTTTGAACGCAGCAAGATGGGGAAAGAGAGAGGGTGCTCCGAGGGGGTTGTGGGAGGTACAGATTCCCTGTGGCACCTCCGACTTTTTCTACCTATGGTACCCAAGGTGACTCTTTTTAGGTGTTCCTACACCATTGAGCTCATAGAGCGTTCATTATTATCTAGAGGGTTACAGGGTCAGCTTTGAGAGGGGAAAGGATATATGTGGGTGTCTGCCTGTTTTGGTTCCCCCTCCCCAAGATGTCAGCAGTTTAGTTTAAATGTTTTCTTCTAAGTTATAGGAATGATCTGCTTGGATGTAATGAATCAGGTATTTGTTTTTCAGGAATGTCACGGCACAGAGTCATTTAGATTTAAAGGTCTGGAGCTGCCATACCTTGAGAAATGAACTGCTAGGCACCGCATCTGTCAACCTCTCCAACGTCTTGAAGAACAATGGGGGCAAAAGTACGTATGATGAAGGGGGTGCCGACGTGATTCTTGGGTGGGGATGGGAGGACCTGGCAGATCAACCTGGTATTGCAATTTCCCCCAGGACTAGGGGCTGCAGTACCTCTGTTCTCCTTGGATGCTGTCTTTGGAGTTTTGGGAAGGCTGAGGGCTCCTCTCTGCCTCCACTACAGAGTTTAGCCCTCTTTGTCCAGGGCCTCTAGTAATGTGATGCAGTGGTGTGTTGCCCTTTATCCTTCCTTAGGGACTGGAAACTTTCTGTCTGCCTCTGCTCCTCTTCCCGTTGCAGGAGATGTGTGATATGTTGAATGAAACTGTCAAATACCTCTAGCCTAAATCATTGCTTTTCTAGCCTCAGCCCTAAAACAGAACAAAGGAGCTGTGTGTATACGTATATGTGTGTGTGTGCATGCCTGTGTGCATGTGTGCACGTGTGTGTCTGGGATAGTATTACAAATAGTGCCCTGTGCTTACTCGGCACTCAGTAAACATTTACTGGATGTTGGAACGTGATGGACGCGCCATCTGAATTAGCCAACGTGCCTCTACGTCACGGACATATAAATCCTCATCTATTTATTGCTGTTTGTGGTCAGTGGCATGGCCCATGGCGGTGGTATTGGACCCTCCTTCATAAGGCCTCTATTCAGAGCAGTACCATATGTGGCGAATGAATGGCATGGAAAGAAAGGCTCCTTTTTCTCTTGATATCTGGAAAGTATTTTCTGAAAGTGGATGTAGCTTAAGAGAGAGGTGGGGGCGGGGAGAGTTGCGTCCCAGCGAGCGTGTTACATGATTTAAGAGTCTTTCTTTTCTCTCCAAGCCTGTCCTTTTAAGCGATGGGCCACTTGAAAGGTCTTTGAGCCTCCTCTGGTCTTTTCTTTTCGGCTGGGCACATAGAGATGTGCTGAACCCACACTGGCCCGAGGAATTGTTTAAAACCAGAGATGTGCCTCCACTTTAATCCTGCAGAGAACTCCCTGATTGCTTTGTCTTCTGAATTGGTGTTTATTTTCCCAAACCCTAGCCAGCCTTTTGTAATTTGATCATCAGGGAGAATTCTATTTATTGCAATATTTGGAAATATACTTGTGGATAGCCTCACATTAGGATGCAGCAACCAGCATGAGGGTCCTTTTTTCCTCTTCATTTGCCCAGCCAATATACTTTTGCTTTTGGTTAGCAAAAGTCCTTGTAGAAATTGTAAATTACAGAAAGAAAACAAAATTTGCCCCTAAGCACAGCACCTAGTAATAGTTATTGTTTTTTCTTTTTTTTTTTTTTGAGATGGAGTCTTACTCTGTTGCCCAGGCTGGAGTGTAGTGGTGCAATCTCGGCTCACTGCAACCTCCGCCTCCCAGGTTCAAGCGATCCTACCACCTCAGCCTCCCAAGTAGCTGGGATTACAGGCATGTGCCACCATTCCCAGCTAATTTTTGTATTTTTAGTAGACATGAGGTTTCACTGTGTTGGTCAGGCTGGTCTTGAACTCCTGACCTCAGGTGATCTGCCCGCCTCATCCTCCCAAAGTGTTGGGATTACAGGCGTGAGCCACTGCACCCAGCCTGATAGTTATTCTTAATGTTTTTTTAAAAGCAATTTTATGGCCGGGGGTGGTAGCTCACGCCTGTAATCCCAGTACTTTGGGAGGCTGAGGCGGGTGGATCACCTGAGGTCAGGAGTTCGTGACCAGCCTGGCCAATATGGCGAAACCCTGTTTCTACTAAGAAAAATACAACAATTACCCAGGGATGGTGGTGGGCGCCTGTAATCCCGGCTACTCAGGACGCTGAGACAGAAGAATCGCTTGAACCCGGGAGGTGGAGGTTCCAGTGAGCCGAGATTGCGCCACTGCACTCCAGCCTGGGTGACAGAGCAAGTCTTAAAAAAAAAAAAAAAGCAATTTTACTTTAATTAATTAATTTTTATTTTTATATATATATATTTTTTGAGACAGGTTTCTCACTTTGTCACTCAGGCTGGAGTGCAGTGGTGCAATCTCGGCTCACCGTAGCCTCTGCTCCTGGGCTCAAGTGATCCTCCCACCTCAGCCCCCACCCCTAGTAGCTGGGACTACAGGCACACGCCACCATGGCCTGGCTGTATTTCATATTTTTAGTAGAGAGTAGGTCTCACTATGTTGCCAGGATGGTCTGGAACTCCTGAGCTCAAGTGATCCGCCTGCCTTGGCCTTCCAAAGTGCTGGGATTACAGATGCGAGCCACTGCGTCTGGCCAATTAATTAATTTTTAGATTGAGATGGGATCTCCCTATATTGCTCAGGCTGGAGTGTAGTGGCTATTTATAGGCACGATCACAGCTCACTGTAGCCTCAAACTCCCAGCCTCAAGCCATCTCCTGCCTCAGCCTCCGGAATAGCTGGAACCACAGGCGTGCACCACTATACCTGACTACTGTTAACATTTTGATGTATACATTTTTGAGCTTTTAAATTTTATCTTTTAAATAATTTTTTCCCCTCAGATCCTTGTTCTGATCTTTTTTTATATTTGTAGACGTATATTGATGTTTATGACATCAATGAAACTAAATTGAGATTATACATGAACATATTATTTTGCAATATGCCTTTTTCTCTTTAAAAATGTATCAATATATATTTATTTTTATTTATTTATTTTTTTTTCTGAGACGGAGTCTTGCCCTGTTGCCCAGGCTGGAGTGCAGTGGCGCGATCTTGGCTCACCACAACCTTTGCCTTCTGGGTTCAAGCGATTCTCCTGCCTCAGCCTCCCGAGTAGCTGGGACTACAGGCACCCACCACCATGCCCGGCTAATTTTTGTATTTTTAACAGAGACAGGGTTTCACTATGTTGGCCAGGCTGGTCTCGATCTCCTGACCTCGTGATCTGCCCGCCTCGGCCTCCCAAAGTGCTGGATTACAGGCATGAGCCACCGTGCCTGGCCTATATTTATTTTTAGTTGTGATAAAATACACATGATGTAAAATTAATCACGTTAATAATTTTTAGGTGTATAGGTTAGTGGTGTTAAGTACATTCACCTTGTACAACCATCACCACCATCTATCCCCAGAACTCTTTTCACCTTGCAAAACTGAAATTCTGTCCCATTAAACCATGACTCCCCCATCCTCCCCTCGCACCAGCACCTGGCAGCTACCGCTCTACTTTCTGCTTCTGTGAATTTGGCTTTTCCAGGTAGCTTATGTTAGTGGAACCATACAGTATTTGTCCTTTTATGACTGGCTTATTTCAGTCAGCATAATGTCCTCAAGGCTTATTCATGTTGTAACATGCGTCAGAAGATTTTTCTTTCCTTTTGTTTTTTTTTTTTTTGAGACAGGGTCTCGCACTGTCGCTCAGGCTGGAGTGCAGTGGCGCGATCTCGGCTCACTGCAACCCCTGTCTCCTGGGTTCAAGTGATTCTCCTGCCTCAAGCTTCCAAGTAGCTAGGATTATGACAGGTACCTGCCACCATGCCCAGCTAATTTTTTTATTTTTAGTAGAGACGGGAGTTTCACCATGTTGGCCAGGCTGGTCTCGAACTCCTGACCTCAAGTGATCTGCCCACCTTGGCCTTCCAAAGTGCTGGGATTACAGGCATAAACCACCGCATCTGGCCCAAGATATCTTATTATGTATGTGCAAATATACCAAAATCTGAAAAAATCTGAAATCCAAAACACTTCCAGTCCCAAGCATTTCAAATAAATACTTATGAGACCTGTACAATTTACCTTCCCATCAGCAGTGGCTGAAATTTCTGGTTTGTATTGTACCTTGGCATATATTGGATATTACTTGTAAAAAAAAAAAGCCTTTTTTTTTCCTATTTGATAACTATTAACATTATGATGGATTTGCTTTTCCTGTTTCTTTTTGGCTGAATTATTTTTATTTTCTTATTTTTTACTTTTTTGCTCTGATCTCCTGGCCTCTCAATAAGAAGTATTTTAAAGTATATTCTAGACGTCCTGACATTTTATCCTAGATTCTTCAGCATGCATCTTGTTAAAACAGGACATTTTCTTTATTTTAATTCTTCTACTTTTTTCTATTTTTTTTTTACTTTGGAACATTTACATAAAAAAAACATTATCTTACACAATTACTGTATCGTTATCACATTTAGCAATAGTGACATGAATTCCTATTTATGTCTAATAACCTGTTCATAGTTTCACCATTTTTCTCAACATGTCGTTTTGCAGTTTTACATTTGGTTTGCTTGAACCTGGGTTTGGGAAGGTCCATTCATTGGTTGTTCTATCTCTGAGGCCCCCCACTTCCACCCTGCTTTTTTGTGTGTGTGTGTGAAAGCAAATTTGTTAAGAAAGTAAAGGAAGGCAGGGCGCAGTGACTTACACATGTAATCCCAGACCTGGGAGGCGGAGGCAGGTTGATCACCTGAGGCCAGGAGTTCGAGACCAGCCTAGCCAATATGGTGAGACCCTGTCTCTACTAAAAATGCAAAAATTAGCTGGGCACAGTGGCGCACGCCTGTAATCCCAGCTACTCAGGAGTCTGAGGCCGGGGAGTCACTTGAACCTGGGAGGCGAAGGTTGCAGTGAGCTGAGATTGTGCCACTGCAGTCCAGCCTGGATGACAGAGCAAGACTCCGTCTCAAAAAAAAATAAAGTAAAGGAATAAAGAATGGCAGAGCAGCCTCCACCCTACTTTTTAAAGCTGTGATTTGTTGAAGGCTACTGAAGGATTAAAAAAAAGTGTTTATTGCCCTATTAATGTCCTTTGCTCATTTTTATATTGAAGTGTGCATTTTTCTCTTTTGGTATTGAAAGAACTCTTTATTTGTTAAGGTTATTATTCTTCGTCTTACCATTTGTAAATGTTTTTCTAGTTTTTCATTTGCATTCTAACTTTGTATGTTTTTAACTTTCTGTAGTCCAATCTGTCACCCTTTATGTTTTCAGCATTTTCTTTCATGCTTTGGAAGGCATTCCCCCTTCTGAGATGAGGTAAATGGTCACCTCTATTTTTTCCTAGGTGTTTATGATTTTATTTTTTCCTGGGTGTTTATGATTTTATTTTTTCACATTTAATTCTGCATCCACATGAGTTTATTTTTGTGCCCAGTACAAATAGGGATCTAATTCATTTTTTTCCCTAATATGTAGCTGATTGGTTTAGCACTACTTATTGAATAATCCATCTGTTTCCCCAATGACTTGAGTTGCTTCAGCTTATATTAAAAACATATGTGTATTTGGGCCTGCTTAGGGACTTTCCATTGAATCCATCGTTTTATTAGCCTTTCCAAATCACTCTGTCTATGCTATTGTAAAATTATGTTTTAATATCTGGCAGTTAAGTTTCTCTTTTTTTTCAAAGTCTTCATGCTTCTTTTCTTTGCATATATCACATCACTAGATGAACCTTAACAGTTTCATCAGATTCTCTCCTCTTCCTACTCCCCATGCCCCCTAAAAAATCTCTTGAGATTTTATGGAGTCCTGTCATATGTAAAGTTAACGTAATGGGGAATTTTCATACTGAACTCCCCACATAGGAACATGGAATGTTTCTAAATTAATTCAAATAATTTTGAAGTTATCTTTAAATAGATTCCACTTTAAATTTTAAAAACCTTTGGTATTATTTTCAGTGGGATCTTTTCTTATTCTGTCTTCTAACTCAGTATTGTTGGTAAATGGCTGTTTCTGCATTTTCTTTTGTAATCTGTCAGTTTACTGAGTCCTTTAGTATAGGTTTGCAGTAGTTTCTTTTGAGTTTGCTTGGTAGACTTTTTTTTTTTTTGAGATGGAGTCTCACTCTGTCACCCAGGCTGGAGTACAGTGGCATGATCTTGGCTCACTGCAATCTCCACCTCCTGGGTTCAAGCGATTCTCGTGCCTCAGACTACTGAGTAGCTGGGATTACAGGCGCCCAACACCATGCCTAATTTTTGTATTTTTGGTAGAGACGGGGTTTCATCATTAAGGCCAGGCTGGTCTCAAACTCCTGACCTCAGGCGATTTGCCTGCCTCGGCCTCCCAAAGTGCTGGGATTACAGACGTGAGTCACTGCGCCCAGCCTGCTTGGTAGACTTTTATGTGGGTTGTGACACTGATAATTTTGTTAATCCTAAGAGATAATTATATTTCTATTTTGTGTTAGTTGCTTTGCATAAAACTTTCTGTTTTAGTGGTGATAGAGAAATGCCCTCTAGTAAATAACTTCTAGGTGTAAGGCTGGGTATTAGTAACCTTTTTGCTTTCTTCTTCTTTTTTTATTTTATTTTTTGGCACCTTTCTGACTGGGAATCTTTTTGATTTATTAATCATTGCAGGTTAAAAAAAAAGTCAGGAAGGATGTTGAGTTTTTTTTTGAGACAGGATCTTGCTTTGTTGCCCAGGCTGGAGTGCAGTGGCATGATTACCACTCACTGTGGCCTCTACCTCCCAGGCTCAAGCAATCCTCCCATCTCAGTCTCTGGAGTAGCTGGGACTATAGGTGTGTTACTAATTTAATTTTTTTTCTTTTTTTTTTTTTTTAGAGATGGTATCTCACTATGTTGCCCAGGTTGGGTGTTGACTTTGTATCAAATATCTATTAAGCAGCCATTGGAATGATTATATGATTTTTCTTCTTTAAATTACTATATTAATTTCTACAACTGGGCACAGTGGCTCATACCTGTAATCTCAGCACTTTGAGAGGCTGAAGCAGAAGGATCACTTGAGGCCAGTAGTTTGAGACCAGACAGGGAAACATAGCAAGACCCTGTCTCTACTAAAAATTAAAAAAAAAATTAGCCAGGTGTGATGGTGTACGCCTGTAGTCCCACCTACTTGGGTGACTGAGGCAGGAGGATCACTTGAGTCCAGGATTCTGAGGCTGCAGTGAGCTATGATTGTGCCAGTGCACTCTAGGCTGGACAGCAGAGTGAGACCCTGTCTCTAGAAAAGATTTTTAAAAATCTATTATATGAATTTCCTAATAGTAATTATCTTAGAATTTCTAGAATATACCTAGTTGCTCAAGATAGACTATTCCTTGAAAATTTTGTTAGAATTGTTTGTTAATATTTTATATTGGGGTTTTCCATCTATATTCGTTAGTGGTAATTTGTCTGTAGCTTTGGTCTATTTTTGTCAGCTTTGGAATCAAGGCCAAGCTAATTTTATAAAGTAAATTGATGTGCTTTCCAACTTTGGGAACAGTCTCTATAACATGGGAATTATCTGTTCCATGAGTGCAGCAAAGAGCTCACCCATAAAACCAACTGGGTCTGGCATCTTGCTTTGAAATAATTCTTTGATGACTTTTTTTTTCAGTTTTCCCCCCCATAATTACTGGTTTGTTCAGCTTCTTTGTTTCGTCTTGACTCAATTTTGTTAACTCATTTTTTTCTGAGAAAATCGGTTCATGAGATTTTCAAATTTATTAGAATAAGGGTTTTAAATATCATTCTCAGTTTAAAAACGTCTGTAATATTTTTTACTTTAAATTTTTGCTATTTGTGTGTTTCCCCAGTTTTTTTCTTGACTAACTTAAACATTTTTGTTTTTCATTTTTGCTTTTAAATTTACTTTTCATAGAACAACTTCTTGGATTTGTCAGATACCATATTTTGTAATATTAATTTCTGTCTTTAGCTTTATTAACTTTTCTACTATTTGCCCTAGATCTGTTTTATTTATTTATTTATTTATTCATTCATTCATTCATTCATTCATTCATTCATTCATTTATAGCTTTTCAGGTTGAAAGCTTACTGCATTTATCTTTGTCTTTTTTTTTTTGAGATGGAGTTTATCTCTTTTTGCCCAGGATGGAGTGCAATGGCATGATCTTGGCTCACTGCAACCTCTGCCTCCTGGTTTCAAGTGATTCTCCTGCCTTAGCCTCCCAAATAGCTGGTAGCTGGGGTTACAGGCACACGTCACCATGCCCGGCTAATTTTGTATTTTTAGTAGAGATGGGGTTTCACCATGTTGGCTGGGCTAATCTTGAACTCCTGACCTCAGGTGATCCACCTGCCTCAGTCTCCCATACTGCCGGGATTACAGGCGTGAGCCACCGTGCCTGGCCTATCCTTGTCTATTTTTGTTTAATAATGAAAACATGTTTGCTTTGTACTTGTCTTTGAATTTTCACCCCTGGATATTGAATTTTTTTTCTTTCAATGTAGCATTGAAAACTCATCTCTACAAAGATTTAAAAAAATTAGCTAGGTGTGGTGGTGTGTGCCTCTGGTCCCAGCTACTCGGGAGGCTGAGTCGGGAGGATTGCTTGAGCCCAGGAGGCTGAGGCTGCAGCGAGTTGTTATTGTGATACTCCACTCCTGCCTGGGTGACAGAGCAAGACCCTTTCTCCAAAAAAAAAAAAAAAAAAAAAAAAAGAAAAGAAAAAGGAAAATGAAAGGGCAGCCAGGTGCAGTAGCTTATGTCTGTAATCCTAGCACTTTGGGAGGCTGAGGTGGTAGGATTGCTTGAGCTCAGGAATTTGAGACCAGTCTGGGCAACATAGTGAGACCCTGTTTCTACAAAAAAGAAATTTAAAAAAATTAGCCAGGTGTGGTGTTGCACACCTGTAGTCCCAGCTACTTGAGAGGCAGTGGTGGGAGGATTGCTTCAGTCTGGGAGATAGAGGCTGCAGTAAGCTGTAATCATGCTGCACTCCAGCCTGGGTGACAGAGCAAAACCCTATCTCAAACAAACAAACAAAACAAAAAACATTCTTAGTGTTACAACTTGAATATGTACATGTGTCCACAGCTGCGTAATCATCACCCACATCAAGACATAGCATATTTCTAGCATCCCCAGAAGTTTCCCATTGTCCCTTCTAGTTAATTTCTCCTCCCTGAAATAACCACTATTCTGACTTCTATCACTATTGTTCAGCTTTGCCTAGTATTGAATTTCATATTAGTGAGAACATGCAGTATGTTTTCTTGTGCCTGGCTTTTCATTTTATATCTTTGAGATTAAAGATATATGACCTTTTTTTGCATGTGTCAATAGTCTTTTTTTTTTTTAATAGAGATGGGATCTCGCTATATTGCCCAGGCTGGTCTCAAGTGATCCTCCCACTTTGGTCTCCAAAAATGCTGGGATTACAGGCATGAGCCACCATGCCTGGCCTGTCTTTTATTTTTATTTTTATTTTTTTTGAGATGGAGTTTCACTCTTGTCGCCCAGGCTGGGGTGCAATGGTGCAATCTTGGCTCACTGCAACCTCCACCTCCCAGGTTCAAGCAGTTCTCCTGCTTCAGCCTCCTGAATAGTTGACATTACAGGCACCTGCCACCATGCGTGGCTAATTTTTGTATTTTCAGCAGAGACAGGGTTTCGCCATGTTGGCCAGGCTGGTCTTGAACTCCTGACCTCAGGTGGTCTGCCTGCCTCGGCCTCCCAAAGTGTTGGGATTACAGGCGTGAGCCACTGCGCCCGGCCATGGCCTGTCTTTGTATTTGGGTGTAGTGTTCTGTTTTATGAATACACCATAATTTATTTCTCCATTCTCCTATTGGTAGACATTTGAGTTGTTTCCAGTTTTTGGCCATCATGAACAACGCTGACATAAACACTCTCAGGACATGTATTTTGAAGGACACACACATACATTTCTATTGCGTATGTACAGATCTAGGAGCTTTGGTTCATAGGGTGGATGTATGCTTACCTTTAGTAGACACCATCAGTTTTCTAGTGTTGTACCAATTTGCCATCCCATAAATTTTACTGTGCTCTGATCGTTTGTAATTACTGTTGTGATTTTATCTTCAAACCCAGAGTTATTTAAGTGGATGTTTTCCAGTGGTTATATTGTTTGTGGTATTGGTTGTAGCTATTGCTGCTGTTGCTGGCACCAGCCGTAGCACGTTGTGCATGTGGCTGGGTTGGGTAGCAGGCAAATCAGATCAGAGTCTGTTGGAAAATGTGGATTGCAACAGGGCAGTGGGCTTTTTCTTAGAAAAACAAATCTTCTAGGATGACAATGGCGTACGTAGCCTATGTACCTAACATTCCAGCCATGTTTCATAAAGTCTTCTATTTAGAGCCAGGTTATTTCTGGTAATTGCAAATCTTCCCAAAGATGGGGAGGTTTGAATCTCAGAGATGGACCACAGAGACCCTGTTTCCGGATGCGAGACTGTCTTGCCTAAAGGGAAGGCAGTCCTGAGGTTGTTTCAGGAGGGAATTCTAGGATGAGACAAATGCAGAAGCTTTGAGGGTGGCCAGGTACGGTGGCTCACGCCTGTAATCCCAGCACTTTGGGAGGCCAAGGTGGGTGTATCACCTGAGGTCAGGAGTTCGAGACCAGCCTGACCAACATGGTGGAACCCTGTCTCTACTAAAAATACAAAAAATTAGCTGGACGTGGTGGTGTGTATTTGTAATCTCAGCTACTCGGGAGGCTGAGGCAGGAGAATCACTTGAACCCAGGAGGCAGAGGTTGCAGTGAGCCGAGATTGCGCCATTGGATGCCAGCCTGGGTGACAAGAGTGAAACTCCGTCAGAAAGAGAAAGAGAGAGAGAGACAGAGAGAGAGAGAGAGAGATAGGAAGGAAGGAAGGGGAGAGAGAGAAAAAGAAAAAAGAAAGAAGGAAAGAAAAGGAAAAAGCTTTGAGGGTGTGGAGTGGGGAAGCTGTCGTTAACATGGGACATTTCAGCCCCATGGGCTTGCCCCTTGCTCTTGGTGTGGAACAATGTTTGCAGAGTGGTGTCAAATCGTGCATACAGTTGTGTAGGGTAAGTGGGTCACAGTGCGGTTAGGTAACTCCTCTCACCGTGGCCTAGTCTTCCCGCAGCATCTTTTCCTGGGGAAGGACCTGATGGGCGATGGTTGCCCTAACTGACATTCTCCTCTTCCACGGACAGAATTCGTTCTTTCATTTGCTCCCTTGTTTTCCCTGGGTGGACTTGGACATTGGCTGGGAAACTCAGCTGGCTGTTTTCTGCCTGCCTTTGGCAGAGGGATGCTGTAATGCAGGGTTTCACTCACGTCCCGCAGTGGCGGATGGTCAACCTGGGCTGACTTCTCTCTGAGGGGACATTCGCCCTGGCCATGGCTGCAAAAAGACTTGCCCAAAAGTGCTGGTTTGCCTCTTAAAGGTAGTTCTAGTCATCTCTGGGTAGAACCCAGCTTTTGATGTTGCCAGTTCAGTTTTTTAACATCTTTTTTTTTTTTTTTTGAGACGGAGTTTCGCTCTGTCCCCCAGGGACATGAGGGCAGTGGCACAATCTCGGCTCACTGCAAGCTCCGCCTCCTGGGTTCACGCCATTCTCCTGCCTCAGCCTCCCGAGTAGCTGGGACTATAGGCACCCACCACCACGCCTGGCTAATTTTTTGTATTTTTTTTTAGTAGAGATGGGGTTTCACTGTGTTAGCCAGATAGTCTCAATCTCCTGACCTTGTGATCCGCCTGCCTTGGCCTCCCAAAGTTCTAGGATTACAGGCATGAGCCACTGCGCCCAGCCTTAACATCTTTTTACTAGAGGAATTTTCTTTTTTTTTTTTTTTGAGACGGAGTCTCGCTCTGTTGCCCAGACTGGAGTGCAGTGGCACAATCTCCGCTCACTGCAACCTCCGCCTCCCAGGTTCAGGCAATTCTCCTGCCTCAGTCTCCTGAGCAGGTGGGATTACAGGTTCACACCACCACGCCCAGCTAATTTTTCTATTTTTAGTAGAGATGGGGTTTCACCATGTTGGCCAGGCTGGTCTTGAACTCCTGACCTCAAGTGATCTGCCCGCCTTGGCCTCCCAAAGTGCTGGGATTATAGGTATGAGCCACCATGCCCGGCTGGAATTTTCAAACATAATTTTCATGATGCAGCTTCAAGACTTATCAGCATGTTTCATCTGTTCCCACCCACTGGCTGCTCTTAATTTCTTTCTACATTGTTAGCAGGTAGGGTCTAATACTCCATTTCCTCTTGTAGCTCCCCACTCCTGCAGCTCTCCCAGGAGCACTGCAGACTTTGGCTTTCCCAGAATCTCCTACTTTCAAGGAGGTGAATGTAGCTTGAAGTAGGTTTTTTCCCTCCCCAATTTTTGTATTTTTAAATAATTTCAGGCTAGGTGTGGTGGCTCACACCTGTAATCCCAGCATTTTGGGAGGCTAAGGCAGGAGGTTTGCTTGAGCGTGGGAGTTCAAGACCAGCTTGGGCAACATAGTGAGACCCATGCCACCCCTCCATCCCTACAAAAAATAAAAAAATAGCAGGGTCTGGTGGCTTATACCTCCCCACACTTTGGGAGGCTGAGGTGGGAGGCCCTCTTGAGCCTAGGAGTTTGAGACCAGACTCAGTATTGTAGTGAGACACAGTCTCTACAAAAATAAAAATAAAGGAAATAGCTGGGCATGGTGGGCATGCAACGGTAGTCCCAGCCACTTGGGAGGCTGAGGTGGGAGGATCACTTGGGCACAGGACTTAGAGGCTGCAGTGAGCTTTGATTGTGTCACTGCAATCCAGTCTGGATGACAGAGCCAGACCCAGTCTCAAAAAAATAAAAGATTCAAATTCAGAGAAGTGTTACAAGAATAGAACAAAGAACTCCTCAATGTCGTCCTTCACCCAACTGTTAAAATTTGCTACATTTGCTTTCACTGTGTTCTTCTGAGCCATTTTAGAGTAAATTACAAACCTCGTGTTTCTTTCATCCCTAAATACTGATGTGTCTGGTTCCTAAAGGAGAAGGATACTACAGTACAATTAACAAAACTAAGAAATTTCCCGTTTTTGCAGTGTTGTTAATCTAATTCAGATTTCCCAGCTGTCACAGTCCAGGACCTCATGCAAGATGCAGTGTTTAGTTGTCCTGTGTCTTTAAATCTGGATCTGCATCAGTTCCTTAGGGTATTTATGTCTTTCATGACATTGGCATCGGCGTTGTTGAAGAGTACAGACCTTTTTTTTTTTTTTTTTTTTTTTGAGATGGAGTCTCGTTCTGGCACCCAGGCTGGAGTGCAATGACATGATCTTGGCTAACTGCAACCTCTGCCTCCTGGTTCAAGCAATTCTTCCACCTTAGCCTCCTGAGTAGCTGGGATTACAGGCACCCACCATCATGCCCAGCTAATTTTTGTGTCTTTGTAGAGATGGGGTTTCATCATGTTGGCCAGGCTGGTCTTGACCTCTTGACCTCAGGTAACCTGCCCGCCTCGGCCTCCCAAAGTGCTAAGATCACAGGCATGAGACACCGCGCCTGCCCCCAACCCCCCCCCTTTTTTTTTTTTTTTAATTGAGACAGAGTCTGGCTCTGTGGCCCAGGCTGGAGTGCAGTGGTGTGAACACGGCTCACTGCAGCCTCTATCTCCTGGGCTCGAGGAATCCTCCCACTTCAGCCTCTTAGTTGAGACCACAGATATGTGCCACCCTGCCCAGCTAATTTTTAAAAATTATTTGGCAGATTCCCCTCAACTTGGGGCTGTCTGCTTTTCCTCATGGTTAGATTCAGAGTGTGCATTCTTGGCAGGAACACCCAGGAGTGACTTTGTGTCCTTCTCAGTGCAGCATATCTGGGAGCTCATGACTCAGCTTGTTTATTATTGATGACATTAACTTTCATCACTTAGGGTGCTGTGTGTCAGGTTTTTCCACTGCAAAATTACTGTTTCCCCTTGTCAATGAAAAGGTATTATAATTTACGGGGAGGTACTTTGAGACTGTGTAAATGTCTATTCCTCATCACACCTTCACCTGCTAGTTTCTGCATCCGGTGATTTTACTCTGATGCCTATAGATTTTTATTTTTGAATTCCATCCTTCCTTCTGCATTTATTAATTGGCATAGTACTGCAAAGAAGGGCTTTCCGTTTTCATGTATGCGTGTGTGTAGGTATGTATTATCAGCTTCTACTCATGGATTCAGATTTTATTCCATGGGTTATAACTTATTTCTGGTGTAATTTTTTTTTTTTTTTTTTGAGATGGAGTTTTGCTCTTGTTGCCTAGGCTGGAGTGCAATGGCGCGATCTTCGCTCACCGCAACCTCCGCCTCCTGGGTTCAAGCGATTCTCCTGCCTTATCTTCCTGAGTAGCTGGGATTACAGGCATGTGCCACCACACCCAGCTAATTTTATATTTTTAGTGGAGATGGGGTTTCTCCATGTTGGTCAGGCTGGTCTCAAACTCCCAACCTCAGGTGTTCCACCTGCCTCGGCCTCCCAAAGTGCTGGGATTACAGGCGTGAGCCACTGCGCCCAGCCTTTTTTTTGTTGTTTTTTAAATTGTTTGTTTATTTTAGATAGAGTCTTGCTCTGTCACCCAGGCTGGAGTGCAGTAGCGCAATCTCAGCTTCCTGGGTTCAAGCGATCCCCCCACCTCAGCCTCCAGAGTAGCTGGGACTACAGGTGTGTGCTGGCTAAATTTTTTATTTTTATTTTTTGTATTTTTGTAGAGACAGGGTTTCACCATGTTGCCCAAGGCTGGTCTTAAACTTTTGGGCTCTAGTGATCCTCCCACGTTGGCGTCCCAAAGTGCTGTGGGATTACAGCTGTGAGCCACTGTGCCTGGCCTCTGGTGTTGATTTCATGCTAAAATGATCTCTGGCTTGGCCAGTGGCTGCCTCTTCAAGCTTGCTGCTGTATCTTTTCACATGTCCCCATCATATATTTTTGTCCCAACATAATCCAATATAGGTAAAATTTACTATGTGATAAAGATGGCATTTAAAATCAGAAGAGAAAGGCAAACAAGTGGCATTAAGATCATCAGCTAACCCAGTGGTTTTTGAAGTGTGATCCTGAGGCCAGTGGCACAAGCATCTCCAGGAAATATGTCAGACACCTAAATTCTCAGGCCAACAAGCCCTTGGGATTCGGGGACACACTTGTTTGAGAACCAGTAAGCTAAACCACTTGAGGGAAAATAAAGTCAGGTACCTTGCATACCAAATGTGGGGTCGTTTGTTTGTTTGTTTGTTTTTGACAAGGTCTTGCTCTGTCGTCTAGGCTGCAGTGCAGTGGTGTGATCATAGGTAACTGTAGCCTCGAACTCCTGGGCTCAAGCGATCCTCTTGCCTCAGCCTCCAGAGTTGCTGGAACTACAGGCATGCGGTCCTGTGCCTGGCTACTGAACCTGTATATTAAACACTATGAATTTGTACTGAAGCCACCAATCCAATTCCAACTCAGCTCCACAGGGCTCTTCCTAACCTTCCTCCACTCTCATGAGAACCCTGGCACTCAACACTATTTATAAATATTTACAAATTCCTTCACATCTGTAATGCACAGAAGGCGATTTGAGAATTCCTGTACCCACACCACCATGAAAGGTGAAGTTGATTTTGAAAAGCTCCGTACTTTATGCTGTCCATGTTCTGTGTGTGTTTCTTCTCTTTCCTCGTGTGTCTACCAGATTCAAAAAGAGAAAGAAAAAGAAAACAACCTCCTATTTATTTAAAAATCTTTTAAGCAGAGGGTTATTACAGCACTTTACATTCCAAGAACAGACAGGCCAGTCATGAGCGGTGGGCCTCCTCCCTTATTGCTCCGTGAGGATGGAGTGTTCTGGTGGATGGGCCGTGGGTCTTGAGCAGCTGTACCTGACAGACAGTGTACCCATTTATTTTAAAGTAAACACAGCACTGTTTTTCCAGTTTTTCAGCTGGAAGATAAATAAAACTACTGAACCTTGGAACTTGAGTCAGTGGGAGAAGAGAAGAAATTTTTAAAAAGTTGCTCTTCAGTTAAAAACAACTTTAAATTTATTTTTATTATTAGTTTTTTAAAAATATTTATTTATTTATTTTTATTTTTTTGAGATGGAGTCTCACTCCTCTGTCATTCAGGCTGGGGTGTAGTGGGACGATCTTGGCTCACTGCAACCTTCGCTTCCTGGGTTCAAGCGATTCTCCTGCCTCAGACTCCTGAGTAGCTGAGATTACAGGCATGAGCCACCATGCCTGGCTAATTTTTGTATTTTTAGTAGAGACAGGGTTTCACCATGTTGGCCAGGCTAGTCTCAAACTCCTGATCTCAGGTGATCAGGCCATCTTGGCCTCCCAAAGTGCTGGGATTACGGGCGTGAGCCACCTCACCCGGCCTAATTTTTATTGTTAGTTTTTTAGAGGCAAGGACCTACTCTGTCACTCAGGCTAGGGTACAGTGGCTCGAGCATAGCTCACTGTAACCTTGAACTCCTGGCCCTAGGCCATAGATCATTCACTGAGCTATGATCATGGCACTGTATTCTAGCCTGGGTGACAGAGTGAGACCCTGTCTCTTTAAAAAAAAAAAAAAAGGAGAGGGGCAGGGGCTGGGCACGGTGCCTGTAATCTCAGCACTTTGGGAGGCTGAGGTGGGTGGATCACAAGGTCAGGAGTTTGAGACCAGCGTGGCCAATGTGGTGAAACCCCCGTCTCTACTAAAAATACACAAATTAGCCGGGTGTGGTGGCGGGTCCCTGTAGTCCCAGCTGCTTGGGAGGCTGAGGCAGGAGAATTGCTTGAACCTGAGAGGCGGAGGTTGCAGTGAGCCGAGATCGCCCCATTGCACTCCAGCCTGGGCGACAGAACAAGACTCCGTCTCGAAAAAAAAAAAAAAAAGGCAATGGAATCATACATACTGTATATTATGGCCTCAACACATGTTCCCAATTTCCTTTCTCTGCTTTATTTTCTTTCTGAGTAGCTAAGACTACAGGCGTGTGCCACCATACCAGGCTAATTTTTAAATTTCTTGTAGAGTCAGGGTCTTACTATGTTGCCCAGGCTGGCAATTTTAAACTTAAATTGGATAAATTACTCACCATTCTTCAGCTGAGGAGGCAGCAAGGGACAAAAGTAAAAGACAGCTACAGACCCTGGTGCCTTCAACAGGCTTCATGGTAGAAACTGCTAACCCAGTCCTGCATACCCAGTTAGTTTTTTCAACCTGGTAAACCACTATTTCAATCTTGTGGAATGATTACAATAATACTAGATTCTGAGAGTTTTTCTCTTGCTCCCTAAATTGAACATTATTATTAATATTTTGTATGACTGTAAAAGGTGTGTAAAATTTCATATCATGTATATTTTACCACAATTAAAAATAATTACTTAGCCCAGTGCAGTGGCTCACGCTTGTAATTTCAGCACTTTGGAGACTGAGGTGAGAGGATGACTTGAAGCCAGGAGTGCAAGACCAGCGTGGGCAACATAACGAGACCCACCGCTCTATTAAAAAAAAATCTATATCTATAACTATATCTATATAATATATATAAATATATATACTTTATATATGTAATATATAAACATATATACACTAAATCATTCTTGAGCAAGCTAATAAAATAAAAAGTAAAAAAAGCAATACAGGCTCATAAAATTAAAAACATTATTAGTATTTTTCTGATTATTATTATTTCATGCCTATTACTAAAAAGGACAATATTCTGAGTGCTTCGTATGTATCAGTCATTTTTCTGAATTCCCTCATATGTATATACATATACACACGTATACATGTACACATGTACATACACACATGCACACGTATACATATACACACGTATACATATACACATACACACATACACATATACACACACACATATATACACACATGCACACACATATATGTGTAAACTCATTTATTCTTCCTCCGTACATTCAAGGTAGATTGTGGTGCCATCCCCTTTGATGAAGAAATTGAGGTGGAGAGATGCTATGTAACTTGTCCAAAGTTGTCCTATAAGGAGTTCTCAGAGTTAGGATTTAACCCAGTTCTTTTGTTCCTAGAGTCTCTGCCCATAACCTCTATACATTCTGCCTTCCAAGGAAGAAGGTTAAAATCATTTGGAATTCTGTTATTCAGACCTAATCCAGTTAATACTTTGTAATATAGCCACTGTTTTGGGGGGCATATAATCATATTTGTATGTATGCCTTTTTCCCCCCAAATGGGAACTCATTATACATATTTCTTTGTAACTTGATTTTTTCACCCAGTTTTTTCCGCATCAGTGAAACTAGGTCAGTTTTAATGGCTACAGTAATGGGTGTGCTTTGTTTTGTTTTGTTTTTTGAGACAGTCTCATGCTGTCACCCAAGCTGGAGTGCAGTGGTGCGATGTTGGCTCACTGCAGCTTCAACCTCCCAGGCTCAAGCGATTCTCCCATCTTAGCCTCCCGAATAGTTGGGATTACAGATGTGCACCACCATGCTCAGCTAATTTTTGTATTTTTAGTAGAGACAGGGTTTTTGCTATGTTGACCAGGCTGGTCTCGAACTCCTGACATCAAGTGATCCACCCACCTTGGCCTCCCAAAGTGCTGGGATTACAGGTGTGAGCTACTGTGCCCAGCCAGATGCTTTGTTTTTGTTTTGTATAAATGTACCCACAGTTTAACCAGTCTTTCATTCTTGGCCCTTTCTATTGTTTTTTACAATTACTAGCAGCACTTTTTGTTAAACTCTTTTTTTTTTTTTTTTTTTTTTTTTTAAAGAGATGGAGTCTCGCTCCGTCACACAGGGGTGTGATCACAGCTCATTGCAGCCTTGACCTCCCAGGCTCAAGTGATCCTCCCACCTCAGCCTTCCGAGTAGCTGAGATTACAGGCTTGTGTCACCATGCTTGGCTAATTTTGGCATTTCCTCCCTCCTCAGCCTCCCAAAGTGTTGGGATTACAGGTGTGAGCCATTGTGCCCAGCCTAAATTCTTGTAAAGATACCTTTATGCTCCTCTTTTTTTTTCCCTACAGTAAATTCCCAGGCATGCAGTCGCTGGGTCAGAAGGTGGGCGTGTTTCAAGTTTTTGATGCCTGCTGCCTGTGTCCATGGCAGAGTCTGGACCAATTTACACACTGTAAGGGTGCCACATACCTGTTTCCCTGTATCTCCAACAGCACTGGGTGTTGTCAGTCTTTTTAACTTACCTTAGTCTGTTAGGCAAAGTGATTTCTCTTTGTTATTTTATTTTATTTTGTTTTATATTTTAGATTTTATTTTATTTATTTATTTAATTTATTTATTTTATTTTTATGAGATGGAGTCTTGCTCTGTTGCCCAGACTGGAGTGCAGTGGTGTGATCTTGGCTCACTGCAACCTCTGCCTCCCGGGTTCAAGCAATTCTCCTGCCTCAGCCTCCCAAGTAGCTGGGATTACAGGCACCTGCCACCACGCCCAGCTAATTTTTTATTTTTAGTAGAGATGGGGTTTCACCATGTTGACTAGGCTGGTCTCAAACACCTGACTTCAAGTGATCTGCCTGCCTCAGCCTCCCAAAGTTCTGGGATTACAGGTGTGAGCCACGGCGCCTGACCTCCTTTTCTTCTTGAGGAACCTCCAGTGAGGTGTTCTGCTGCTCTGCTGCATTTGCTTGTCCCAAGGTCGCCAGTGACCTCCGTGTTGCTAAACCCAATGGTCACTTCTCAAGCTGTAATCACTGGCCTTATAGATTGGACACAATGAATCGATCCTTCCTGCTTGACATATGTTCTGCCTTGGTTTCAGGGTGCCACAATCTGTGGGTTTTCTGTCCATCTCTCTGGTCACTCTCATTCAGTCTCCCTTGCTCGTTTTTCTCTTCCCCAGTCTGCAAACATGGGGGTGCTCCATGGTGGCTTTGTCCTGTGTTCATTTGTTAATTTACCCCCCTTTCATTCACAAGCACATCCAGCCTCCTTGCTTTAAATTTGGCCTATATGCCCAAAACTCACAGCTAGGGCTTCTCCCCTGGCAACCAAAGACAGTATTTACGTCTAATTAACATCCTCAAGTGAACTGTTGAAATCTGAGTCACCTGCTTCCCACAGCTTTCTACATCTTGAAGCAGTGACAATTCTGTGTCACTCAGGCTAAAATCCTCCGTGCCTTCCTTGACTTCATTTTCTGTCCCATCAGCACCTCCTGTCTGCATTGCCTTTAGGATATATTCTGGGATCCGACCATCTGTCACTGTGACTGCTGCTGTCACCCATGTCCAAGTCACTTCTTGACTGTTATTGCAAAGGCCTCTTAATGGGTCTCCCTGCATCTGCTGTTGTCTTCCTATGGAACGGTTCTGAATGCAGCAGCCAGAATAATTCAAACCAGAAGTCAAATTGTATTGCTACTCCATAAAAACCAAAGTCATTCCCTATGAGCCCACCGGCCCCCTGTGATGCCTTTATGTGTGTCTGCTACTCCTTTGTTACCTCATCTCAAACATGCTCCTCCGCTTTCCAGATCCCTCGGGCCACAGGTCTCCCTGCTGTTTCTCCAGCCCGGTGCTGCTCTCCTGCCACTGACCCTTGGCACTGGCCTTAAATCTCTCCTGAAACTGACCCCTTCCAGTCCACTGAAATATCACCTCAGTGAGGCCTTCTTTGATAATACTGTCTTCATTTTAATTTAATTTAATTTTCTAGAGATGGGATCTCACTATGTTGACTAGGCTGGTCTTGAACTCCTGGCCCCAAGCAATCTTCCTGCCTTGGCCTCCCAAATGCTGGGATTACAGGTGTGAGCCACTGTACCTGGTCATGCCTTTTAAAAAAGGCATGTAATTCAGGGATTTTAAAATGATTTTTAAAAATCATTAATTCAGTGATTTAAAAAAACATTACTGAGTCATGCAGTCATTGCCATGAATTTTTCAATCGCCCCAGTGAGATCCTTTGTGCCCATTTATAGTGAATTCCCCTTTCCACCTCCAGCCCCTGGCAACCACGAATCTACTTTGTGTCTCTGTAGATTTACCTTTCCTGGACATTTTATAGAAATGGAATCATACAGCTGGGCACAGTGGCTCATGCCTGTGATCTCAGTGCATTAAGAGGCTGAGGCGGGGGCAGGGGATGGATGGGGTTCGAGACTAGCCTGGGCAACATAGTGAGACCCTCTACAAAAAATAGGAAAATTAGCCAGGTGTGGTTGTCCACACCTGTAGTCCCAGCTACTCAGGAGGGTGAGGCAGGAGGATTACCTGAGCTTTGGTGGTCGAGGATGCAGTGAACTGTGATCATGCCACTGTACTCCAGCCTGGGTGACAGAGTGGGACCCCTGTCTCTTTATTTTTTGTTATTATTATTTTTTTGAGATGGAGTCTCACTCTGTTGCCCAGGCTGGAGTGCAGTGGTGCATCTCAGCTCACTGCAACCTCCGCCTCCTGGGTTCAAGTGATTCTCCTGCCTCCGCCTCCTGAGTAGCTGGGATTAAAGGCATGTGCCACTGTGCTTGGCTAATTTTTTTGTATTTTTAGTAGAGATGGGATTTCACCATGTTGGCCAGGCTGGTCTTGAAATCCTGATCTTAAGTGATCCACCCACCTCAGCCTCCCAAAGTGTTGGGATTACAGGCGTGAGCCACCGCTCTTGGCCCCCTGTCTCTTAAAAAAAAAAAAAAATAGGACCACACGTATTGTATATTGTGGCCTTGAAAAAACTGTCTTAATTGTGACTACTCCTCCCCAGCATTCCCTGTTTCTCTTCTCTGCTTTATTTTCTTGTAAGCGGTTCTCCCCATATACTACTGTTTATTTTGTTTATTTTTCTCATTCATTGTCCTCCACAAATAGAATGTAAGGTCTATGGGGGCAGGCGTTTTGTGAATTTTGTTCACTTTTGTGTACCTACAACACAAAACCATGAATACATGCATATACACACACACACACACACACACACACACACACGACGTTGAAAGAGTGACTTTCTCCTCTAATTACTGAGGATGAACGTCTTTTCCTGTGACTTAGGTCTTTGC
This sequence comes from Homo sapiens, assembly GCF_000001405.40. Classification (NCBI taxonomy): domain Eukaryota; kingdom Metazoa; phylum Chordata; class Mammalia; order Primates; family Hominidae; genus Homo; species Homo sapiens. The sequence goes on from NC_000016.10 coordinate 69,820,929, forward strand.
AGCCAGTGTCCGGCTCACCTCGGAGGCTGACAGCAGGACCAGTGTGGTGCGTGCTGCCCACTCCGGCGAGGCTATGGGCTGAGCCCAGTTCCAGCCGCCAAATGCAAGCCGTTGTTTCATTTTGCCCTGATCGAGTTGCAGTTACATCAGCGACTACTGTTTTTTTGATTGGCACCAGATGCCAGGCTTTGGGATTTCAGGCTGTCTTTAGCGGTCTCTGAAAAGCCCTCTGTGTGTCGCTTTCTATCATCCTGCACCTCAGGCAGATATGCCCAGGCCAGAACCTCAAGGAATTCCCAAAGATGCCAAAAGCAACCCCCTCCCTCAGCCCCACACCCTCAACTTCTCAAAGTTGCAGCCGGGGCCCTTTTCCTGGCTTTGGTATCAGCTGAGAGCTGTTGGAAAGAAAAGGTCCTTTTAGCCACAAGTTTCAAAAAGTAAACACGGAGGCCCTGCAACGAATGTTCCAACAATCCTGCACCCTGTGTCACTGAGTGCTGGCTGAGAGGCTGCCTTGTGGAGCCTCACCTGAAGAGAGAAGAAAAGCTCTCTGTCAGGATTCCCTTCCCCTGGTCCAGGCTGCTGCCTCCAGAGTGTTCTGTGAGGTGTCGGCTTTGGAAGTCGGTCAGCCTCGTGGGAACACATATTTGAGCAAAGGGTGATTCTGCTCCAAATGCTGAATGCTGGCCAAGGCCTTTCCTCTTACTCCTTTTCTACAGGTATATTGTGACTGTTTGCATTTTAGTCTGCAGTAGGTGGCCAAGACATTTTTTCTCCCCTTTCTTTTCTTTCTTACTTTTTTTTTTTTTTTTTTGTAGAGATGTAGTCTCACTGTGTCAGGCTGGTCTCAAACTCCTGGCCTCAAGCAATCCTCCCATCTCGGCCTCCCAAAGAGCTGGGATTATAGGCGTGAGCCACCATGCCCGGCTATTTTTCTTTGTTTTGTTTTTTTTTTAAATAAGAAACAGGGTCTTACTCTGTCACCCTGGCTAGCGTGCAGTGCCATCATAGCTCAGTGTAGCCTCAAACTTCTGGCTTTAAACGATCCTCCCACCCCAGCCTCCCGAGTAGCTAAGACCAGAAATGCACACCACTATGCCCAGCTTTTTTGTATTTTTTGTAGAGACAGGGTCTCCCTTTGTTGCCTGAGCTGGTCTCAAACTCGTGGGCTCAAGCGATCCTTCCACCTCAGCCTCCCATAATGCTGGAGTTACAGGTATGAGCCATCATGCCTGACCCCTGCTTTTCTTTCCTTCTTAGACTTAAGAGTTTCTTCGTGTTGGGTCAGGGTTTTGTGTGAGAGTTTCTTTCTTCTCTGTAGGGCATTTTCTTAGGATCATGAGCCTTGCTTGTAGCAGGGGCAGGGCCTGACGCTGATTTATCAGCTTTCGTGCAGTAAGCACCTTTGAATTCCGAGCTAGAGGCTGGCGCTGAAGTGGTGAACAGCAGACAGCATCCCTGTCCTCCTGGAATTTAGACTCTAGAGAGGAAAACAGAAAGTCGAACAAATGGTGCAAACTATTCCAGTTGTGACAGATGCGATGGAGCAAAGTACAGGATGATCTGGGAATGCATCATGGGAGACTTTGCCTGGCCTGGGTGGGGTGTGTGTGTGTGTGTGTTTGTGTGTGTGTGTTCATGCATGTGTGTTTATCAAGGAAGGCTTCCTGGAGGAAGTGACACCTGGACACCAGAAAGAGAAAAAGGAATCGTCTAGAGGAACAAGAGAAAATCATTTTAGGTGGAGGGAACAGCATGTGGGAAGCTTTGAGGCAGGAACAAGCTGGTTGCTGTCAAGTCACACAGGAGGCCAACGGCAGGGAGGAGGCAGGTGCTAGATCAGTGCTGTCCAATAGAAACAGAATTTGAGGTGTGTGTATAATTTAGAATTTGCTACTAGCCATATTAAAAATAAGTCAAAACATAGGCCAGGCACCGTGGCTCACGCCTGCAATCCCAGCACTTTGGGAGGCTGAGGCCAGTGGATCATTTGAGGCCAGGAATTCAAGACCAGCCTGGCCAACATGACAAAGCTCCATCTTTACTAAAAGTACAAAAATTAGCCAGGCATGGTGGCACGTAATCTCAGCTACTTGGGAGGCTAAGGCAGGAGAATCACTTGAACCCAGGAGGCAGAGATTGCAGTGAGCCAAGATCGCGCCACTGCACTCCAGCCTGCGCAACAGAGCGAGACTGTGTCTCAAAAAAGAAAAAAGTAAAAACAAAAACACAGGTGAAATTAATTTTAATAATGTAGCTTATTTCCACATATCTGAAATGCTATTTTAACATGTAATCAGTATAAAGAAAAGTACTAATGAGATATTTTACATACTTTTTGGCCTCAGGTGTGTCTTTCTGACACACAGCACATCTTAATCCATACCAGCCACCTTCTAAGTATGGCTGCAGGTAGCTGTGGCCCCCATATTGGACAGTGCAGGTCTAGAGGTTGAGTCCCTGGAGAAAGACTGGGAAACTTCTCTTCTTTTATTTATTTATTTGTATTTACAAATTTTTTGATTTAAATTTTCTCTTTTTCTTGTGTTTTTTTTTTTTGAGGTGGAGCCTTGCTTTCTTGCCCAGGCTGGAGTGCAGTGGTGCGGTCTTGTTCACTGCAGCCTGTGCTCCTGGGTTCAAGCGATTCTCCTGCCTCAGCCTCCCAAGTAGCTGGGATTACAGGTGTGTACCACCACACCTAGCTAATTTTTATATTTTTAGTAGAAAAGGGGTTTTGCCATGTTGGCCCTGCTGGCCTCGAACTCCTGACCTCAAGTGATCTGCCTGCCCCAGCCTCCCAAAGTGCTGGGATTACAGGCTTGAGCCACCGTGCCCAGCCAAAAATTTTTGTTAAAACATCACCTTGTCTTCAGAAGAAACTTTTCTGCGAAATCAGGTTACCATTAGTGTAGGGTTATATTTGTACAGTTCTAGAAACTTCTTCCATTCCTCTTGAGCCTGTGGCACAGGGGCGTTGGGCCATCTTCTCCAAGGGCCTGTGCTGTTTCTCATCAGCCGTGTAGCATTCAGGCCCTAAATGAACACCTGCTGCAGGCCGGGAATGGTGGCCTTGACCTGGTGACAGGAAAATGAGATTGTTGCCTGAATGTGAGCTGTTTCCTTCCCCTTGCCAAAAACAAAACTGAAACACTTCATCTGGTGTTTGGGCCTCTGCTCCGCACCAGTCATTCGGGCGGCTTCCGCCTGACCGTCCATTCCAGCCTCCCAGGTTCTCCCAGGGGAGGTGCTGTGGCTGCCGGAATAGCCATGTTAACATCAGACCTCATTTATCTCATTGCAGTGTTTAATTTTCCCTCTTCCTTCAGACTACCAGGATTCTTGGAGTATTTTTCTTAGTGTAGGAGGCTTATTCTTTGTGGGAGAGTGGTCCGTCAAAAGGGAAGGTAATCCTGGACCAGAGTAAGAGTGTCACAGTCACATAAGTGGGCAGTTAGTGCCACTATTAGGTACAGAGTGGGACTCTGACTTCAGTGCCTGGCCTGGCCTGGGAGTGCTGTTTATTACATCCAGGACAGTAAGGCACACACTTCTCAGAAAATAATATCCCTCCCTCCCTCCCTTCCCCCCTCCCCCTCCCTCCCCCTTCCCTTTGTTCCTTCCTTTTTTCCTTCCTCTTGCCCTTTTCCTCTCTCCCTCAATTAATTAATGTTTATAACACATGTATTGCATGAATTCATTCTCTTGGAGGGAGGAATCCCCAAACCCTCTTGAGTGGATAGAGTGCATCTGTATATATTTGAAAAGATTCATAGATTACAAGTGAAAAATCAAAGGGCAGAGCTTTGGGCCTAGAATGACCTCAACTTTGCACCTGTGGCTTTTTTTTTTTTTTTTTTTTTGAGACAGAGTTTTACTCTGTCACCCAGACTGCAGTACAGTGGTGTGATCTTGGCTCACTGCAGCCTCCACCTCCCGGGTTCAAGTGATTCTCCTGCCTCAGCCTCCCAAGGAGCTGGGATTACAGGCATGCACAACCATGCCTGACTAATTTTTGTATTTTTGGTAGAGATGGGGTTTCACTTTGTTGGCCAGGCTGGTCTCGAACTCCTGAGCTCAGGTGATCCACCCACCTCAGGCTCTGGGATTACAGGCATGAGCCACTGTGCTCGGCCTTGCATCTGTAGCTTTTATGTGTATATTTGTGCTTGTGTTTGCAATGACTTCATACAAAGTTTTTCAAAGTGGGCGATACTGGCTGGGTGCAGTGGCTCACACCTGTAATCCCAGCACTTTGGGAGGCTGAGGTGGGCGGATCACTTGAGGCTAGGAGTTCGAGACCAGCCTGACCAACATGGTGAAACCCCGTCTCTACTAAAAATACAAAATTAGCTGGGCATGGTGGCAGGCACCTGTAGTCCCAGCTACTCAGGAGGCTGAGGCAGGAGAATCCCTTGAACCCAGGAGGCAGAGGTTGCAGTGAGTTGAGATGGTGCCACTGCACTCCAGCCTGGGCAACAGAGCGAGATTCCATCTCCAAAAAAAAAAAACCCCAAAAACCAAAAAACTAAAGTGGCGATACCATGGGAAAGGCTTTGGAATGTGTGCATTTGTGGAGTAGGTGTCATAGTTTACCTTTCTGTATTTGAATTTTTTTGATGAGCACATTATTTTTTATTTTGAAAGCTAATATTATTTATTGTAAAGACGATATGATATAGCAGAAGTGGGTTTTTTTTTTTTGGTTTTTTTTTTTGGATACAGGGTTTTGTTCTGTTGCCCAGGCTGAGGTGTAGTGGTGCGATCACAGCTCACTGCAGCCTTGACCTCCTGGGCTCAAGTGATCCTCCCACCTCAGCCTCCCAAGTAGATGGGACCACAGGTGCATGCCACTACACCTGTCTAAGTTTTTACATTTTTTGTAGACACAGGATCTCCCTATGTTGCCCAGGCTGGTCTCAAACTGGGCTCAAGGGATTTTCTCACCTTGGCCTCTCCAAGTGTTGGGATTACAGACGTGAGCCACCACACCCTGCCTGGAAAATACTTTTTAAACTTTTTACTATGGAAAATTTCAAACATAAATAAAAGTAGAAGCAGCCAGGCGCGGTGGCTCATGCCTGTAATCCCAGCACTTTGGGAGGCTGAGGTGGGCAGATCACCTGAGGTCAGGAGTTTGAGACCAGCCTGGCCAACATCATGAAACCCCATCTGCACTAAAAATACAAAAATTAGCCGGGTGTGGTGGTGGGTGCCTATAATCCTAGCTACTCAGGAGGCTGAGTCAGGAGAATCGCTTGGACTGAGGAGGCAGAGCTTGCAGTGAACTGAGATCACACCACTGCACTCCAGCCTGGGTGACAAGAGTGAAACTCCGTCTCAAAAAAAAAAAAAAAGTAGACCAGGCGCAGTGGCTTATGCCTGTAATCCCAGCACTTTGGGAGGCCGAGGCAGGCAGATCACAAGGCCAGGAGTACGAGACCAGCTTGGCCAACATAGTGAAACTCTGTCTCTACTAAAAATACACACAAAAAAATTAGCCGGGCGTGATGGTGGGTGCTTGTAGTCCCAGCTACTTGGGAGGCTGAGACAGGAGAATTGGCTGAACCCAGGAGGCAGAGGTTGCAGTAAGCCGAAATAGTGCCATTGCACTCCAGGCTGGGCAACAGAGTGAGACTCCGTCTCAAAAAAAAAAAAAAAAAAAAAAGTGGAGCCGGGCACGGTGGCTAAGGCCTGTAATCCCAGCACTTTGGGAGGCCGAGGCGGGTGGATCACGAGGTCAGGAGATCGAGACCATCCTGGCTAACATGGTGAAACCCTCTCTCTAATAAAAATACAAAAAAAAAAAAAAAAATTAGCCTAACACGGTGAAACCCCGTCTCTAATAAAAATACAAAAAAAAATTAGCCGGACATGGTGGCAGGTGCCTGTAGTCCCAGCTCCTCAGGAGGCTGAGGCAGGAGAATGGTGTGAACCCGGTAGGCGGAGCTTGCAGTAAGCCGAGATCGTGCCACTGCACTCCAGCCTGGGTGACAGAGCGAGACTCCACCTCAAAAAAAAAAAAAAAAGGGGGGGGGGCGGAGAGAATAATGGACCATCTAGCACCAGTTACCCAGCTTAAATGATAACCAGCACACATCTACTTGTCCTTCATCTTTAGCTCCCATCTTTTGGGGAAGTATTTGCAAGAAAATCTCATGCCTTGTGTCATTTCACTTGTTGACACTCCTGCATACATGTCTAATGTTTAACTGAAATGGAAATTATGAAAAAAAAAAAACTACTGTGGAATTAATGGAAATTGAACAAAGAAAATCTTTGTTTCATAATCTTACTGCTCAAACACAACTTATCATTTTTCCCTGGTTCATTTATTTCTTTGCCCCTTTGTATACTTATTTTTACATGATTTTAGTAATAGGGTGCATTCTATAATGTCAGAGGTTGCAGTGAGCCAAGATCGCGCCACTGCACTCCAGCCTGGGCGACAGAGACTCCATCTCAAAAAAAATAAAAACTTAACTTTGTGGTATGAATAATTTTCCATGTTGTTGTATACGCTTTATAATCACTAATCCAAATCTTAATTGGGGCATAATAGGTCCCTCATCTGAAATTATAATTTGTAAAAAAACTCCAATGTATACAAGGGAATTTTTTTAAAAGCAGAATTGTAACCTTAAAAAATAATTTTCTAAGAGGACTCCTACATTTTGCTCTGCAAAGAACATTTAAAAGGAGGTTTGTTCTTTGGAAGGTGTTTATAAACATGGCTTTGATACCAGGCAACTGAGAGAGGCGGTTGTGGCCGCTGCGGTTCCCTGAGGGCACAGAGCATGGGTGATCTGTTGGAGCCAGGCAGGGCCTGGGCAGGGGATTAATGGTGTGGCAGGGACTCTCCCTCCCCTCGGAGATGAGGAGCACTAATGACAAGGCAGCAGTAATGATGTGAACTGATAATTTATTCTAAAGACTTAACCTTCCCAGATCTGTATTTATTTCCCCAGGTACCTTTTAAAAAATTAAAATATGCTACGGCTTGAGAGATTTACCAAGACGGATGAAATCTTTGTATCTTGTTTTAAGAGGATCCACAGCTGGTTCCCGAGACTCCTTCTGGGGTACCTTGTTACGTGGGTGACTGTAATGGGTAACTGGTGCTGAATTGTGTGTGCATATGTACTTTTTTTTTTAAGTAAAGGAAAATGTGTGTAGCTGGATGGGCCTTGCCTATAGAGCACTGGGACCCTGAATCAAGAGAAATAAGGGTGGTCCTGGTTGGTGAGTCCGTTATGTACTGAAATGAGGACATGAGTGCCCAATCCACCTTCCTTTCTTTCCCTCCTCCTAAGGGCAGATGCCCCATCCATGCTTAGAGGCTCCCCTTTCCTGCCTTCCCAGGAACCCTTCTTGATCTTCCTCCCATCTCTCTAGCTGTTCTTCTCTGTCTTTCTTGCAAGGTCATCATCTATTATTAATTTTTTATTAATTTTCTTTGAGACATAGTTTCGCTCTTGTTGCCCAGGCTGGAGTACAACAGCGCGATCTCAGCTCACCACAACCTCTGCCTCCCTAGTTCAAGCGAGTCTCCTGCCTCAGCCTCCTGAGTAGCTGGGATCACAGGCATGCACCACCACACCCCGCTAATTTTGTATTTTTCGTAGAGACGGGTTTCTCCATGTTGGTCAGGCTGGTCTTGAACTCCTGACCTCAGGTGATCCGCCTGCCTTGGCCTGTCAAAGTGCTGGGATTACAGATGTGAGCCATCGTGCCTGGCCTAATTTTTATATTTTTAGTAGAAATAGGGTTTTGCCATGTTAGCAAGGCTGGTCTTGAACTCCTCACCTCAGGTGATCCACCCGTCTTGGCAAGGTCATCATCTATTTAACTGTTAAATATGGGAGTTTCCTATTATTCCATCCTCTTCTTCCATGATCTCATCTCTGTTTCACCTTCCTCTCTATGCAAACCACCGTGTGCAGGTGAGCCACAGATTTGAATCACTTCTGAGCTCTCTTCCCACGTATCTGACGACTCTCTTGGTGTTTCCCTGTGGTGTTCCCTGACAGGTGTTTCCCTGTCAGAAGCACCTCAACATGTGCAAGTCACCTCCTCAGACTTGGTCCTGTTCCCGTATTCTGTATTTCATCATATAGAGCCTCTATTTGTCCAGTTAAGTGCTTTAGAATCCCAGGAGCCGTCTTCGATACCCGACCCCTCTTGCCCACCCCGTTTTCTAATCTCTTTTCAGATTATCTTGATTTTTACTTTTGCAAGTCTGCCCACTTCTTCAGCTCCACTTCTGCTCTAGTCCTTTCCTGGCTGCCAAAATTTTCATCTGCAGCCTCCTGTCTGCTCTGCCTGTTTCTGTCCTTCCTTTCCTCCGGCTTGTTTTCCACACCAAAGCCAGAATGATTATTAATCCAGCAAGGCTGATCTTGTCACACCTCAGTTAAAAAACCCTTTAGCACTGTGCAGTGGCTCTTAGGTTACAGAAAAACTCTCTAACACAGCATGTCACAAGGCATTGCAATGTCCAGTGACCACTCAGTCCTCCCACCCATTTGGATCTCATTCCAGTCCAGCCCCGTTCATCTCTGCCCACTTTCCTGAATGCACCCAGCTCATTGTGCCACAGGACCTTTGCACACAACATTTCCCCTGCCTGGATGGTCTTCCTCCCTGCCCTGCCCTACCCTGCTAGCTGTCTTCTTGAAACTTAGATGACAGTTATCAGTTTCTCAAGAAACTTTTCCTGATGTCCTGACCAGGCCAAGCATCTGGCTGCTCAGGGGACCATATGTTAATATCTCTTGCATGAAACCTTTTCTTACAGTTGCAACTTTACATTTCCTTGTTACTTCCACTTCTCCCACTGAATTAATTGTAACGTTCCTAAAAGCAGGGACAACGTCTGTTTCCATTTTCCATGATAACATAGCTTCAAGCACTGTCTGGAAGATAGTGGGCACCCAGCAAATGTTACTTGAACCTCCTGGGTTCAAGTAATCCTCTTGTCTCAGCCTCCTGAGTAGCTGGGACCATAGGCACACGCCACTGCGCCCAGCTAATTTTTTTTTTTTTTTCAGATAGAGTCTAACTCTTTCACCTAAGCTGGAATGCAGTGGCGCGATGTTGGGTCATTGCAGCGTTCGCCTCCTGGATTCAAGTGATTCTCCTGCCTCAGCCACCCAAGTAGCTGGGATTACAGGCACATGCCACCATGCCTGGCTAGTTTTTGTATTTTTAGTAGAGATGGGGTTTCACCACATTGCCTAGGTGGGTCTTGAACTCCAGCGCTCAGGCGATCTCTCTGCCTTGGCCTCCCAAAGAGCTGGGATTACAGGCGACAACCACCATGCCCGGCCTAGTTTTTTTCTGTTTTATAGAGATGAGGGTCTCACTTTGTTGCCCAGGCTGGTCCCAAACTGGTCTCAAGCCATCCTCCTGCCTCGGCCTCCCAAAGTGTTGGGATTACAGGGATGAGCCACTGTGCCCAGCCCAGGAAATGTTTCCTGAATGAATGAACAAGAAACAGAGAAAAAGTTTGTAAACTGGCTTTGTAAAAATGAGGCTATTTTCTCTAGAAGAGTTCATACAACCCTCAGGAGACCAAAACTTTAATTTAGCAATGATAAAGGGTAGATTCCCAGCGGTAGTAGCCCAAAGAAGAGACTGCAAGACCAAGCCAGAGTTCTCATTACATTCTGGGTTCTGGGTAAGACCCTGCCAGAGTGTGAGTGTTGGGGGGCCGCGGGGAGGTGGAGTAAGCAGAGTCAGCATTGGTGCCCCAACAGGAATACCAGTGTTCACTGTTGGCCTAGCTGGGTAGAAGAGACTTTCTGTTGTTAGGCTCTGGCTAAGGTTGGAAGCCGAAGAGCCATCGTAACAGTAAATCCTGGAATCATCTGGCTTCCTTTACTGCAAAGGAAATGTGAAAGAGCCTTCTCTCTAGACCTGGGGTGGACTCCAGCCTGTGTGTGTCTGAGTTTCAGGGAACTGGGGAATGGAAAGGAGACTGTTTACTCTCTGCCCTTCTGGAATTTCCCCCGGTTCCCTTCCTCTGTGTACCAGTGTTTGCAGTTATGTGTAGAATGAACACGGGCCTGTTAATGAAGTGCTGCTTACTCTCACCCGCTTTTGATGGGCCTATGGGATTGAGGGCAGAGGGAGGCAGGAAGAAGGAGGCTTGTTTCACTAAGCAGGTCTTATGTTAATGGCCAAATCAGTCACATCTTCATCGGGCTTCAGAGACTCTTAATCCTGGCGTCCTTGGCCTCCCTTTAAAAAATTCTCCTTTCTTTCTTGTTTCATGTTTCTCAAATTTCCAGGTAAATCCTATCATTTGTATTCTGAATTAGGAACCAAAAGAAAACAGAACTATTTTTCCTTTGACATGCACATACATTTCGGTGGTATGGGGTGGGGAGGGACAATAATGAGAAAATACCCCAAACTAGAAAGTTCTTTCGTACATTTGCTGTGAAACTCTCCAGGCAAGAGTTCTGGATTTTGTAACGGAATTGCATTATAGTAGCATGGTCTGGCAGTTACAGTTTATGTAGTTTTTTTTCTTTTGTTGGAATAAGGACGGCAATTTCCATGCCCTATTTATCTATATTTATTAGTACCACATGCAAACAACATATTTTTAAAAATCCAGGTCAAGAAAGGGAAAAAGTAACTCTTAGAAAAATATGACTCATCCTTGCTGCACGTACAAACTCTTCTCAATAGGAAATTATTAACTTGAAGCCACTTGCAAATCTGAGGCTTTGAAGGGAGGAAAAATAAGAGTGAGAGTTATTCCCCAAACAGCTTGACTGATGTGTCTTCTACCTTTTTATATTTTAAACTATATTTTGTCAAATTCTTGCAAGTTTTTATTGTTATAGTTGCTGTTAGTACCTTAGGCATGCTGGCATGGAAAAAAACAAAACCTTTTTTTTTTTTTTTTTTTTTGAGACAGTGTCACTCTGTCACCCAGGCTGGAGTGCAGTACCCTGATCTCAGCTCACTGCAGCCTTGACCTCCTGGGCACAAGCGATTATTCCGCCTCAGCCCCCCAAGTAGTTGGGAGTATAGGCAGGTACCACCACGCCCAGCTAATTTTTGTGTTTTTAATAGAGGCAGGGTTTCACCATGTTGCCCAGGCGGGTCTCGAACTCCTGAGCTCAAGCGAACCATCTGCCTCGGCCTCCCAAAGTGCTAGGATTACAGGTGTGAGCCACTGCGCCCTGCCTTCTTTGTTTGTTTGTTTGTTTTGTTTTGTTTTGTTTTGTTTGATAGTGGCCAGTTACTAGAACAAAAACTGTTATAGGAAATGTGAAACATACACAGAGGTGGAAAAACAGTCGATGAATCCCCACATGCCATTACCCAGTTCAGTAGCCATCTATGACGGGCCATTCCTGTCTCATCTAACTTCCCATCCCACCCCTGCTGGATTAATTTTATGAAAATCCCGACATACTTCAACTATAAATATTAATATTTTAGTGTATTTCTCTAAAAGATAAGAACTCTTAAAAACCCAACCCATGATGCCAATTTCATACCTAGAAAACTCAATGGTAATCATTTAATATTTTGAACTATCTAGTCAGTTTTTACATGTCCCCAGTTGTAGTGTAACCCTTTCATTTTATTTTTAAAAAATTTTTAATGTTTTTTGAGACAGAGTCTCACTCCATCACTCAGTCCGGAGTGCAGTGACATGGATCTCAGCTCACAGCAACCTCTGCCTCCTGGGTTCAAGTGATTCTTGTGCCTCAGCCTCCCAAGTTAGCTGGGATTACAGATGTGTGCCACCACACCTGGCTAATTTTTGTATTTTTAGTAGAGATGGGGTTTTGCCATGTTGGCCAGGCTGGCTTGAACTCCTGAACTCAAGTGATCTGCCTGCCTTGGCCTCCCAAAGTGCTGGGATTACAGGTGTGAACCACTGTGCCTGGCCCAACCTTTTTATTTTTTATTTTTATTTTTCGAGATGGGATCTTGCTCTCTTGCCTAGGCTGGAGTGCAGTGATGCAAACATGGCTCAGTGCAGCCTTGACCTTCTGGGCTCAAGTGATTCTCCTGCCTAGCCTCCCATGAAGGTGGGACCGCAGGTGCACGCCACCACGTCCAACTAATTATTTTATTTTATTTTTTATACAGATGGGGTCTCACTTTGTTGCCCAGGCTGGTCTCAAACTCTTGGACTCAAGCGAGCCCCCTGCCTTGGCCTCCCAAAGTGCTGGGATTACAGGCGTGAGCCACTGTGCTCAGCCTTTTTAAGCCATCGGTTTGTCTGAGTCAGGAACCAAACAAGATTGATATATCTTTTCAGTCTCTCTTAACTTAGAGGTAGTCCTCCCTCTTTTTACTCCTTGCAGTGTGTTGTTGAAGAAACTGGACAGCGTGTCCTTTACAGTTTCCCACACTTTGGATTTTGCTGTGTGTCTCCCTAAAGTGTGGGTCTGTGTGTCTCTCTGTCCCTCATGGGCAGATCTAGAGGCTGAGACTGACCTTGGTTCTTTTTTTTCTCTGGTGTGGTGATATGTGTTTCCATCAGGAGGCACATGGTGTCTGATTGTCTCTCTTGGTATGCTGGCTTTTAAAGGGCTGTCTTTCAAAGGGCACAGTCCCTGGGGACTTCCCAGAGTCTTTTCCCTAGATTCTCATATTCAGCCTTACTGCTGTCTGTCGACCTCCATAAAGTAGCATTAGAAGGTATTGGTAACCAGTTATTACTTAGAACAGAAGGGTGCAGTCGTATAGCTGAAGAAGTATGTTTGCTGATTACTGAAGTTAGCATGAGCTTAGGCCTTTGGCTTTCTTGCTGAAACCTGAGCCTCTTGCCAGCTGAATATTTTCATTATATATGTTCCATTTAGTCCTAATTGAATCAGACTTCCTCTAGCCATGCTCTAAATTGGCACTGTTTGCAGCCCCTGCCTGTGACTTGCCCAAAGCTTTGATTCCAAGAGATCAGTGGCCCTGCGGGGCCTGGCTGATGTGCTCGGTGGGGAGTCCTGGGGCTTTCTAACTCATGCTAGGGAGGAGGCCAGGGTAGAATCTTCTTAGACACTGTGTTTCTTAAAGACACTGCCATCACCTTTGCCCAAACCACCATCTGCTCTTGCCTGGATTACCACAGTGACCTCCTACCTGGTCTTGTGTACCTCAGCCCTTCTCCTGTAGCCAGACTGGTTGTGCTACAGCAGGAATCAGGTCACTTCCTTGCTCAAAACCCTGTAACGGAGTCCCGTCCCATGTTGAGCAATTTCCAAGGACCTTGTCCCAAGGCCTGACTGGGAGGCTCTGGCTACCTCCTGCCCTCATCTGCTCCTCTCTTCCCTCGCTCCACTCCAGCTGCCCTGGCCTCCCTGCCATTCCCCAGACATGCTAGGCATGCTCTCTCACCTAGCACCTCTGGGCTTGCTTTTTCCTCTGCCTAGAATGTTCTTCCTCCAGATACCCACGTGACTTCCCCCATCCTTTAGTCTTTGCTCAATTGTCACCTTCCCAGGGAGGTTTTTCTTCTCTACCCCACATCCTCTCCCAGCTTAACATTCTTCATCCCCCTTCTTTTATTTTTTCCTATTGCACTTGCCACCTTCTTTTTTAAATTTTTTTATTTCATTAAAAAATTTTTTTTTAGTTTTTTTTTTTTTGAGACGGAGTTTCGCTCTTGTTGCCCAGGCTGTGTGCAATGGTGCAATCTCGGCTCACTGCAACTTCTGTTTTCCGGGTTCAAGCGATTCTCCTGCCTCAGCCTCCCGAGTTGTTGGGATTACAGGTGCCCGCTACCACACCCAGCTCATGTTTTGTATTTTTAGTAGAGACAGGGTTTCACCATGTTGGCCAGGCTGGTCTCAAACTCCTGACCTCAAATGATCCGCCTGCCTTGGCCTCTGAAAGTGCTGGGATTACAGACGTGAGCCATGGCGCCCAGCCTGCACTTGCCACCTTCTAACAGATTATGCAATTTTCTTTTTTTTTTAAGGAAAAAAAGAAAAGAAATTGCTTATTGTCTGTTTCTGCCAAGTAGAATGTAAATGCTCTAGGAGCACAGATTTTTGCCCATCTTGTTCCTGTTGAGTCACTAGAATAGTAGGTGCTCAAGGCACGGATGTGAACAGCACGGATGCAGATAGAGCAGGGCTTGATGAGCTTGAGGGGAGCTTGTGAGCTTCCTATATGCTAACTCAGATTCCAGTTATGGAAATAGACTCACTAAACCTACTTTTTCATGGGTTTCTTGATTTTGAGCAATGCCTCCAAAGGCAGCAGGAAGACATACTGGAAGAGAAAGGGCCTCTGTAGAGCCGTCTGCACAGCTGTAGTGAAAACAGAGGGCCCCAGAGGTGAGGTGGCTAAGACTGCTATTTATAACTAAGGTTCTAGTATATGTTTTCCAGCCACACTTACGCCTTTCAGCCTCCCCTGTATGCTCGAATCTGTCACTCAATTAGCTAATGGTTTCTTTAGTCCCATTATGTATTATAGGGTTCCTCTGGCTCAATTTTTTTAAAAAGCAAATAATGAGGTGTTCTGTTCTCTGAAGTTTAATTTTTTAAATAACCTTGCCAATTTAAAAAAACCTTTCCCCAATGTTTAATTATGAAATTTGCAAACATATGGAAGAATTGAAAGAGTGATACAGTGAACACCCAAATGCCATCCACCTATTTCTGGCTCTTGTTAACATTTTTTTGCCAAATTTGTTTTATCTATATGTTATTATAGTATATGGCTGGGTGTATTTTTTTTCCTGAGCCATTTGAAGGTAAATTGCAGATATCATGACACTTTAATCCCCAAAACTTCACCCTATTCTTCTAAAAAGTCACTTGAAAATAACTGCATATATCATTCTCATCTACTCTTGCGTCTCCCAAGAATAAGACATGCTCATATAAAACCAAAGTAAATTTTTTTTTTTTTTTTGAGACAGAGTCTTGCTCTGTTGCCCAGGCTGGAATGTGGTGGCACGATCCTGGCTCCCTGCAATCTCCGCCTGCCGTGTTTAAGTGATTCTCCTGCCTTAGCCTCCCAAGTAGTTGGGATTACAGGTGTGTGCCACCATGCCTGGATAATTTTTGTATTTTTAGTAAAGATGGGGTTTCACCATGTTGGCCAGGCTGATCTCGAACTCCTGGGCTCAGGTGATCCACCCACCTCGGCCTCCCAAAGTGCTGGGATTACAGACGTGAGCCACCGTGCCTGTGCATAAAACCATAGTACTACTATTGAACCTAAAAACATTAACAATAATTTCAAACATCATCTAATATTCAGTTTGTATGCAAATTTCTCCATTTATCCCAAGAGTATTTTTTTCAAACCAAGGTTTAGTCACAATTCACGCATGGCATTTGTTGGTTTTCTTTAGATCTAGAAGAGTCTCCATCCTGCCTCCTTTTTTTTTTTTGTTTAAATGAATTTAATGACATTAACATTTTCAGGAGTTCAGGACAGTTATTGTATGGATGTCTCACATTCTGGCATCTGATTGCTTCCTCATGGTATCATTTAATGTTTCTCTATCCCCCTCTTTCATGTGAAGCATGTGGCATCAGGTTGCCTTGCTTTGCTCTCAGTGACAGTAAATTAGATCACTTGGTTATCATGGTGACAGCCAGAGGTCTCAAATAGAACAGAGGAGGGTTATGTTCTCAAAAGTTTAGTTTAAAGAAAAAAGGCCCTCTCTCTCCTCATTGGCTATTTAAATTTAAATTAAATTAATTTATTTTTTGAGACAGGGTCTCGCTCTGTCACACAGGCTGGAGTGCAGTGGCGCAATCTTGGCTCACTGCAATGTATGCCCCCAACCCAGGCTCAAGTAATCCTCCCACTTCAGCCTCCCAGGTAGTGGGGACCACAGGTGCACCCTGCCAGACCTGGGTGATTTTTTGTATTTTTAATAGAGACAGGGTCTCACCATGTTGCCCAGGATGGTCTCGAATTCCTGAGCTCAAGCGACCCACCCATCGCAGCCCATCTCAGCCTCCCAAAGTGCTGGGATTACAGGCATGAGCCACCATGCCCAGTCCTATTTTACTTTTTTGAGACGCAGTCTCATTTTGGTTGCTTAGGTTGGAGTGCCCTGGCATGATCTTGGCTCACTGCAGCCTCGACCTCCCGGGCTCAGGTGATTCTCCCACCTCTGCCTCCTCAGTATCTGGGACTACAGTTGCCTACTACCATATCCAGCTAATTTTTGGCATTTTTATTAGAGATGGGGTTTTACCATGTTGCCCAGGCTGGTCTTGAACTCCTGGACTCAAGCAATCCATCCTCCTTGGTCTCCCAAAGTGCTGGGATTACAGGCATGAGCCACTGAGCCTGGCTGGCTGCTTTTAATTAATTTTTTTTAGTGACAGAGTCTCACTGTGTTACTCATGCTTGTCTTGAACTCCTGGCCTCAGGTGATCCTCCTACCTCAGCCTCCCAAAGTGCTGGGATTACAGGCATGAGCCACTGCACCCAGCCCATTGGCTCTTTTTGAAGACAAAATGTGTCTCAAGGTGTTGTATGATGGCTTCTGAGCCTTCAAATATATAATGATTCCACTGGAGACAATGAGTAGATAAACCAGATAGAAGAGCTAACTTGGATCCCTGAGATGAGACCATGGAGAGGAAAATTCAGGCTATCTCTCTGCCTTCTGTCCAAGGCCCATGGCAGTGTGACTGTCACGGGGGTAGAAATTAGCAACAAGAGGCCTTGGGTTCCTCCACTCTCCTGTTGAACATTATCAGTCCTCCAGGAAGGAGGAAAAAAAAGTGCCAACACTCCATTTATGAAACGATGACCTTTGAGGTATCAGGACAGGAATCAAGGAGCCTTCCGGAATGCTCATCCCTCAGCACGCTTCCAATAGCGGTGTGTGTCCTGGAGCCAGAAGGCTGGGCGCCTTTAGGAGATGACCTGGAAACAAGATGAAAGGACAGTTTGTCTGCGTGATGGGTCTGTGGCTTACCTTGGAAGATTCTGTGGTCACAGCCCAAAAAAGTCTCAGAAGGATCAGAAGGATCAAGAGAAGAATGACTATAAAATGAATGAAGGCTAGGGCGCGGTGGCTCACTCCTGTAATCCCAGCACTTTGGGAGGCCAAGGTGGGAGGATTGCTTGAGGCCAGGAGTTCGAGACCAGCCTGGGCAACATAGTGAACCATGTCTCTATAAAAAAAAAATTAAAAAGCAAAACAAAAAACAAATACAGTGAATGAGAAGTTAGACCAAGAGGAATTAGGACTCTTCCTAAACACAGGAAGTCAACAGGGAGATGATAAAAATGACAGCTTATTAGGAACTCGGTAGGTGCCATTTACTTCTTTGCAAGAGTCCTCTGAAAAAGGTGCCATGATTACCCCTGTTTTGCAGGTAGGGAGACTGATGCTCAGGTTAGGTAGTTTGCTTCACGGTGCACAGCTCTCAGGGACTAGAACTGTGAATTAAACTCGGAGTGCCTGACCACACCCCCTCTTAATCCACGTGCTTAAAAACCCTATTGCCAGAGACTTAGGTACTGGATCTTGGCGTAATAGAGGAGGGAGACCCTCCTTGACTTAAAAAAAAAAAAAAAAAAGCCCACAATAATCAACACTTACGATTGCATAGTTTCAGGGGGCTAGATTTGGCAGCAGCTTAGCTGGGCAGCCTGGCCAGGGATCTCTCCCGAGGCTGCATTCAGGATGTGGACTAAGCTGTAGGGTTAGGCTCTGCTGGGGCTGGAGCAGCTGCTTCCCAAGTGGCCACTCCCAGGGATGGCAAGAGGTGGCTGGGGGTTGAAAGGCCTCAGTTCCTTCCCATACTCCTTGGCTTTTGAAGGAACTCGTTTCCTTTGGAAACTACAAGTGTTATTTTATAGAAACGTTTAGTACTCACCAAGGCCCTCAGTGGAACTGGCTGAAAATAGCAGCAGACTCACTCAGAAAAGAATTGGAGAGATCCATGGCAGGGAAGAGAGATTAAGGGAAGGTAGAGCGCTTAGGAGAGCTTGAAAACCCAAAGGGTAACTGGTTTCTATCTTATTATAATAGATCTTTGACTTGATCCAGAATTTTCTGCTAAGTTCTTAAAGGGTTGTATCTGTAGAGGGATTTAGAGCAGTCTTTTTTGGGGGGGTGGGGGAAGGGGGGTTATCTCTAGAAAGTGCTGAAATTTACCTTAGTGTGCTTATGGAGACATTTATATATACTATACCTTGTTCTAGAAGACAGGTAAGATAGCTTATAATCATGCAGTAGCAACTAAGAAATAAAACAAAGTGTTGGATTGGGTGGGGCGGGTGGGGAGGGAGGTTCAGATATGTGGTTTTGTAAGGTGTGGAGTGGACGGACCCCGTGGAAATCCTCATAAAGGCTGATTCCCTCTTGGTAATTATTAAACGGCCCTGAACTGAAGGCCATAGCTCCTGGCTGGACTGAACTGAAGGGAACTGAAATATTCAGTGTGGACTAAACACTTAACTAGACAGAAGCTATTCAGCACAGCCAAGTTCAGTAGCAGGGTGGAGGGTGTGTATGCAGCAGTTTCTAGCCTGCCTAGGGCTTGGTGCTTCTGCCTCCAGTCAGCTTGTTCTGTTTTTCTGCTACAGTCACCCACAGGACTGAATCTGCCTGGTATCCTTGGGGACGGGGTGCTCTGGGCCACTTCTCAATTCTCTCTCCTTAAGTCACTGATGGGGCTGATTAGCCTGTATTGAAGTTTCATTGTTTTAACTTTTTTTTCCTTATTTCAAGACAATACATTTTCAGGATTGAAAATTTTAAAAAACAACATCATGTTTTAACACAAATAAGAAAAGAATAAGCCCCTGCAATCCCTCATCTAGATGGAGATGCCTCCTGTTGACAGTTCCTTAGGGTCTCCTCGGTTTCTATGGGCAGGGGGATATTACTTGCAACTAATTTCTTCGTCTGTACGCCATCAATATCCCTATGCTTTTCTCACAGTCCTGCAAGTATAAACAAACTAATACATCAGTAATGTGGAAATTATGGTGCTGACCCAGTGATATGAAATGTTTAGAAAGAGTGCAGCTTCCCCTCCAGCCTGATACAACAGTGATTTCATTAGACATATTCCTTCCCACTCTTTTTTCCATGCCACGAGGCAAAATGTGAAGATGTGGAGAAAGCATTCCCAGAGAAGCCAGCAAAGGTGAAATGAAAGCTTCTAATTTAGAGAATCTTAACTTGGGGTGCATTCTCTTTAGCCCATCCATGTTGCCTTTTGTACCCCACAGTGGAGAACATGCAGCTGACCCTGAACCTGCAGACGGAGAACAAAGGCAGCGTTGTCTCAGGCGGAGAGCTGACAATTTTCCTGGACGGGCCAACTGTTGATCTGGGAAATGTGCCTAATGGCAGTGCCCTGACAGATGGTGAGTGCCGCCCTGCTCCTCAGGACTGTGCCGGGACAGGGTGGGGCTGGGCGGGGGCCAGGAGGTGCTGAGAGCTTGGTTCTTACTAGGCCATCTTGGTTTGATTCCCACTCAGCCTGGCCCATAGCTAGCCCGGACTCTTCTTAGCTCCGTGGATCAGTATCACAACATGAATTTTCAAGGGTCACAGTAAATGTCCAGTCTTTGTAAATATGTAATTGTTTGGTTTGATAGCAGAGAAAAACATCTTTCATCCCATGTGGACTTTGGAAAATGAAATATCTTTATCAAATGTGACTTTGGCCCATTATTTTCCTTCCCAATACAGTTACACTTTTTGGGGAGGTTGAAGGTGTTTTTATGAGAGGCATTGGTTGGGAAGGGTACGCTGTGTTCTTCTAGAGATACACACTAGCAAAATACAGACAGAGCAGGGAATTTGGAGAGTGTCCCTTGCTCTGTCCCGAATGTTGGTAGTTTGTTTCTTTTGATCTAGTCTGAAATTAGTCACCTTTGGATCTAGCAGGAAATTATTTCATGAAGTCCGAGGTCTGAAATGGGTTGGGTTTCTCCATAATTTTTCTCATTAAATGTTTTGTTAGATGTGATGTAACCATGGCACTTTCCAGACACCAAGCAGGATTTCTGTAGCTTCAAAGGGGTGCAATTTGAATTGCAATTCAAGGGCAGTTGGTTGGAATCTCAGTGGCCGGATGGGCCTTGACTGTGGAGAAAAATCCCTTAACTGGACTGATCGGTGTTTGGGGTGCTTTGGTGCTTGGAGAAAAACATGTGTCATTCACTCATTCAACACATATATATGTAATTGTATTCTGGTATGCACTAGGTCTTAGACCAGGCCCTAGCCAGATGGCAGTGGGCCAAATTCACATGGTCTCCACTGCTTCAGGTTTACAGTCTCCTTGATGAGGGCAGGGGAAGTTAGATATCAAATGAGTAAACACACAGATAATTACATAGCTGTGATTGTAACAAAAGCTATCAGTGAAAACCACAGGGTGCTATGAGATTCCTGTACTTTGTTGGGGGAGATCTCATCTAAGTTGCGGGGTCAGGGAAGGTTTCTCTGAGGAAGCTGAGACTTGGAGGATGAGGAGTTTAGACAGGCCAAGGTGGGAGTGTGGGGTAAAGGGGTGGCTTGGCCTGTGGTGGGAACAGAGGCAGTCAGCGTGGTTGGATTATTAGGAGCAAGAAGGAGAGAGAATGGAGGAGGTGAGATCAGAGAAACAGGTCAACTCAGATCACGCAGCCTTGAAACATTTGGTAGGGATTTTGGACCTCATCTTGAGAAACAGCTATTGAAGGGTTTCTCGCAGAAGACTATGATGATCTGATTTGGCTTTGTAAAAGCTCTCTGGGTGTATTATGGAGAAATGCCCCCGATTTCTGGCCCCTACTTTG
Organism: Homo sapiens; assembly: GCF_000001405.40. Classification (NCBI taxonomy): domain Eukaryota; kingdom Metazoa; phylum Chordata; class Mammalia; order Primates; family Hominidae; genus Homo; species Homo sapiens. The sequence goes on from NC_000016.10 coordinate 69,841,686, forward strand.
CATGGTTAGGGTTTTGTTCTCTATCTCACGTTTTTGAGGCTCAGATTCATTTAATGGATAAGGCAATGTGCTTGTAAGTGCCTTGGATGTTCTTCAATGTCTTGGAGAAGAGAAGCTGTTTCCAAGGTTTGAGCCCCACTGCTCCATGGCATGGATCGGATCCATATGATCGTCCCTGTTCCTCTTCTCCTGGTGGCTGCAGCTTGCCGGATGTCCATATCCCGTGGTGGTGGGCAACTCTAACACACAGACGGAGTTCTGTTCCTGGCCGTCAAATCTCAAACACGAGTTGAGCTCCTCAATGCTTCTGTCTTTTCTTGTGATTGATTCCTTTCTAGGATCACAGCTGCCTTCGAGAGACTCCAGTGGAACAGCAGTAGCTCCAGAGAACCGGCACCAGCCCCCCAGCACAAACTGCTTTGGTGGAAGATCCCGGTAAGACCCCCCTTGGTGAGGACAAAGAGCTAAGAAGTTGCTTAGAGCTATTGAAAACATGTTGGGACATGGCGGGGAACATTTTATGGTAGAAACTGTTGGAGATTTCCAGAGATCTTGTAACTGACTCAGTAGTTAAGAAAGCTAATAGAGGAGTCCAGAGCTTAGGATCCTTATTTATTTTTTTTTTAATTGAATTTGGATTTTTAATTTTTGTTTTTATTTTAGATTCAGGGGGTACATGTACAGGTTTGTTACATGGGTATATTGCATGATGTTGAAGTTTGGGCTTCTAATGATCCTATTGCCCAGATAGTGAACATAGTACCTGATTGGTAGTTTTTCAATTCTTGCTCCTCTCCCTCCTTGTTTTTGGAGTCCCCAGTGTTTATTATTTCTATCTTTGTGTTCATGTGTACTCAATGTTTAGCTCCCACTTATAAATGAGAACATATGGTATTTGGTTTTCTGTTTCTGCATTGATTTGCTTAGGATAATGGCCTCCACTCTCCGGCTATATTCATGTCCCTGCAAAGGACATGATTTCATTCTTTTGTTTTGTTTTTTGATATGGGGTCTTGCTTTGTTGCCTACGCTGGAGTGCTATGGCACCATCACAGCTCATAGCAGCCTTGACCTCCTGGGCTCAAGCAATCCACCCACCTCAGCATCCTGAGTAGCTGAGACAGCAGGCATGTGCCACCATGCCTGGCTAATTTTTTTATTTTTGTAGAGATAGGGTTTTACCATGTTGCCCAGGCTGGTCTCGAACTCCTGGACTCAACCGATTCTCCTGTCCTGGCCTCCCAAACTGTTGGGATTACAGCCATAAGCCACTGTATCTGACTTATTTTTTATTCTTTTTTATGGTTGTGAAAGAATTCAGGATTCTTAGAAGGGTCAGAGGCTCCTTGATGAAGATTGGGACTGGCTAAGTAGGTTATTGGATAAAAGGAACTGTTGAACAGGAAACTTGACTGCTTTTTTGTATGTCCGGGGCTGCAGCCACAGTTATTCTTCCAGGATACACATAGAAATGCTTAGAGCAATGGTTCTTTGTGCAATTTTCTGTCATGCATTCTGCTTTGGGGGTGGCCCATGGTTCCCTTGTAATGTTGGTTAAGACCTCCTACGCTTAGAGTCCAAATATTATACTTGTTATACGTATTACAAATGACGTAATGTTATTTACTGAAATTCCCATTTTATACCTGTGTTAGTGGTGCAAACTCATTTCCATGGCAACTGAACGTCTAGGCAGGAAAATAGTTCTAAGTATAAAGAGATGAGGGGAGAGGGTTGGCACCTTTGTTTATTGTTTATTGCAATGTGCAAAATCCCCAGATATTTAGAGGACATTTTGAGGAAAATAATCTTAAATGTACAAACTACGAATGTAGTTTGTAAATCTTTATCACTTGCGGAAAGTAGGTGAGTAACTGGCAGTAAAATCTTCCCAAACGAGGCCAGGCACAGTGGCTCATGCCTGTAATTCCAGCTCTTTTGGAAGATCAAAGTGGGAGGATCGCTTGAGGCCAGGAGTTCCAAGACCAGCCTGGGCAACCTAGGGAGGCTCTGTCTCTATAAAAGATAGAAAAATGAGCTGGGCATGGTAGTGTGTGCCTGTAGTCCCAGCTACTTGGGAGGCTGAGGTGGGAGGATTGCTTGAGCCCAAGAGTTTGAGGCTGCACTGAGCTAGCATCAGGGCACTGGGTAACAGAGTGAGACTATGTCTGTAAAAAAAACAAAAAAACAAAAAAACTTCCCAAACAGACCCTAGGGAGGGGGAATAATGCTTTGAAAAATGGAATATGATTTTAGCCAATACCCGCAGCATCTTAAAAGATCCCTCTGAGGACAGCTGTCAGCTTCTCCAGATTTGGTTGTTTTGTGGGCTTATGAGGTTGTGGTGACTGGCAAGTGGCGGGAGCAAGACAAGATGGACGTTTGGATCTTTTTTCCGTACCTTTATTAGAAGCAGAGATGCCATTTCCCCATTCTCTTTTCTCCAAGTCACTGTAAAGGCGTTGCCTCACTCCCAAAGACCAGTCATGTTTTCCGTGTCTCGGTAGGTGACTTACAATAGTTGGGTCTCACGGGGTGATGAATGACAGTGTAACTGGCAAATCTTGTGTCAACAAAGCCATGATGGGCACCTGGAACTGGAGGAAACAATTTCTTAAGCTAGAACAGCGGTGGGCGAGGAATACTTGAGCATTTCACTCTTTTAGAGAGGAAGGAATACTTGAGTATTTCACTCTTTAGAGAGTGATGCCTTCTCAGCTTTGGTGCTAGTAACTACATCTTAGTCTTTTAGCTGAGTTGGAAAGTTTGTCTCAAACACACCCATATAACTTAATTTGGGGCTCAAAGTCAGATTCAGCTATTAACAAGTTTGGATCTAAATTCTTGACCTATTTACTGGTCTCTGAATTCCTCTAGTTGATCGACCTTGAAATTCAGAGATCCTGTTAAACCTCGTTTGTTGTCATTGGTGTTGAGAATGACACCAGGTCATCGGTGTTGCAGCAGCCAGGCTGCAACAGGAAATCGGATGCATTTTGGCCCATCACACGTGGTAGACATTCAGTGCTAGTTAGTTACTGGTGAGCAAGGTACCTTCCGATAGTGTAAGCCTTATCGGAGTCCTCTGCAGTCTGTTAGCTGCTGCAGGCTTTTACTACGTGTAGCATCTGAGTTTTCCCTGGCCTCTGCCATCTAAGTAACTATTCATTCTGCACTCACATGGAACCTGTTGCCATTCAGCAGGAAATATTTTTGCAAATATTATCCAAAGGCTGTCTCTTTGCCTCCTTAAAAGCCCCCTTTCCACTTTGCTGTTGCAGGTATGAAGGTCACTGTGCACACATGCTTATGACTGTAGGCGGTGGCCAAGGAGTCTATTGGATAAAGGTGTAGGGCTTTGGAATCAGGAGATGCAGATCGAATCCTGGCCTGTCATTTACTTGCTATATGATTTTGGATAAGTCACAAAACCTCTCGGATCCCCAGTTTTTTTCAGGTGTAAAGTGGGGGTATCACCTGTCTCACAGGGTTATTGTGGGAATGAACTGAGATGAGGCATGTCAGTCAGAGGGCCTTACACAACGGGAGCACTCGGTGGAAGTGGCAGTGGGTTTTCTTTGTATCTGGAGACTCGTTTGTGCATGCCTACCCCCCTTCCCTGCTAAGCCTGGGAAGTGAGGCATTACCGGTGCGTTTACATCAAGGACTGTAGTTGGGAGGTGATGAATCAGACCTTTGGGATCAAGGGCAGTCCTTTGCTGTCCTTGCTTTCTGGGGGCAGAGAGAATGATGGGCTTCTGCCTGCTGTCTCCCAGACTAAATATTTAGCTTTTGCTGTCTGAAGGGTAGGTTTTTCTTGGACTTGGGTGCTATTCACTGTGATCAAACAAAGGTGCTCTGACCTGCCCATGAAGGTGAAGACTGCGATGTCAAAGCAACCCTTTCCTCTCCTTCTTTCCTCTGCTTGGTAAAGCTGTAGAACTGGAACTGTGAAAGGGTTTTATCTGAGGGGTTCATTCGTCCAAGCTCATCCCGCAGAGCACCACTTGCTTGCTAAGCAAGGTCTCACAGCTCCATTTCTTAGTGGGATCTTGCCTCTTCTTCAAGAATAATCAGATGAAGCCTGGGCGTGGTGGCTCATGCCTGTAATCCCAGCACTTTGGGAGGCTGAGGCGGGCAGATCACTTGAGGTCAGGAGTTTGAGACCAGGCTGGCCAACATGGTGAAACCCTGTCTCTACTAAAAGTACAAAAATTAGCCAGGCATGGTGGTGTGTGCCTATAATCCCAGCTACTCAGAAGGCTGAGGCAGGAGAATTGCCTGAACCTGGGAGGCGGAGGTTGCAGTGAGCTGAGATCTAGCCACTGCACTCCAGCCTGGGTGACAGAGCCAGACTCCATCTCAAAAAAAAAAAAAAAAAAAAAGAATACTTATCTGGTCTGGCACATGGAAGCCAGCATGGGACTGCCACCAGCAATTCATGCGGCATACATTTGTTTGCCCACAGACTGTGTTAATATGGAATCAGAGGTCTGATTATGTAAAGAAAGAGTTATATCATAAATTGTCATACACTCTTATAATGGAATACTGTCTCACAGTAAAAATGGGTGAAAAATGGTTATATCCATATGGTGGAATCTTAGAAACATAATGTTGAACAAGAGAAGCAGGTCATAGAAAACAGTACCATAGTAGGATGTCATACGTAGAAAGTTGAAAAATGCAAAGCCAAACAATACATGTTGTATGGATACCTTCAGAGGCAGTAAAACTATAAAAAATGGATGGGGCTGGGTGTGGTGGCTCACGCCTGTAATCCCAGCATTTTGGGGAGGTCGAGGCGGATGGATCACTTGAGGTCAGGAGTTCAAGACCAGCCTGGCCAACATGGCGAAACTTCTTCTCTACTAAAAATATAAAAATTAGCTTGGCATGGTGGCGTGCACCTGTAATCCCTGCTATTCGGGAGGCTGAGGTAGGAGAATCACTTGAACCCCCGAGGTGGAGGTTGCAGTGAGCCGAGATTGCGCCACTGCACTCCAGCTGAGTGATGGAGTGAGACTCTGTCTCAAGAAAAAAAAAAAAAGAAAAAAGAATGGGAATAATGAATCCTGAATTCAGGAGGTTATCTTGGGAGGAGGCAGACAGGTGTAATGAGAAAAGAGTACAGAGAAAGTTTCTAAGATACTGGTCATGTTGTTTCTTTGCCTGGGTGGTGGCTCCCAAGTGTTCATTATTTTATTCTTCTTTAAACGAAATATATATTTAGAGTCTTGCTCTGTCACCCTGGCTAGAGTGCAGTGGCTCACCCACAGCTCACTGCAGCCTCAAAATCCTGGGCTCCAGGGATCCTCTTGCTTTAGCCTCCCAAGTAGCTGGGACTACAGGTGTGTGCCAGGCCCTACACCTGCTGCCAGGCTCTTTTTATTATTTATTTATTTATTTTTAAATTTGAGATGGAGTCTTGCTCTGTCGCCCAGGCTGGAGTGCAGTGCCACGATCTCGGCTCACTATAAACTCTGCCTCCCAGGTTCAAGCAATTCTCCTGTCTCATCCTCCAGAGTAGCTGGGACTACAGGCACATGCCACCATGCCCGACTAATTTTTGCATTTTTAGTAGAGACGGGGTTTCACCATATTGGTCAGGCTGGTCTCAAACTCCTGACTTCAGGCGATCCACGCACCTTGGCCTCCCAAAGTGCTGGGATTACAGGCATGAGCCACCATGCCCTGCCTTTTTATTTATTTTTCTTATTTTTTTTTTTTTTAATTTTTTTGAGATGGAGTTTCACTCTTGTTGCCCAGGGTGGACTGCAATGGTGCAAACTCAGCTCACTGCAACTTCTCTCTCCCAGGTTCAAGCTATTCTCCTGCCTCAGCCCCTGAGTAGCTGGGATTACAGGCATGCGCCACCATGCCTGACTAATTTTGTATTTTTAGTAGAGATGGGGTTTCTCCATGTTGGTCAGGCTGGTCTCGAACTCCCGACCTCAGGTGATCTGCCCGCCTCGGCCTCCTAAAGTGCTGGGATTACAGCTGTGAGCCACCGCGCCTGGCCAGGCTCTTTTTAATAACCCATTCTTGCAGGTTCCCAACAGAGAGAACTCACTCACCCCCATGAGAGGACATTAATTTATTCATGAGGGATCCACCCCCATGACCTAAACACCTCCCACTAGGTCTCACCTCCCAACTCTGCCACATTGGGAATCAAATTTCAACATGAATTTTGGTGGGGACAAACTGCATCCAAACCATAGCAGGGAGTCAAGTTGGAATGAAGCCCACAGGACTGTCTGTGAGTGGAGCTGCTCCTCCTAGCACCTCACGACTTCCTCTGGCTTGAATAACTGGCTCCTCTGTCTAGAATCTCAGTAAAATTTCCATAGTCATACAGGGAAATGGAACAACAACAACAAAATGAGAAGAATGCATTTAATTTGCTTTTTGATTCATAAAATTTTTCATTAATAGGGATTAACATAAGGGATCTTAGTTAAGAAGCTGTCAGCTGGGCGCAGTGGCTCAGCGTGCAGGCTGGGTGTAATCCCAGCGCTTTGGGAGGCTGAGGTGAGTGGATCACCTGAGGTCGGAAGTTCAAGACCAGCCTGACCAACATGGAGAAACCCCATCTCTTCTAAAAATACAAAGTTAGCCAGGCGTGGTGGCGCATGCCTGTAATCCCGGCTACGTGGGGAGCTGAGGCAGGAGAATCACTTGAATCTGGGAAGTGGAGGTTGTGGTGAGCCCAGATCGTGCCATTGCACTCCAGCCTGGTCAACAAGAGCAAAGCTCCATCTCAAAAAAAAAAAACAAACAAACAAGAAGCGAAGTGTCAATAGCTAGGTGCAGTGGCTCATGCCTGTAATCCCAGCACTTTGGGAGGCTGAGTTGGGAGGATTGCTTGAGCCCAGGAATTTGAGGCTATAGTGAGCCAAGATGGAGACCCTGCAATCCAGCCTGGGCAACAGAGCTAGATGCTGTTGCTAAAAAAAAAAAAAAAAAAAAAAAAGAAGCTATATATAGAGCCTTCAACAATTTATTTTCCTTTCTTATGTGTATATGTATTTAAGCTATTTTGTTTAAGAATGCATGTGAACGCACATGAGAGAGTGTGTATGTGTGTGTTTGTGTGTGCATGTAGGCCTGGGGACCTTGGATTTGCCTGTGGCCCTCATCAGCTGTCAGTAGTGGCCAGTGTTGGTCACAATCTGCATTTTAAGATGTCTTTCCCAGTGATTTTTTTACATGGAAAAGTTTCAGAGCCTCTTAGATAGTTTTCTTTCTCACTCCTTTACTCTTCTTTTTTTGTCCTGCTTTGATGAAAACATATCAGATTTATTGGCTCCCTTGCCTTGGCATTAACGGCCTCTGAAGATTTAAAAGATCTGTAATCTCGGAGACTTATAAAGCCTAACCGTCTCCGGTGAGCTCTAAATAGATCATCAACTGTGTCTGCAGACAGCCTATCCCAGAAAGGAAAGAAAAATAAACTCAGGCGGGTGTGAGTCCACTGTGAACACTTCAGGAAGTCCTGGGAGGGCCGGGGGAGAATTGGGAAGCAGAGCTAGCAGGGAGGAGGGGTGGAGGGTGGATAGGAGCTGAGCCTTGGGCACTAGGCCATTCTCACAGTCATTGTTGGCTGGCGGTTGCCACCCCTCCTTCCACTGAGGTGACTAAAGGCTGCTTGATTGGGAACTGCAGTTATTTAGAGATGTTGCCCTGTCAGCAGGAAAGTCCTCCCATGCAGTAGCTTATGCTTAAAATCTGGGTATTGCCTCATTTCTGTTGCTGGGGAAGACAATGGAATAAGTGTTATTTATTTATTTATTTATTCATTCATTCATTCATTCATTCATTCATTCAGTTATAATTAAGACATAGTCCCTGCTCAAAGTCCCTGCTTGTAGGCAGGGCTTTCTTCTGAGCAGTTGGTAAATATGGAATAGGATTGAGACAGTGGTCAAGGGTCCCACTGCATTCTCCAAGCCAGACGTTGAAAAGTAATCATGGCTGGGCATGGTGGCTGTATGCCTGAGTCCCAGCTCTTTGGGAGGCTGAGGCAGAAGGATCGCTTGAGGCCAGGAGTTTGAGGCTGCAGTGAGTTATGATCGTGCCACTGCACTCCAGCCTGGACAACATAGGGAGACCCTGTCTCTTAAAAAAAAAATCATGGAGATTAATTACACACTCATTTATACATTGGTTTATTTTGCATCAATTAAAATGATACATGGTACCTTATTATACATTTATTTATTGCATAGATATTTATTTGGCATTTACTCTGTATGAGCCTAGAGAGATGTTTATAATGCCAGATGTGGCATGCGCCAGAAAGCTGGTTATAAACTAGGAGGAAGGAAGGCAAATCTCTGCCGTTGAAGGCAATATTCACTTGATATACATGAATGCCAGGCTCTGAGCTGTCGTGGTGATTAAAAGATGAAAAGTCGGCCGGGCGCAGTGGCTCACGCCTGTAATCCCAGCACTTTGGGAGGCCAAGGTGGGCAGATCATGAGGTCAGGAGATTGAGACCATCCTGGCTAACACGGTGAAACCCCGTCCCTACTAAAAATACAAAAAAATTAGCCGGGCGTGGTGGTGTGCGCCTGTAGTCCCAGCTACTCGGGAGGCTGAGGCAGGAGAATGGTGTGAACCCAGGAGGTGGAGCTTGCAGTGAGCCGAGATCACACCACTGCACTCCAGCCTGGGCAACAGACTGAGACTCCATCTCAAAAAAAAAAAAAAAATGATGAAAAGTCAGGGTCCCTGACATCAGGGAGTGTCTCTAGTAGGAGACAGATGCATGGATGAGTTAGAGTCTAGTGTGATGGATCCATGGTGATGGTATGTACACATGCAAGAGGAATGTAGTGGGACATTACCTAGATATGCCTGGGAGATTTGGGGAAGACCTCCCACATTTGAGCAGTATTTTGAAGGAGTTTGCCAGACCGACGAAGTGGGGTTCAGGGATGTCACTGCAGGCAGAGGGTACAGCATGAGTGAAGGCAAGGAGGAGTAAGAGAACTTGATGTATTTGAGGAAATAAAAGTCATTTAGAAATGTTGACATGTAAGATATTAGGGATGATAGCGTAGCAAACTAGGGTTTGCAGGCTGAATCCAGCCTGCCATCTGCTTTTTTGTTGGTGTTCTTGTTTGTTTGTTTGTTTTTGCTGGGTGAAATCTGCCGTGTTTTTTTTAGAGCACTTTTAGGTTCCCCCAAACATATATACTCTCTTCCCCACTATCAACATCCCCCACCAGAGTGGTACATTTGTTAGAATGATGAGCCTGCATTGACACATCATTGTCACTCAAAGTCCAAAATGTATATTAGGTTTCACTCTTTAATTTTTTTTTTTTTTTTTTGGACAGAGTCTCGCTCTGTCATTCCACTGGCTGGAGTGCAGTGGCTCAATCTCAGCTTACTGCAACCTCTGCCTCCCAGGTTCAAGTGAGTCTCATGCCTCAGCCTCCTGAGTAGCTGGGATTACAAGCATTCACCACCATGCCCAGCTAATTTTTTTTTTTTGTATTTTTAGTAGAGATGAGGTTTCCCCATGTTGGCCAGGCTGGTCTTGAACTCCTGGACTCAAGTGATCCACGTGCCTTGGCCCTCACATGTATCCACCATTACTCTGTCATACAGAGTAGTTTCACTGCCCTGTGCTTCATCTATTCATCTCTCCCTCCCGTCCCCAGCCCATTGTAACCACTGATATTTTATTGTCTGCATAGTTTTGCCATTTCCAGAATGTCGTATAGCTGGATCATAGAGTATATAGCCTTGTCAGATTGGCTTCTTTCACTTAGTAATTGGGATTTACGTTTCTTTCACGTCTTCTCATGGCTTGATATTTTGGGTACTGAATAATATTTCATTGTCTGCATGTACCACAGTTTATCCATTCACTTTTACATTCCTCCTCCACAGTTTATTCATTCATTTACTGGTTGCTTCCAAGTTTTGGCAATGATGAATAATAAAGCTGCCATAAACATTAGTGTGCAGGTTTCTGTGCAGATAAAAGTTTTCAACTCGGTCGGGAACGGTGGCTCATGCCTGTAATCCTAGCACTGTGGGAGGCCGAGGCAGGCATATCGCAAGGTCAAGAGATCCAGACCATCCTGGCCAACATAGTGAAACCCCATCTCTAGTAAAAATACAAAAAAAAATTAGCTGGGCGTGGTAGTGCGCTCCTGGAGTCCCAGCTACTCGGGAGGCTGAGGCAGGAGAATAGCTTAAATCTGGGGGGTGGAGTTTGCAGTGAGCTGAGATCACGCCACTGCACTCCAGCCTGGCGACAGAGCAGCGAGATTCCAGCTAAAACAAAACAAAACAAAACAAAACAAAGTTTTTAACTTGCTTGGGTAAATACAAAGGAACATGATTGCTGGGTCATATGGTAAAAGTATGCTTAGTTTTGTAAGAAACTGCTAAACTGTTTTCCAAAACGGCTGCACCAGTTTGCATTGCCACCAGCAGTGAGTGAGAGTTCCTGTTGCTCCACATCTTCACCAGGTTTGATGTAGTCCATTTTCTGGATTTTGGCTATTCTAATGGGTATCTAGTGATATCTCACTTTAATTTGCATTTCCTGGATGATATATGATGTGGAGAGTCTCTTTTTTTTTTTGAGAAAGAGCCTCACTCTGTTGTCCAGGCTGGAGTGCAATGGTGTGATCTCGGCTTACTGCACCCTCCACCTCCTAGGTTCAAGTGATTCTCCTGCCTCAGCCTCCTGAGTAGCTGGGTGGCACCTGCCACCACGCCCAGCTAATTTTTTTGTATTTTAAGTAGAAACTGGGTTTCACCATGTTGGCCAGGTTGGTCTCGAACTCCTGACCTCAGGTGATCCGCCCACCTCGGCCTCCCAAAGTGCTGGGATTACAGGCATGAGCTGCCTTGCCCGGCCTATGATATGGAGAGTCTTTTCATATGCTTATATTCCATCTGTATATCTTCTTTGGCAGGGTGTCTGTTCAGGTCCTTTGCCCATTTTAAAAATCTGGTTGTTCATGTTCTTATTGTTGAGTTTTAAGCATTTTTTGTATATTTTGGATAGCAGTTCTTTATCAGATATATGTTTTGCCAATATTTTCTCCCAGTCTGCGGCTTGTCTTCTCATTCTCTTTACCACCTGTTTTTGGAAATACAGTTTTATTTTTATATGGCCATACTCATTTATTTTCATATTGTCTGTGGCTACTTTCATGCTACGATGGTATGTTAAGTAGTTAGAACAGAGATCTTATGGTCAGCAAAACCTAAAAGATTTACGATTTGGCTCTTTGCAGAAAGTTTGCCAGTCCCTGGCTGTAGGAGATGGTTTGAAGGCAAGAGCAGTTCACAAAGGGTCTTTTGTGTTTTACTGAGGACTGTAGATTTTATTCTTTGGAGACAGGGAACCAGTGGATTTTGAGCAAGGCAATGGTAAGGCTATTTCTGCGGTAAATTATTCAGGAAAGTAGTCTAATGGATGAATTCGGAGCTATATCAGTTGGGGTTCATTGCAGGAAACAGAAAACACTCTAGGTATTTTGAGCAGAAAAGGATTTAATATGGGGAATTAGATGCTTATAAAAGTCACTGGATGGGCTGATGCAATAGGAGTGAGGGGTCTCCCTGAGGTCTTTGGTTACAGGCTCACAGGCTTGCAGCTCCAGTTCACATGCCAAGAAACTACTGTGCCCTTGCAACCGCTTTATGTATTTGAAGTGGGTGTGCAGGCGATGAGGCATGGTGTCTGCTGGAGCCCCTGCCAGTCACCACCACCACAGGACAAATGGCTTCTGCCTTCCTTCTGCTTTCCAACCTTTCTGCAAGAACTTCTCATTGGTGCAACCTAAATCACACCCAGAGCCTATCTGCAGGAGGGTCTGGAAGTCTTCTAGGCCCTGCAGTGCGTCAGGGCGGGCATATGGGATAGAAGAGGGTGGGAATGTCTGATACAGTGGGGCTGAGACCAGACTCAGGGACTGACGAAGAGGACTGTTGCAGGAACTGGTGAGGTTACAATTGATGACTAGCCTTGGGCAGTAGCGAATAGAGAGGAGACAAGAGAAATACCTAGGAGGTGTAATTAAGCAGGACTGCATGGCTGGCTAATGAGACAAGGTGAAGGGTAAGGAGGGAGGGGGGTACTCCCAGATTCCTCTACTGTGCTGTCATTCATGGAGACAAGAGACGCAAGAGGCGGGGAGCTAATGAAGATGTCACTTTAAAACCACATCTCCCATGGTGGTCGGCTTTGGTGTTCAGCAGGGTTTATGGAACATTGGTACTGCCTGGCTCTGGGGCAGAGTCATTTCTCTGAAAGTGCACCCATAGGAGGAGGAATGAGAACCTAACTGAAGAGACACAGAGAGAAACATCGTATTCCTGACAGTGAACCACAGGGCCACAATAAGGGCACAATTCAGGGCACGTGAGTGCTAGTTCTACTTGAACCAGATCTGTATCTGGATTCTACTACTTCTTGGTCCTAGAAAATTGTGATCGAAAGGGGACAAGTTTAGAGAGAAGCCAATAAAAAGAGTATGGGTGTTGGAGAAATGACTTTCTAGTCTTGAGAGCTTGGTAGCTTGACCATGTGCTGATGGAAGACCAGAACAGAACTGGCTGCAAATGCTTTAGACAGATGTGGATGGCGAGGAAAGAGGGGTGCTTCAGCCATGGTGTTTGTGGCTGTGGTTTGGTGAGATGAGGTTCGACTTTTCCTTTCGGATTCTGTTGGAACTGGATGGCTCCTTTTAAAGTGCCAAGGTCTGTGGAGGTGGTGATTTGGGGTTTGGTTTAGTGACTGCCTTTCTGGTGGCATTTAAATAGCCTAAATAGAATGACTCCTTTCAAACGTTGAATCAATTCTGTATGTAGGCTTTTCTTTTTTTTTTTAAGTTTATTTATTTTTGAGATGGAATCTTGCTCTGTCGCCCAGGCTGGAGTGCAGTGGCACGATCTTGGCTCACTGCAAACTCTGCCTTCTGGGTTCAAGCAGTTCTCATGCCTCAGCCTCCTGAGTAGCTGTGACTACAGGCACCTGCCACCACGCCTGGATAATTTTTGTATTTTTAGTAGAGGCGAGGTTTCGCCAAGTTGGTCATGCTGGTCTCGAACTCCTGACCTCAGGTGATCCACCTGCCTTGGCCTCCCAAAGTGCTGGGATTACAAGTGTGGGCCACCGCGCCTAGCCTCTTTTTTGTTTTTTAAAATTTTGAGACAGGGTCTTGTTCTGTCATCCAGGCTAGAGTACAGTGGTGCAATCAAGGCCCACTGCAGCCTCAACCTCCAAGGCTCAAGTGATCCTCTTGCCTCAGCCTCCCAAATAGCTGGGACTACAGGTGTGCACCACCACAGTAGGCTAATTTTTAAAATTTTTTGTAGAGATAAGGTCTCCCCAGGCTGGTCTTGAACTCTGAACTCAAGCGATCCACCAGCCTTGGCCTTCCAAAGTGCTGGGATTACAGGCATGAGCCGCTGAGCCCCAGCCGGCTTTTCATTTTGTTTTAGATAAAAATAGTAACAGAACTAAAATCTAGAATTTATATTCTGCTTCACATGTACTGGGTTTCATGAAGTTTTTCTTCACCCTTAACTTATTGAAAATATAGTGGAGGTATTTGTCTCAATATTCTTGGGGTCTGCCATCCTTATTTCTTAAGTATTTTTTAGTTCACTTCAGTCTGCCCTCTGCCTCTATCATTCTGCTGCAATGACAGTCACCAAAGCCCCCCTGACCTGTCTGCCAGTTTAACATCATGGACTAGTCCTCTCTAGAAACATTTTGTGCCTTGGTTTCTATAATAATGCAGAATCCCAGAGTGTTCCTTTTTTCCCTTGGTTTTATTGATTTTTATTACTTAAAAAATGAGTTTGATTCATGCGAAAAATATGTATAAATGTATCATATAAGAGCCGGTTGCAGTATTAAATAGGGCAGTCAAGAGAGGTGTTGTTGAGAAGGTGACTTTTAAGCAAAGATTTGAAGGAGGCAAGGAATGTAACCATGAGGATATCTGGGGAAAGAGAGTTTGGGCAGAAGAATGGCTGTTGGAAAGGCCTTAAGTTAGGAATGTGCCTTTGGAGTTGAAGGAACAGTGGAGAGGCCAGTCCCACTGGAGAGGAAGGGGAAGTGGAGTCATAGGAAGAGATGACACTGGTAAAGGGTGGTGCCAGATCATTCTGATGAATTTCTGCTTTATGTATTTCGAGGTTATTTCATTGGATCTAGAGTACAATTTGACATATGTCTTATGGATGAATAGAACGTTTTGGCCTTATCTTGTTATTCTTGTTTTTAGTGCTTTTTCTCTTAAAATTTATTTGGTCTGAAGCCAGGCACAGTGGTATGTGCCTATAGTCCCAGCCACTGGGGAGGCTGAGCTGGGAGGATTGCTTGAGTCCAGGAGTTCGAGTCTAGCCTGGGCAGCATAACAAGACTCCCATCTCTAAAAAAGATGTATATTTATTTGGTCTGACAAATAAAAAGTAACTTAACAACGTGAATGACTCTTAAAAGTATTAGGCTAAGCTTAAGAAGCCAGACATAGAAGCTTATGTTCTATATGATTCCATTTATATAACATCCTGGAAAAGGCAAAATTCTAGGGACAGAAATCCAATCTGAAGATGTGGGGGCATTGGAGGAGGGATTGACTGCAAAGGGGCACAAGGAAATTTTGGGAGCAATGGGAATGTTCTATGTCTCAGTTGTGGTGATGGTAACACCACTATAAACATTTGGTAAAACTTGCCAAATTGTACCCTTAGAAAGGGTAAATTTTACTCTATGTAAATTATACCTTAATTTTAAAAATCATTAAAAGACCCATTTGGTGGCCAGGTGCGGTGGCTCACGCCTGTAATCCCAGCACTGTGGGAGACTGAGGTGGGTGGATCACGAGGTCGGGAGATCGAGACCATCCTGGCCAACATGGTGAAACCACATCTCACTAAAAATACAAAAATTAGCTGGGTGTGGTGGCATGTGCCTGTAGTCTCAGCTACTCGGGAGGCTGAGGCAGGAGGATTGCTTGAACTTGGGAGGTGGAGGTTGCAGTGAGCTGAGATCACGCCACTGCACTCCAGCCTGGGTGACAGAGGGAGACTCTATCTCAAAAATAAAAAATAAAAAAAAAATACAACAACAACAACAAAACCCGTTTGGTGTGACGTTAACCTAACTATCCCAGCTTCCTTTTGTTTTGTGTCCACTTGGCATATTTTTTTCCCTATTCATTTCATTTTAACCTATTTGGTACTTATATTTTAGGTAGTGTTTTTTTGTAACAGCATTTAACTAGAGTTTTAAAAAACCATATGATTTTAAACTGTCACAGTTCATTTATGTTTCTCGTGATTCTTGATATCTTTAGAGTTGTTTTCTTCCTCTTGTTAATTTCTGTCTGTCCTACAGTTTCTGTTTCCCATCTTTGACTAACTTTCCACTTTTTTTACTTTTTTTGAGACAGAGTCTCACTCTGTCGCTCAGGCTGGAGTGCAGTGGCGCCATCTCGGCTCATTGCAACCTCTGCCTCTGGGGTTCAAGCGATTCTCCTGCCTCAGCCTCCCGAGTAGCTGGGCGCGCTCCACCACGCTCAGCTAGTTTTTGTATTTTTAGTAGAGATGGGGTTTCACCTGTTGGCCAGGCTGGTCTCGAACTCCTGACCTCGTGATCCACCTGCCTTGGCCTCCCAAAGTGCTGGGATTACAGGTGTGAGCCACCACGCCTGGCGTAACTTTCCACTTTCCACTGTGTTTGGTCTGCCTTTTCAAGAAAAGTCTTGATGGGTTGAAGGTATCTTTGGCTCCCTGACTATTTGATAATGGAGTGTGAAATTCTGCATCCAGTGGTGTGAAGAGAGCAAGAGCTCATTGACTGGCTCCCGGCCTGAAGGTTTTCTGTTTGGCCTTATGCTGAGTTTTATATACAGCATGTCTATATTTTGGGTCTACTTTGTGTGTTTTGTGTTTTCAAATGGCCTTTGAAGGTCAACTCTTTTTTTTTTTTTTTTTTTTTTTTGAGACAGGGTTTCGCTCTGTCACCCAGGCTGGAGTGCAGTGGCACAATCACAGCTCACTGCAGCCTCGACCTCCCAGGCTCAAGTGATCTTCCCACCTCAGTCTCCCAGGTAGCTGAGACTACAGGTGTGCGCCACCATGCCTGGCTAATTTTTAAATTTTTTTTTGTAGTGACAGTGTCTTCCTGTGTTGCCTAGTCTGGTCTTGGATCCTCTTTCCTCAGCCTCCCAAAGTGTTGGGATTATAGGCGTAAGCTACCGCATCCGGCCTAACAGTACAACTCTATAACGACAAAATGACACAAAGAAAATTTAATGAAATTAGTGAAAACCTAGAGTAGGATGTGGTGCAGATACTCATTATTTTGTAGTGGAGAATGGGAGATTAGGGCCCGGTTGGTTTTGTTCCTTTTCTTTGAAATTTTACCTTTAGAACCAGTAAAAAAAAAAAGTTTTCTTTTAAATAAAGTTATACATTTTTCTTTACACTTAGAAAAAGGATGATGAATTGGAGACTTCCGAGGAGTTATTTCTTCCACCTGGTTTGTGGTTTTTTTGGGGAGGAAGGGGCTTGGGGGAAGTGGTGCTGAAGCTTTCACTCAAACACCAGGCCACGGCTCTGTGTGCCTCATTCATCTTTGTGTCCCCAGCAGGACCTAGAATAGTGCCTCACTGCACGTAGTAGCAGCTCAATAAATATTTGCTGAGCTGAAAGAGTCTCGTGTTCCTGCTCTTCATTCGCCAAAACTTCTGGGTGGGTCATGTTGCTGGTTTACGTTCCCTGGCGCCTTGACTCCTGAGATGCGATAATTTGAGGACCACAGAGAAGAGGGGGCGCCCTTTATCACAGCCGCCTTGTGCTTGCAAGGTGAACCACCAAGAGTGTGCTGGGGTCCCACTGCCTGCACAGTCTCTGTGGCTTCATCTGTTTTTTTCTTCATGATTGATATTTCTGTGTTGAATGCTTTTCACCGACTGTTCTTTTCAAATCCTTGCAGCTTTTAAGGTTAGTATTGGAATCAGAGAAGAATTGACACATAAATAAGTCTTGTTTGGGAAAAGAAGGTGTAAAGTCCGTGTACTTCAACTCTGCCAGAAAAGAATGTTACTTACCCTCTAAGAATAGGTAATATCTCATTTATACTAGGTGTTCAAATTCCCAAGTGATTATTGAATCTTAGGATTGAGTGTCTCCTTGAGGACATTAGGATCACTGGAATGCTGCTCCTTCGACATGGGCACTGGATCCCACAGAGTGATGCCATAACTGTATGAGGGCTGCTGAACTAGACCAGCAAGAACTGGGTCAAGGCTGTTCCCTAGTCATGCATGTATTTGAGAGTTCCATCTTCTACTGTGGAAATTGAATTGTCATTTATTTGCATTCATTTTCTATTGCTCTGTAACAAATCACCACAAACTCAGGGCTTAAAACAACACCATTTATTAGCTCACAGTTCTGTAGGTCATAAGTCCAGGATCACACGGCTGACTTTTCCCTTCAGGGTCTCACAAGGCCAAAATCAAGGCTCTGGCAGGACAACATTCTTATCTGCATACACTGGGGAAGAATTCATATCAAAGGTCATTCAGGGCTGGGCACAGTGGCTCACGCCTGTAATTCCAGCACTTTGGCAGGCTGAGGTGGGCAGATGGCTTGAGTACAGGAGTTTGAGACCAGCCTAAGCAACATAGCCAAACCCCATCTCAACAAAAAAAATACAGAAATTAGCTAGGCATGGTGGCGCATGCCTGTCATCCCGGTTACTCAGGAGGCTGAGGCGGGAGGATCGCTTGAGCCCAGGGAGGTCGAGGATGCAGTGAGCTGTGATTGCACCACTGCACTCCAGCCTGGGCGACAGAGGGAGACCCTGTCTCAAAAAAAAAGAAAAAGAAAAAAAAAGTCATTCAGGTCCTTAGCTGAATTTAGTTATTTGCAGTTGTAGGACTGAGGTGCCCATTCCTTGCTGACCATCAGCGGGGGTCCCTCTCAACTCCTTAAGCTTCCCCCTGGCCCCGACCCCTGCATTCCTTCTCACGGTGCCCCCTCCACCTTCGAGCCAGGAAAGGAGTGTCAGATCTCCCTGTGATTTGAATCTCTCTGATTTTCTCTCCTGCCACCTGCTGGAGAAGGCGCTCTGCTTCCAGGAGGTGATGTGATGCTAATTAGACTGAGAGAGCACCGCCCCCCACCCCCGCCCCGCCCGATGATCCCCTTTCTTAAGGTCTGCTGTGGTACACGACGACATACTTGACGACATACTCAAGGGTGTGGCACCTTGTCATATTCACAGGTTTTAGGCATTGGAGGGGGGCTAGAGTGAGAGGGATGTCATTTTAGAAATTCTCCCCACAGTAGAAAGACTCTCTCTAATGGGCCAGCCATGGTGGCTCAGACCTGTAATCCCAGCACTTTGGGAGGCCGAGGTGGGAGGATCACTTCACCTTAGGAGTTCAAGACCCCCATCGCTATAAAAAAAAATCAAAAAAATTAGCCAGGCGTGGTGGTCCGATTCCATTCTTTAAAGGAGTCGGGGAGGTGATGAGTGACTGGATTGGAAAGAATATGCAAAGTACTGGAGGTTACAGGCCCAAGAGTGATTTTGAACCTGACAGCTTGCATCTTTCCTTCATTCAACAGATATTTCCTGAATCCTACTGTGGGCCAGGCACACACTAGGTGCTGAGTCTCCAGAGGTTCACAAAACAAGACATGATCTCTGCCCTCATGAATGTGTAGTGACACATAGCAGTGCCATAAAGGGAACAATTAGGATGTTATGAGAGAATGAAAGGAAATTTACTGTAGCCTGGGAGATGAGGGACATTTGGACTGAGATTTGGCCTAGGAATTTGGCCACCTGGGTGGAAAGTCCAGGAAGAGAATGCCGGGCAAGTAGATCAGCAAAGGGTCTGACTCTCCCTTGGTAGGGGTCTAGAGAGGTATTTTGAGGGATGTCCATTGAACATATTCTTTTTGGAGCCTGCCTCCGTCCTGCTGAATTCCTGCCTTGTGATTTGTCGTGTCAGAACACTTAGAAATAATGCTCTACCCAGCTCATGCCTCTAATCCCAACACTTTGGGAGGCCGAGGCTGGAGGATTGCTTGAGGCCAGGAGTTTGAGACCAGCCAGGACAACATAGCAAGACTCGATCTCTAGTTAAAAAAAAAAAAAGGAAAGAAAGAACACTCTAATATACTGTAGTCCCCCATTCATTCAAGGTCCTGTGTAGTCCTTTCTGGTCTGGAGCTATAGTAAAAGGAGGCAGTGAGTGGGCCAGATTCAAACAGGGAATGATGCCAGTAGCGAGAAAGTGAAGAGGCTTTTCTGGCGCACCTGTACAGGTTGTGCTCTGCATTCCTTGGGGGCCAGCCCCATGGAGATTCCTCCTGTGCACAGTGGAGGTTGATGGGGATGCTCATCTCCTAAGCGGCAACAGTGTCCTATGCACTCATAATTCAGGGTCAGGGGATCTCAGGTCATAGGACAAATCACAGGCTGCTGTCTCTGTTCAGGGTACCTCAAGCCATCAATGGCCACGTTGAGCAGGTGAACACTTCCCCTCTGAACTCTCTAGCTCTCTTTGAAGTTTGGGAGGGCATTTGAGCACTCTTCTCAGCTAAGCCCAACATACGGCCTGGAAGTAGATTGGACAAGTCACCATTTACTATACCTTCTCTCTCAAGGTGAGTTTTTTTAGTCTAATGAAATTGCCACCTTTGAGAAGGTTGCTCTGTACTCTAGGGTGCGCAAAAGGAAATTGTTTGTCTTCCGGAAGTCTTTCTGTAATTTAGAATGGACTTGGCAGCGATTTTATTTTTACCTTCCCTGTCATTTGTGAGGCTGGCAGTCCAGAGGTAGGGTGTGGAATGGAGCCGTAAATTGCGCTTGCAGTGACCAGAAGGGGCCCATTTTAACTCTAATTGTGCCTTTCCCGGTTCACTTCTCCTTTTACCCGCCCTCTCCTTTTTTTTTTTTTTTCTAATCCACATTTGAGTGGGGAGGAAGAATTGAGGGGGGTGCAGGTGGGAGTAGGTTTATTTATTGGCGCTTCTCTGGGTGGTGGACACTGTTTCTTTTCCCATTACGGCTTCCTTTTTTATTTTTTCATGCTTCTATTTTAAGTGCCTGTTTCTTTCTGGTTCTGTCTTGCTGGAAACTGGCCCAGCTCCACTGAATTTTTTTTTCCATGCAGCTATTAAAAGACAATGACCAGTT
Organism: Homo sapiens; assembly: GCF_000001405.40. NCBI lineage: Eukaryota > Metazoa > Chordata > Mammalia > Primates > Hominidae > Homo > Homo sapiens. The sequence continues at coordinate 69,861,898 of NC_000016.10, forward strand.
AAGAGTGTGCTCAGAGGAAGGACAGACTTGAGGTGGGGAGCCCTCTTGGTTCTAGTAATCCTAGGCAAATACCGCTTACCCGGATTGGAATGTGAGAGGAGTTTTATTAGGTAATTTTACTTTTTGTGCCTGTTTTATAGGAGGAAAATCAATAATCAGGTTGTTTTGTTTTGTTTGTTTGTTTTGAGACAGACTTTCGCTCTTGTTGCCCCGGCTGGAGTGCAATGGTGTGATCTCGGCACACTGCAACCTCAGCCTCCAGGGTTCAAGTGATTCTCTTGCCTCAGCCTCCTGAGTAGCTGGGATTACAGGCATTCGCCACCATGCCCGGCTAATTTTGTATTTTTAGTAGACACGGGATTTCTCCATGTTGGTCAGACAGGTCTGGAAGTCCCGACCTCAGGTGATCCACTCACCTCGGCCTCCCAAAGTGCTGGGATTACAGGCGTGAGCTACCGCGCCTGGCCCTTGTTTTGTTTTTTTGAGATGGAGTCTCGCTGTGTCACCTAGGCTGGAGCGCAGCAGCAGGATCTCTCTCAGCTCACTGCAGCCTCCATTCCCCAGGCTGGTCTCGAACTCCTGACCTCAGGCAATCCAACCACCTCGGCCTTCCAAAGTGCTGGGATTACAGGCATGAGCCACCATGCCTGGCCAGTAATCAGTTTTTATACCTTGAAACTTCTCTTTTGCTGAACTTGAATACCAGTGGGCCTGAATCTGGGGTCAATGAACCTCCCTTTCATATTCTGGGCCTCTTTTACCAAGATAGAAAAGTATGCTTGGAACCTGGTATCCAGCCAGCCATGAATTCTTTTTTTTTTTTTTTTTTTTTTTTTTGGAAACAGGGTCTCTTGCTCTATTGCCCAGGATAGAGTGTAGTGGTGTGAGTGTGATCACAGCTCACTGCGGCCTCGACCTCCCCAGCTCAAATGATTCTCCCACCTCAGCCTCCCGCATAGCTGGGATCACAGGCACTTGCCACTATACCTGGCTAATTTAAAATAATTTTTTATGGAGACGAGGTCTCCCTGTGCTGCCAGGCTGGGTTTGCACTCTTGGGCTCAAGCAGTCCTCCGCCCTTGGCCTCCTAAAGTGCTGGGATTACAGGTGTGAGCCGCCACCCCCGGCCTAGCCATGAATTCTCGGCATTTGGGAGAGATATGTCCCTAGTCTTTATAGAATCCTACATGTATTAATTTAGAAATGTTTGTAGGGTCTTGAATTTTGCCTGAATCACATTCCCATCCACATTCTTGCTGTTTTTTTGACCATACCCTCACGCCATACCTGCCTTCTACAACTTTTGCTCACTTTTACATTTTCTCCACAAATGGCTTTTTTAAATTATTAAGTTACTATAATTTACAAACAGTAAAATTTACCCTTACTAGTGTATAGTTCTGTAAGTTTTGACAAAAGCATACAGCCAGGTAGTCACTATCATAATCAAGATACAGAAAGGCTGGGCGTGATGGCTCATGCCTGTAATCCTTGCACTTTGAGAGGCCGAGGCGGGTGAAGTCCTGAGGTCAGGACTTCAAGACCAGCCTGGCCAACATGGTGAAACCCCGTCTTTACTAAAAACACAAAAATTAGCTGGGCGAGGTGGCAGGCGCCTGTAATCCCAGCTACAAGGGAGGCCGAGGCAGGAGAATTGCTTGAACCTGGTGGGGGCAGAGGTTGTAGTGAGCCGAGATTGCGCCACTTCACTCCAGCCTGGGTGAAAGAGTGAAACTCCGTCTCAAAAACAAACAAAGAAACAAACAAACAAAAGATACAGAAAGTTTCATCACCCCAGAAAGTTCCCCAGTGCCCCTTTGTAGCCAGCTCCTCCTTGTACCCGTCGCTGCTGGCAAGCATGGATCTGTATTCTTTCTCTAAGTTTGACCTCTTCTTGAATATCTTAAAAATGGAAATGTACACGTATAGCCTTTGGTGTCTTTTACTTAGCATAATGCGGTTGTGATTCACCTCTGTTGCTGCATGTACCAGCACTTTATTCCTTTTATGCATTGAGTTTATTCCACTATGTGTATGTACCACAGTTGGTCTACTCATTCACCAATTGAAGGACTTGGAGTTGCTTACAGTATTTGGCGCTTACAAGCAAAGCCTCTATGAGCTTTTGCATACAGGCTTTTATGCAAACATGTTTTCATTTCTCATGGGTAAATACCTAGGAGAGGCCAGGTGTGGTGGCTCATGCCTGTAATCCCAGCACTTTGTTTGGGAGGCCAAGGAGGGTAGATTGCTTGATCTCAGGAGTTCGATATCAGCCTGGGCAACATGGTAAAACCCCTTCTCTACCAAAAATGCAAAAATGAGCTGGACATGGTGGTGCGCACCTGTGATCCCAGCTACTTGGGAGGTTGGGGTGGGAGGATTGCAGGAGCCCAGGAGGCTGCAGTGAGCCATGATCACGCCATTGCACTCCAGCCTGGGTGACAGAGTGAGACCCTGTCTGAAAATATTAATTTTTAAAAATACCTAGGAGTAGGGTTGTCAGTTTGCATGCCAAGCATATATTTAACTTTATAAGAAACTGCCAAACAGTTTACAAAGTGGCTGTGTTCCCGCCATCAATGTATGAGAGTTCCAATTACTTTGCATCCTAATCCAGACTTATTACTGTAAGTTGTATAAAAACTCTGTCCATTCTTTTTGTTGTGGGAGACAGAGTCTCGCTCTGTCACCCAGGCTGGAGTGCAGTGGCACAATTTTGGCTCACTGCCACCTTGGCCTCTCGGGGTTCAAGCGATCTCCTGCCTCAGCCTCCTGAGTAGCTGAGATTACAGGCGCCAGCCACTATGCCTGACGAATTTTTGCATTTTTTTTTTTTTTTGAGACAGAGTCTGGCTCTGTCACCCAGGCTGGAGTGCAATGGCTCGATTTTTAATAGAGAAGGGGTTTCACCATGTTGGCCAGGCTGGTCTCAAACTCCTGACTTGAAGCAATCCGCCTGCCTCGGCCTCCCAAAGTGTTGGGGTTACAGGCGTGAGCCACCACGTCCAGCCTAAAAAACTTTGTCAATCCTGATAGATATGTAATGATATCTCATTGTAGTTTTAATTTGCACTTCCCGAAGAACTTATGATGTTGAGCATCTTTTTTTGTGCTTATTTTCCCTCTGTAGATCTTCTTTGGTGATGTGTCTGTTCAAATCTTTTTTTTAGTCGGGGTTTGGCTCTGTCGTGTAGGCTGGAGTGCAGTGGCGTGATCTCGGCTCACTGTAACCTCCACCTCCCAAGCTCAAGCCATCCTCCTGCCTCAGCCTTCCAAGTAGCTGGGACTACAGGCGCTTGCCACCATAACTAGCAAATTTTTGTTATTTTTGTAGAGACAGGGTTTTGCCATGTTGCCCAGGCTGGTCTCGAACTCCCGACCTCAGGTGATCCGCCTGCCTCAGCCTCCCAAAGTGCTGGGATTACAGGCATGAGCCACCACACCCAGCCTCAAATCTTTTGATTATTTAAAAAATATTGGGGTTGTTTTCTGATTGCTGAATTTTAAGAGTTCTCTATCAATTCTAGATAAAATTCCTTTATCAGACATATATTGTCAACCATAAAAGTCACAAACTCTATAAATTTAGAAAAGAGAGCTTCATTTCTAAAGGGGGGGTACCATAACCTGCAGGCAGGAAGTGGAGCCTCTACCTGAAACCAAAAAGCAGGCATTTCAAGGGAGGGAAAGATGAGACAGTAATTTACGCTAAACTGGTTGGCTAAGTTTACATATTTATCAGGTTATAGGAGAAGCTATAAATATTTATGAAGGGGACACACATGCATGTGTCATAAACTAACACGTTTGTTACATGTGTCCCTTGTTGCCCTTTGAGATGGACACTTAATATTTAAATGTATTACTGTTAGACCCTGTCCATCAGAAGGTGAAGCAGAGGACAGAAAGATACTGAGTGCACAGCCTCCGTGGCCTGGCCAGAACCACACCATAGTCAGTGGCCTCTTATCAGAAAGGAATGCCGGTCAGTTGCTGTGTGGAAACCACAAAAGGGAAGGCAGCGTGAGGCCATTGGTTGAAATCAGCAGTGAACAAGTCTTTTGAGAGGGTTGATTTTTGTTCGACACTGAGGAAAGAAAGACTTATGGTGGCTAGGGAAGGAGGGGGTGTAACGAGGTGTCTCTGACCTCGCATCTCATCATGGCTGGGAATTAAGGTTTTTAAGGTTTCTCTGGCGTCTTCTTGGCCAAGAGGGGGTCCATTCAGTTGGTTGAGGAGCTTAGGATTTTATTATTATTTCTCAGTATTGTGGACTGTCCTGTCATTTTTTTGGACAGTGTCTTTAGAAGAGCAGGAGTTTAAAATTTTTGATGAAGCCACAAAATGCTTTTTAAAAAAAGGTTTCACATTTTATTTATTTATTTATTTATTTATTTATTTATTTATTTATTTATTTATGGAGACGGAGTCTTCCTACATTGCCTGGGCCAGTCTCAATTGATCCTCCTGCCTCAGCCTCCCAAAGTGCTGGGATTACAGGCATGAGCCACTGCACCTAGCCTCATTTTATTAGATATTTTTGCTTTCTACAAATTTCTTCCCTATTTCCCCCTCTCCCTAGCTCCTTGCAACCATCATCCCGCTTTCTCACTCAATTAGTTTGGCTACTCCAGGTAACATTTAAATGGAACCACACAGGATTTGTCTTTTTGCCACGGGCTTCTTTCACTTAGCAGAATGTCCTCGAGGTTCATCCATGTGGTAGCCTGTGTCAAAATTTCCTTCCTTTTTAAGGTTGAGTAATACTCATATGTATGCATATACCATACTTTATCCATTTGTCGAGGATGGGTTGCTTCTACCTCTTGGCTATTGTGAATAATGCTGTTGTCTACCTGCGTGTGCAAATATCTCTCCTGAGGTCTTGCTTTCAGTTCCGTATTTATTTATTTATTTATTTATTTATTTATTTATTTATTTATTTATTTATTTTTGAGACGGAGTCTCGCTCTGTCGCCCAGGCTGGAATGCAGTGGTGCGATCTTGGCTCACTGAAACCTCCGCCTCCTGGATTCGAGTGATTCTTCTGCCTCAGGCTCCTGAGTAGCTGGGACTACAGACATGCGCCACCAGGCCTGGCTAATTTTTGTTTTTAGTAGAGTTGGGGTTTTGCCATGTTGGCCAGGCTGGTCTCGAACTCCTGACCTCAGGTGATCCACCTGCCTCAGCCTCCTGAAGTGCTGGGATTATAGGCATGAGCCACTACACCTGGCCAAGGCTTTTTTTTTTTTTTTTTAAACCAAACAAACAAAATCCTGTTTTGTTTAATTACTCCACATGATCTGTTGCAAAGGTGACAATGGTCAGCGAGGCTGCACTGAGGTAACACTGTCACGTGGTCAGCCAGGCTCACTCACCAGCAGGTGGCTTCCCCAAAGCAGCATTGTGTGCTATGATAGAAATTTGTGTCTCAGCAGAATTACAAATCACAGCATTTCCACTAAGGTGGAAGCTCCTTGAGGTCAGGGACTCTGTTTTATCTCTAGAATGGGGCCTAACACTCAGAAAAGGATGATTGAGTACATTTCAGCGGCCCTCATGAAGGGCGAGGCCAGGTGTCCCATGACACCCAAGGCTCTGGCTGTCAGGGTGTAGCTGAGGATGGAGGCCAGGGCTTTGACCATCAAAGCTTAAATGCCAAGTGTCAGTGAGCAGCTCTGTCCTGGGGACCTCATCTGTGTCAGAACCACTTTGGGGAGCGTGGGTCCTGGTCGTGGCTGGCCTGCCTTCAGGAGGCCTCAGTTCTTGAGAGAGGACCTTGAGTGAGGACACACCGCATCCTGAGAAGGGCGAGCTACAAAGAGAGCTGAATTTCTGTAATGAGTTGACTTAAAACCATTTGTGGAGTTTGGCCTGACTGGCACTGCCATTCTAACTGCTTTCTGCCTGCCCTGGGGGCTGTATAACTCGTCCCCTCCCCCTAAATGGTGAGGGGGCTTGGGCCAAGGTTGAAGTCATGGGCAGAGCCGAGCCTGGCTGTCTCAGCCATCACCCTGCATTTGTCTGGGTGCTATTTTGGCCCACGATGTGTGGTTTCAGCATCTGGGCCAGCTTTTCATTACAATATGATCCCATCTTTTATGGGTTGAGTGAGTTCTCCAAGAGAGGAAACTGCCAAAGAGAGGAGTTGCCTCAGATGTTGAGGCCTTTTCTTCCTTTAAGCATCTTATTTTAAAGGTAACACAAGAGCCAAAAACTGGAAACTCCAGATTTAGGGCAAGGGGAGAATCTGGGGAGAGGGGATGTGGTGTTTGTGTGTGTGTTGGGGGGTGGTGGCTGGCCACGGGCAGGGAGGTGGCAGTTCATGCAAAGTGATCCCAGCTGCCCCTAGCTTAGGGCTGATCCCGCCCTGCCCAGCCCATCATTCAGGGTAAGCCGCTATCATTAGTGGTTAAGTGTTTCTGAAAGTATTCTCTCTCCATGCTGACCACATGCCCTTTCTGGGAAGGGAGGGCAGGGCCAGGGAGTAATGGGACCCACCCTATTGTCATGCCCAGCTGCTCTGCAGAGGGACAGGGAACCCGGGGCTGGAGTTGATCATGGACATGTCTGTCTGAGGGGTTGACAGTGCACGTTTTGCAGGTCCTGCAGCTCCCTGAGGGGTCCAGCTTGCTCCTGGGGGCTGCAAGTTCCAAATCAGAGAGGCTTTTTGTCCTAGTAAAGGGATCCTTGGCTGAAACAAACCTTCTATTAACCAATTTTCTCCCTCAAGCTCTCTGCCCTCAACACATACACATGTGCACACACACACACACACACACACACACACACAGACATACACACACAGATATACACACATACACACACACCAGCTTGCTGAGGGCTGCCTGCCTTTCCCTTTGGAACTCATTTGTGCTCATTCCACTTTTGAGGAGGAGCTGTGGTGAAATGCTTAAGGTGAACATTTCTTCCCATGAAGTGGGAACTTTGAAATATTCATCTTTGACTGAGGTGTGGTTGACAGCTTTTTGTTGTTGTTGTTGAGACAGAGTCTCTCTCTGTGTTGTCCAGGCTGGAGTGCAGTGGTACAATCTCGGCTCACTGCGACCTCCACCTCCCGGGTTCTAAGTGATTCTCCTGCCTCAGCCTCTGAAGTAGCTGGGATTATAAGCGCTCACCACCATGCCTGGCTAATTTTGTATTTTTAGTAGAGATGGGGTTTCGCCATGTTGGCCAGGCTGGTCTCGAACTCCTGACCTCAGGTGATCCACCTGCCTCAGCCTCCCAAAGTGCTGGGATTACAGGCATGAGCCACTGTGTGCGGCCAACAGCTTTTGATTTATGAAATTAGCTCAGGGAAAAAGTTAAGGTGGAAAAAGAGAGTCCACATTGAGTATTTCCACAGTTCAGTCGTACTCTGTCTCCATTGCCATGCAGTGTTTAGGTATGAGGGACTCCAGAGTTTGCTACGTTTCTCCCTTTTTCTCCTTTTTTTTTTTTGTTGGGGATTGGGGGCAAGAAAAACTTAATTTTTTTTTTTTGTTAAACAAGGTCTCACTCTTTTGCCACGCTCTCAGGCTGAAGTGATCCTCCTGCCTTGGCCTCCCAAGTACCTGGGACCACAGGGGCACGCCACCACACCTGGCTAATTTTTTAAATTTTTTGCTAGAGATGAGGTCTCCCTGTGTTGCCCAGGCTGGTCTCAAACTCTTGAGCTCAAGTGCCGTCCCATCTCAGCCTCCCAAAGCGTTGGGATTACAGGTGTGAGCCACTGCACCCAGCCAAAAAGTCATGTTTTTTTCCTTACTCACAAGTATACAAGCTCAATGAAGGAAGCTGGAAAAATCTAGAAGAGCACAAAAGGGCTTCTTTATTCCCAATATCCAAAGATAATGACGGTTAAGATTTTGGTTTATGTTCATCTTGTCAAATTCTGTTTCTTACTTTAGAGAAGGTAGCTGGTCTGGGTGGTTCATATCCCTCAAGGAGCTTCCTGTTGACTGCCTCAACACACTGGACCAAAGACTCCCAGCAGGGTCGTTCTGCTGGAGGTGGATCCTCCCAATGGGGAACTTTCTATTATAGCTCTTAATTTCACCATTGTCCAAATGACCAACAAAAAAATAGCCCAAGAGGAATTTAGCTTGAGTTCAGGCTTCCTGTCCCATCTTCTGACCTAAGAGCCTAGGCTCTTGACATTAAACTGCCTGTACATGAATCTTTGCATCATTTGGCTTACTTTCTGTAGAGCTTCTCTGTGTCTGTTTGCTTATCTGTAAAGCGGGGATAATAATATTAATCTACCTTTAGGGTTCCCATGTTAAATGAGAACATATATGTAAATGCATAGCACACACAGTGCCTGGAACATAATGTTAGAGTTCAGTGAATATTATATACTTCTGTAGCCATTATTATTACCTTTATTTATTTATCCTTTTTTTTTTTTTTTTTGGAGACACTCTCACTCACTCTGTCACCCAGGCTGGAATACAGTGACGTGATCTTGGCTCCCTGAAACCTCTACCTTCTGGGCTCAAATGATCCTCCTACTTCAGCCTCTTGAGTAGCTGGGACTACAGGCATGCACCGGTAGTGCAGCTAGTTTTGTTTATTTTTTGTAGAGGCAGGGTCTCATTATGTTGCCCAGGCTGGTCTCAAACTCCTGGGCTCAAGTGATCCTCCCGCCTTGGCCTCCCAAAGTGTTAGGATAACAGGCGTGAGCCACTGTGCCCAGCCACCTTTATTGTTGAGAGTAGTTTTATCGCCCCATGTTGCATGGTACAAATTGTCTCTGGGTCTCTGTTTCTCTGTCTGGAGAGGGGTGATCTTTTCTTCACTGGATGGTATTTGAAACATCTCACAGTTGCAAAGTAGTAGATGCTTACTAAGTAGTAGAAGAGCCTCGTTTGGTGAAACAGATGAACCGAAGGACAGGGAGGCTTAGACATTTTCACTGAGTGGGCAAAGTCAAGCTGCAAAAAGAACTTGAGAGCACATGCTGCCTGTTGCCTTGTGTTCTCTGAAGATGTCTGATAGGTTTTCTGCTGCTAAATTCCACACTTTTCTTTGTGATTTCTGCATTGCTTCTCATTTACTTGGATGGATTGTTGAGTCATCTTTTCTAGATAAAACATGTCTAGGCCAGGCATAGTGGCTCATACTTGTAATCCCAGCACTTTGGGAGGCTGAGGTGGGAGGATCGTTTGAGCTCAGGAGTTTGAGACCAGCCTTGGCAACATAGCAAGACCCCATCTCCCCAAAAATAAAAAAATGAGCCAGGCGTGGTGCTGTGTGCCTATAGTCCAGCTACTGGGGAGGCTGAGGTGGAAGGATCACTTGAGCCCAAGAGTTTGAGGCTGCAATGAGCTATGATCGTGCCACTCCAGCCTGGGCAGCAGAGTGTGACCCTGTCTCTAAACAAACAAGTGAATGACAACAACAAAAAGTGTCAACATATGCATTGACTAAAAGTTGTTTAATGCCCCTTGACTTTTATTGCCAAGGGAATCATCTTTCTAGCTATAGAGAAAATTGCTTTGGATAAGTTTTGAGCTCTTCTTGCCTAATGGGGGAAATATTTCATCTGAGCCTGTCCAGTGATTCTTGTTTATTTGTAACATTTGAGCCCAATAAAAATAATGTGATGGTCACAGGATATTTTGCCAATTATTTCAGATGTAGGGGCAATTCACTCTGGATTTGTTTACTTGAAGTGGAAAAGTTTACACAAAGTTACCTTCTGAGCTTTTACCAAAAAGGAAACTTCCCTGGGTCTCTCTGCTTGGAACCAGCTTCTGTTTAGTCCAAAACTAGAGGGGCTATTAAAGGTCTTGTTTCCAATAAATGGCAGGAGAAGGGAATATGATGACTTAGGTAGGAAACACTTCTGTCCTTTTCACAGTGACTTATGTCTGTCTGCTTTCTACTTTGAACCCCCAGGACGCACAGACATTCGGGTGCTTCAGCCAGAACAACCCCAGCAACCGGCGAGCAAAGCCCCGGTGCTCGGAGCCGGCACCGCCAGCCCGTCAAGAACTCAGGCCACAGTGGCTTGGCCAATGGCACAGGTGAGTGATGGCACCGCACGCCAGCCTGCACTGAAGCTGTGGGCTCTCACCCGTTCTAACGTGGACACGGGATCCTGCCCACTGTGTCAGAATAGAGGGTGGGCGTCAGAAGGCTCTAGGACTAAACTGGATTTGAATCCATCAGTCTTTCTACTGACCCATCTTCTTCTCTCTCTGGCATATTCTGTACAGCCAAGGTTATTCTCCATATGACTGCGCTCTTCTAAAATACTCATTTGCACAGAAATAAAAAGTCTTGTCTTTCTATAAAGACAATAAAAAGAAATGTCTTTTTTTTTTTTTGAGACGGAGTCTCACCCTGTCGCCCAGGCTGGAGTGCAGTGGCGTGATCTCGGCTCACTGCAAGCTCCGCCTCCCGGGTTCATGCCATTCTTCTGCCTCAGCCTCCTGAGTAGCTGGGACTACAGGCGCCCACTGCCACGCCCGGCTAATTTTTTGTGTTTTTAGTGGAGACAGGGTTTCACCGTGTTAGCCAGGATGGTCTTGATCTCCTGACCTTGTGATCGCCCGTCTTGGCCTCCCAAAGTTCTGGGATTACAGACGTGAGCCACTGCGCCTAGCCTTTCTATTCATTTCTTATCTGCATTGGATTTCATGTTGGGGAGGATATCTCATTTATACATAGCATATTTTTTATTTCCTTCACGTAAGGGAATTATCAGACTAAGGAAATGTAGGACTAAGTATTGTTGCTAAGAGCTGAGTCAGATGATGGCACCACTGGTGAATGGGTTGAGATGCTGACTGGGGCAGAGCCAGGTAACTACTTGGGGGTGTGCAGGGGCCATCCCGATGGGGGCCCCATTTGAGAGGAGACAGTGCCGTCCACGTGCGCATGGAACTTCCCCACACTTGGCTCTGCTTCCCCGTAAGTGAGACGGGAAGGACCTATTTCAAAACAACTCATTTTCCGTCCTGCTCTCCCTCTCTCTCATCAGGACAGAGTCAAAAAGGAAAAAGAAAAAACAAACCCATTCATTTCTATAAACTTCTCAAAGATTGTCAAATCTTTAGAGACTGCTGGTCGTTTGGTAGTTTGTCTTCATTTCGGGCAGTTGGGCTGGGATGTAGATGTTTCGCTTGGATGAATTGTAGGTAGAGGAATGCAGGTGTTGAAATTTGGTAAGTGACGCTGAGATAGTTTTCTAGTGCTCGTGACAGCAGAGGTGTGGCGTAAAGGCCAGGAGACCCAGAGCAGCATGGCTTTTCACGGAAGTGTTGTTGTGGCATTGTTAAGTGACCTCTGTGACAAACTTACTGAGTGGAAGAAATTGATTTGGGTTCCTTTGCAATACCCTTCAGTTCTGTGGCAGCACCATATGGGGGCTTCAGAGTCCCCGTGGCTGCTGCTGTTGCCTGGGTACCCTGTCATCTTCTGTGGACCACAAGATGGAGTGGTCTGTGTCCTACAAAGCGCACTGTGAGTGCAGTGGCCTGACCTCCTCCCTGAAGTTTGGGAGCTGCCTGAAGGACTTGAGTGAACTGACTAGCCCACCCTGAGCCTTGGGGAAGAGGAGGAGCTGCAGGTGGGGAGTCCCAGGGCTGCCGTCTCAGCTGCCTGGCGCCCCTGTGCCACCCACTGTATCCTTGTGCTGGAACATCCGGTGGTAGCTGAGCCTGGCCTTCCTGTCTGTGTGAAGGAGACAGCAAAGTGATGGCCGTGAGCCATAGTATAGAGAACCATAGGCAGCTCTGCGAGCATTTTTCTCTTAGAAAACTCAGTGGCTTGTGGAGGAGGGCAGTGTTTACAAATGGGGATGGGGGACTGGCTTTTAGGAACCAGCTGATTCCCAGGTGCCATGGCAGAGCTACTAGCAGCTTTGTTCTGCCAGATGCCTGTGTTATTGAGATCATGGTTTCCCGCAGCTACCTCTGCTTTTCCTATAAAAACTATTGGTGAATTGATTTTCTTTGGTGATGGTCCTTGAGTCACTCTTGGACATTTCAATAGAGCTATATTTCCCCTACATTTATTTTTAGGTACCATTACTTGTTGTCCTTATCTCTAGGAACCTTATGTTCTAGCAGACAAGGCAGGTGCCAGCCGTGTCTTCAAAAGCCAGGCGTCTCTAACCTTGGACTGCCTTGGAAGTGTTTCATGGTGGTGTCTCTCAGTGCCCAAACCTGTTCCTAAGATCCATCTCTGAAGGGCAGTTGTATTTTAGGGATTTCTGCCCACTCCAGTGCTGAGGGCTTGATGTCCATCTCTCCCCTTTCTGCTGTGATGGTGGTTCACCTTTACCTCACAGGCAGCCTGTACTTTATATAACGTCTGCCCCAAGGGTACAGAACAGTGTCACCTTTGCCGTGGGGAGCAGGCAGAAGCTCCCCTCTTCAGCAGCGCAGGACCAGAGGGGGGTCGAGGGTGTGAATGAGGACATCTTCATCCCTCGGGCTGCTGCTGTGAGAATTCTGAGGACCAGTTCCAAGATGGTGGTGGTGGGGAGCTCTGCCTCCTGGAAGAGTTTCCACAGACTTGCGAGATTTATTTAGCAGCCTTTTTTGGCTGCGCACTGCAGTTATGCATGAAAAAGAAATTTGAGGCCAAACCGGAGCTGGGTTCCAGGTGGTTTTTTTATGTTGTCACAACCATAAAGTATCCATTTTTATAAAACAAGAGTGAATGGCAGCCCGTCTGTATAAATATTATATTTCTAAGTTTTAGAAGTGGTGGAATCAAGAAATAGACGAATGGCATAGCCCTTCATTGAGACTTGTATGGGATGATTTACTTGCTAATTCTTTATTGAAGACTTTACCCCCAAATTTTACATATTTTACTTCTTCCCTAAATGTAATTTCCATACACATCAGTCAGAAGTTGCATCAGCCGTGGTCAGATTCCGATTCTTCATCTTTAATGCGTTTAAGGCCCAGTGACTCGCTAGGTCTTAGTTTTCTCATTTATAAAATTAGGGCAAAAGTTGGGCGTGGTGACATGCATCTGTAGTCCCTGCTACTCAGGAGGCTGAGCCAGGAGGATCGTTTGAGCCTAGGAGGCAGATGTTGCAGTGAGCTGAGATGGCACCACTACACTCCAGCCTGGGCAACAGAGTGAGACCTTGTGTCAAAAAAAAAAAAATTACAGCAAAAGTATATATCTCATAAGTTGTCATAAGGCATAAATTACAGACACACCTTCAAGATATTATGGGTTTGTTTCCAGACTATCACAATAAAGTGAATATCACAAAAAAGCAAGTCACATGAATTTTTTGGTTTCCCAGTGCATATAAAAGTTATGTTTACACTATACTATGGTCCATAAAAGGTACAACAGCATTATGTCTAAAAAATGTATACACTTTAATTAAAAAATACTTTATTGCTAAAAATGCTAACAATTATCTGAGCCTTTAGCCAGTGGAAATCTCTTCACTGGTGGAAGGTCTCTCCTCGATGTTGATGGCTGCTGACTGATCAGGATGGTAGTTGTTGAAGGTCAGGGTGGCTGTGGCAATTTCTAATAAGACAACATGAAGTTCACAGCATCAGTTGACTCTCCCTTTCATCAAAGATTTCTCTGTAGCATGCGACGCTGTTTGACAGCATTTTAGCAACAGTAGAAAATCTTTCAAATTTGCAGTCAATTCTCTCAAACTTTGCTGCAGCTTTATCAACTAAGTATATGGAATATTCTAAATCCTTGTTGTCATTTCAACAGTGTTCACAGCATTTTCACTAGAAGTTGATTCCATCTCAAGAAACTGCTTTCTTTGCTCATCCATAAGACACAACTCCTAATCTATTCCAGTCTTCTTATGAGATTGAAGCAGTTTAGTCACATATTCAGGCCTACTTCTTATTCTAGCTCTCTTGCTATTTCCACCACACCTGCATTTCCTTCCTCCACTGAAATCTTGAACCCCTCAGAGCCATCTATCAGGGTTTGAGCTTCTTCCAAACTCCTGTTGTGTTGATATGTTGACCTCCTCCCATGAATCACAAATGTTCTTAATGGCATCTAGAATGGTGAGTCCTTTTTAGTTTTTATTTATTTTTTATTTTTTTATTTTTTTGAGATGGAGTTTTGCTCTTGTTGCCCAGGCTGGCATGCAGTGGCATGATCTCAGCTCACTGCTGCAACCTCCGCCTCCTGGGTTAAAGCAGTTCTCATACCTCAGTCCCAGGAGTAGCTGGGATTATAGGCATGCACCACCACACCCAGCTAATTTTTGTATTTTCAGTAGAGATGGGGTTTCATCATGTGGGCCAGTCTGGTCTTGAACTCCTGACCTCAGGTGATCTGCCTGCCTTGGCCTCCCAAAGTGCTGGGATTGTAGGCTTAAGCCTTTAGGAGGTTTTTAATGGGTTTTGGCCACATCCATCAGAGGAATCATGATCTAAGGCAGTTATAGCCTTATAAAATGTATTTGGTTTTTTTGGGGCATGTTTTTTGGGGTTTTTTTTTTTTTTCGTTTTTTGTTTTTGAGATGCAGTCTCACTCTGTTGCCTAGGCTGGAATGCCGTGGCATGATCTTGGCTCACTATAACCTACACCTCCCGGGTTCAAGTGATTCTTGTGCCTCAGCCTCCAAAGTAGCTGGGATTACAGGCATCTGCTACCACATCCGGCTAATTTTTGTATTTTAGTAGAGACAGGGTGTCATCATGTTGGGCAGGCTGGTCTCAAACTCCTGACCTCAAGTGATTCACTTACCTTGGCCTCCCAAAGTGCTGAGATTATAGGCGTGAGCCACTGTGCCCAGCCATAAAATGTATTTCTTAAATAGTAAGACTTGAAAGGCAAGATGACTCCTTGATCCATGGGCTACAGCATGGATGTTGTGTTAGCGGGCATGAAAACAACATTAATCTCCTTGTAAATCTCCATCAGAGCTCTTGGGTAACCAGGTGCATTATCCATGAGCAGTAATATGTTGAAAGGAATCTTTTTTCCTGAACAGTAGGTCTCAACAGTGGGCTTAAAATATTCAGTAAACCATGCTGCAGACAGATGTGCTGTGATCCAGGCTTTGTTGCTCCATTTATAAAACACAAGCAGAGTAGATTTAGCATAATTGATAAGGGCCCTAGGATTTTCAGAATGTTAAGTGAACATTGGCTTCAACTTAAAATCACCAGCAACATTAGCTGCTAAGAAGAGAGACAACCTGTCCTTTGAAGCTTTGAAGGCATGAACTTCTCTTTATCTATGAATGTCCAAGATAGCATCTTCTTGCAATAGAAGGCTCTTTCGTCAACATTGAAAAGCTGTTGTTTCGTGTGGCCAACCCCGTCAATGATCTTAGCTAGATCTTCTGGATAGCTTGCTGCAGCTTCTTCCTCAGCATTTTCTTCACTTGGACTTTTACGCTGTGTTTGAGGGATCTTTCCTTAAACCTCATGAACCAATCTTTGCTATCTTCCAACTTTTCTTCTGCAACTTCCTCACCACTCTCAGCCTTCATAGAATTGAAGAGGGTTCGGGTCTTGCTCCAGATTAGGCTTTGGCTTAAGAGAATGTCGAGGCTGGTTTGATCTTCTTTTCAGACTACTCCCTATCGCTTTCTCCCTATCACTTTTCTTGGTAAGGCTGTTTTACTTTCTTATCACTCAAGTGTTCATCAGAGTAGCACTTTTAATTTCCTTCAAGAACTTCTCCTTTGCATTCGCAACTTGGCTAACTGTCACAAGAGTCCCAGCTTTGGCCTGTCTTGGCTTTCAACCCACCTTCCTTATCACTAAACTTAATAATATCTAGTATTTGATTTAAAGTGAGAGACATATGACTCTTCCTTTTGCTTGAACACTTAGAGGCCAATGTAGGGTATAAGGAGAGAGAGAGAGAGAGAACAGCCAGGTGGTGGAGCCGTCAGAACACACACAATATTTATTATTAAATTTGCTTTTTATTTATTTATTTATTTATTGAGATGGAGTCTCATGCTGTTGCCCACGCTGGAGTGCAATGGCATGATCTTGGCTCACTGCAACCTCCGCCTCCCAGGTTCAAGCGATTCTCCTGCCTCAGCCCCCCCAGTAGCTGGGATTATAGGCGCGTGCCACCGTGCCCAGCTAATTTTTGTATTTTTAGTAGAGCTGGGGTTTTACCATGTTGGCCAGGCTGATCTCAAACTCCTGACCTCAGGTGATCCACCCGCCTCAGCCTCCCAAAGTGTTGGGATTACAGGTGTGAGCCACCGTGCCCAGCCCAAATTTGCTATTTTATATGGATGGGGTTTGTGGCACTGCAAAACAATGGCAATATTAATATATCAAAGATCACTGGTCACAGATCTCCATGACGGATATAAATAACAATAACGAAAAATTTTAAGTTGGAAAAGTTTGACATATTCTGAGAATTACCAAAATGTGACACAGAGACATGAAGTGAGTTCATGCTGTTGGAAAAATGATTGAGAAATAGACCTGCTGGATGTCAGGTTGCCACAAGCCTTCAGTTTGTAAAAAATCACATAGTGCAACTCAACAAAACAAGGTATGCCTGTATATAAAACATGCAGAGTGTTTGGCAGGGTGCCTGGCACAGAGCTTTTATCTTTATGAATAATTTCATGGAGTTTTAATTATGCAGCATGAATATATACATTTTTCACTTCATTTTTCTTTTTTAAAATTTTCTTATAGAATGGGGGTCTCATTTTGTTGCCCAGGCCGGTCTCCAACTCCTGGCTTGGATCGATCCTCTTGTCTCGGCCTTCCAAAGTGTTGGGATTGCAGACGTGAGCCACTGCACCCAGCCTGTTTTTATACATGGTTTCATGTATCTATGTGCTCTTCTTTGCTTTTTAAAAGTGACCTCATACTATTTTGCAGTTAATGTTCCATAATTCATCTAACCATTCCTTAATTCTTGTGTATTTCCCTGTTACAAAATTCTGCTGTAAATACCTGTATATAGCTTTGTTTCTTGAGTGAAATTCTTAAGACAAAGGATGTGAATTTTAAAAATGAGCTCTAGTGTGTATTAGCAGACCGTCTTTCTAAGAGGATCAATCATATATCCAAAGTAGTATAAAATATTCATAAAGTGGTATATGAGGTTTATTTTTTCTGCAGCCTTGTAAATATCGGTTTATAATTTTTTGCTAATAGTATTAAGTGCCACCTCATTGGTTAAAAAGTTTAACCTCGTTGCGTTTTCTCATTTACTAGTTGCTTAACTATTTCTTTTTTCTTGTGTCTCTTTTCATAGTATTTGATCATTTGTCCTTCCGAGATTTAGAAGTTTATTTTAGAGGTTTATATAAGTTCTTAGTATATTCTAGGTACAATTTTTAAAAATTGTAGTGAAAAACACATAACATGAAATTTACCATTTAAACCATTTTTAGGTGTGTAATTCAGTGGCATTAATTATAATCACAATGTTGGGTAACTATAACCACCAGTGTCCATTTCCAGAACTTTTTCATCATCCCAAACGGATTCTCTGTATCCATTAAACAATAACATTTCCCCCCAACCTGACCGGCCCCCGCCCACAGCCCATGGTGACCCCTATTCTCCTGTTTCTGCATTTTCTTATTCTAGATACCTCATATAAGTGGATTAACGTGTCCTTTTGTGTCTGGCTTATTTCACTTAATGTGGCATTTTTGATTCATCCATGTTGTAGCGTGTGTCAGAATTTCCTTCCTTTTTAAGGCTGAATAATATTCCGTTGTATATACATACCACATTTTGTTTCTCCATTCATCTGTAGATGGACATTTGGGTTGTCTCCACCTTTTGGCTGTTGGAATAATGCGGGTGAGAACTTGGCTGTACAAGTATCTGAGCCCAAGATTTCAGTTCTTTTGGTTGTAT
This sequence comes from Homo sapiens, assembly GCF_000001405.40. Lineage (NCBI taxonomy): Eukaryota > Metazoa > Chordata > Mammalia > Primates > Hominidae > Homo > Homo sapiens. The sequence goes on from NC_000016.10 coordinate 69,879,729, forward strand.
ACCTAGGAGTGGAATTACTATGGTGATTTTGTATTTAACATGTCATGCCCATGCTAATGGGCATGACGTGTGTAGCTGCAAATTTTATCTGTTACATTTATAAGTTTTCCCATATCACTGTTTTGCATTTTATCTTACTTCTGTGAGTATTGCAGAAAAGGATTTAAGAATTTTAAAAATAATTAGGCCTGTGCATTTAAAAAATGTGTATAATTTCGGTTTTTGCGTCAATAATGTAAAAGTTCTTATCTATAAAATGAGATACTTTTTTTTTTCTTTATGGCCACATTGGTTCTGCAGAGATAAATACTTTTTTCTGTTTTCGCTTGCTTTCTTCATGATGTTACGTTATCAAAATAAATATCCCATTAGAATTTATAGTGTTATATGTGTCACTATAATATATAACTATAAATATGTATTTATACATAATATATATTATATAGACATGTATATAAAATGAGGACTGGGTCTAAATTATTTTCTATGCTGGGATCCTATTGTCACAAAGACATTAAGTAAACAGTGTCATTTTTTACTGTGATTTTTTTTTTAGTGTTGATCACTTTTAACATTCTTACATACAGTGAGAATTTGTTTCTTGTTTTGAGTAAGTCCCATATGATTTTTATTACTGATGTGTTATCGTATTTTCTTTAATGTCTGGAAGAGCTAGTTTTGCCTTTTTTTCCTCCATGATATTCTTTGATCGTTCATACATTTTCAAAACAAATTTCAGACTTTGAATTCTTTGAAGCACAGTAGGATGTAAGTAGGAACTGTGTTCATCTGTATATACACCGGGGAAGGATTTTACCTTCCCATCAATCAGGTAACACAGTATGGCTTCGTCCATTTTTAAGTTTTGCTCCTTTTTTCCTCACGTAATATAACTGTTTTTCTTTATATGAGCTTCACTCATCCCATGCCGTGCTAATTACGAAATCTTTGTCCAGTTTTGGTTGCTGTCGTGAAGAGCCGACTGATCAGCTGCCTTGGCAGTGCAGTTGCTTGTGTTTCACGGGTGAAAGACACCAACTGCTTTACTGTGGCCCACATGTTACGAGCTGATCTTCAGTAGAAAGAACTTCTGTTGTTATTGGTGCTGGCTTTCTACGTGCCTGAGTGCAGGGCCGAGAAGTCCTGAGTGTCCACCACGAGTCTGTGATACACCACACGCACCTAAGCATCTTGGAACACACAGTGGACTGGCAGTGTCTCTAGGATTAAGCAAAAGAATTTCCAATTCCTGATCTTTTTTTTGGCTAACTGTGACTAGAGTGTGTCCCAGTCCTGAATGAATATGTGATTCATAAAGTTAGAATGTTTCACCAACATCACAGAGGGAACCTTGTGAAATACCCAAGGTTATAGAAAGCAGAGGCCATGCAACTGCCATCTTACTGCTTACCATTTGGTACCCCACTTTCCCTCCTTGGTACCCCACTTTCCCGGTCCTTGATACCCTACTTTTCCTCCCATTTGGGAAACATCAAAGCTGTCTTCGCTCCCCACGCCCACTGTTTTTACTTCGTGGTGTTCTGGTTTGAGTACTGGTTCTGCTACTTGCTGACTGCACAACACCTCTCTGAGTGGTCCCTCTGTGAGCCTCAGTTTTGTCTGCAGTGAAATGGGAATAATAATATCTTCCTCATAAGGGCATTGGGAGGATCAATGAGCTAATAAAAGTAAACTTGCTAAAGGCAATGCAGGATCCTGGGTTGGATCTTGGAACAGAAATAAAACATTAGTGCAAAAGTTGGTGAAATCCAAATAAAGTCTGGAGTTTAGTTAATAGTAGTATACTAATTATTATTTTAGCATTGGCAAATGTGCCATGATTATATAAGATAGTATTATTAAGGGAAACTGGGTGAAGACCATACTATCTTTTCAGATTTTCTGAAAGTAATATCCAAAATTATTCCAAAATAAAACAAAAAGAACCTGTGGTTTTAAATTTTTTAAATTTTTTATTTTTTAGATAGAGCCTCACTCTGTCACCCAGGCTGGAGTGCAATGGCATGCTCTCAGCTCACTGCAGCCTCCCCTTCCTGGGCTCAAGCGATTCTCCTGCCTTAGCCTCCCGAGTAGCTGGGACTACAGGCACACGCCACCACACCCAGCTATTTTTTTCTATTTTTAGTAGAGACAGAGTTTTGCCATGTTGGCCAGGCTGGTCTTGAACTCCTGACCTCCAGTGATCCACCTGCCTTGGCCTCCCAAAGTGCTGGGATTATAGGGGTGAGCCACTACGCCCGGCCTAATTTTTGTATAGATGGGGTTTTGCCATGTTGACCAAGCTGGTCTCGAACTCCTGGCTTCAAATGATCCACCTGCTTTGGCCTCCGAAAGTACTGGGATTACAGGCATGAGCCACCGCGCCCAGCCTAAGTTTTGTATTTTTAGTAGAGACGGGGTTTCACCATGTTGACCACACTGGTCTTGAACTCCTGACCTCAGGTGATTCACTTGCCTCGGCCTCCCAAAGTGCTGGGATTATAGGTGTGAACCACTGCGCCCAGCCTAAAGAACCTGTTTTGTAAATGATATTGTTATACAAATGTCAGGTGGTTTTATTTCAAATATCTTTCTTTTATTTTTTAGTTTTTAATTTTTTTTATTTCTTTTCTTTTCCCTTTGAAACTCACCTATTCAATCAAATATCTTTCTTTTGCTAGATTATTGGGCTTATTGAATAAGTATTTCTTGAACAAATATTTATCAAATGTTAAGCATTACGGACAATGTAAAGCATATAAGATAAGGCCTCTGCCCTATGATCTTGTTCCAGAAAAGAAGTTGAAACCACACATCAGCAAAGTCAAAACAGCATGTCACAGGGGCTGTGCGACTGTGTAGCTGAGACCATGGGTGCTGTGGGCTTCACAGTGTGGAGTGCTTTCCCTGGGCCGCAGGGGTCGGGAGGGCGTCCAGGGAAGAAGGCCGATGTGGGCAAAGAGATGCAGCAAGAACACAAGGGACAGAGAGTGGAAGTAGTGAAAAATGCGGGAAACAAATCTGCCCTCGCTCTCAAGATGGGTGCAGTCCTTTTGGGGAGATATGGGTGTACATCAAATAATTAGGATTAAAAGTTAGAGAACATTGGCTATATTGAATACAGTTAAAAGTTAATACAGCAGACCGGGTGCGGTGGCTCATGCCTGTACTCCCAGAACTTTGGGAGGCTGAGGCAGGCAGATCACTTGAGGTCAGGAGTTCCAGACCAGCCTGGCCAACATAGTAAAACCCCATTTCTACTAAAAATACAAAAATTAGCCAGGCGTGGTGGCACTCGCTTGTAATCCCAGCTACTTGGGAGGCTGAGGCAGGAGGATCGCTTGAACCCAGGAGGTGGAGGTTGCAGTGAGCCAAGATCATGTCACTGCACTCCAGTTTGGGTGGCAGGGTGAGACTCCATCTCAAAAAAAAAAAAAAATTAATACAGCAATTCTGTAAGGCATGATGGACTTGTAACTCCTTGTCTTCGACAATCCAGTTTTTCTATTTGAAGCCTCATTAGACTTGAGTATGGTGCCCTGTCCCTGGTTGACCAGGGTGACCGTGGGCCAGTAATGTATTGTTAGAACTTAATTTCTGCTGACTATGAGTTGTGATGGGGTGGATTGACTCCTGAGGTTCTTTCAAGCTTTCATGTTCTAAGAATGTGCGCACACACACACACACACACACACACACTCATTTACTCCTACTTTTTGAGGGCAGAAGAAGGGTACTCGTGAGTATTCGTGGGCACAGAAGGCTTGTCCATGCTAGGATATCTAGCCTTCATATTTTTCTGTTTCCAAATCTGAACTCAAGGTATAGCACAAACTTTCTTTTTTTCAACTTTAAGTTCCGGGGTACGTGTACAGGATGTGCAGGTTTGTTACATCGGTTAAACATGCGCCATGGTGGTTTACTGCACAGATCAACCCATCACCTAGGTATTAAGCCCAGCATCGGTTAGCCATTCTTTCTGATGCTCTCCCTCCCCGCACCCCACCCTGCAAAAACTGTTAAACAGAAGAGCTACTATGGGTGAACCAGGTTGACTCAGAGGCTCTTGGTTAGGCCTGTGGACATGTACAGCCCTGGAGGGAACCTTCCTAACTAGATTTGCAGCTGCATAAACAGTCAGATCCGAGTAGTGTTGATTGGAGGGTCTTCTGCCCTGGCATGCCATGGGGGCTCTGCTTTTGTTCTTTTCGTGGTCAGCTATTTCGTAATAATTATTTTTAATAGTTATATGTTACTAAAACTTTAAAAAAATAAAAGCTTAGACAGTATAAAGAATGTCTTTTTCCTATTCTGCTCACCTTCAGTTTCCTCCTCCAAGGCCCACTGTTGTGTTTCTTGCGGTTCTTTCAAAGATATTCTTGGAATATACAAGCGTATGTATATATATTCCTTGAAAAAACACACACATGTGTATGCACACAAACTCACAAATGATAGCACAATTATACATTGTTCTGCACTTTTTCGTTTAGTAGTTATCTTAGAATGTTCCCATAGTATTTGAAGCTAACTTGAAGAGCTTCGTTCACCTCCCCTTTCCCCACTAACTCCAGCCAAGGATGGGGACAATTTTAGGATCAAAAAGAATATTAGGCTGGGTGCAGTGGCTCATGCCTGTGATCCCAGCACTTTGGGAGGCTGAGGTGGGAGGATCGCTTGAGCTCAGGAGTTTGAGACCAGCCTGGGCAAAATAGTGAGACCCTATCTCTACAAAAAATAAAACTAAAAATTAGCCAGGCATGGTAGCATGAGCCTGTAGTCCCAGCTGCTTGAGAGGCTGAGGCAAGGGGATTGCTTGAGCCTGGGAGGTCAAGGCTGCAGTGAGCCATAATTGTGCCACTGCACTCCAGCCTGGGTGACAGAGCAAGACCCTATCTTAAAAACAAAAAACAAAAAACAATGGATTGAAATATTTTAAAACATATTTGAATCCAGTGCCTCATAAAGATTCTTAAACAAAATGAAACCTCATTGTTCATTTTTAGAGGATGCAAGGAAATCAACTCATTCTGAAGACTGGTAAACAAAGGGAAAGAAGCAAGCATTTCTCCTGCCTTTTCTTTACAAACTGAACCTCCAGGAAGCCAAATAGTTGATATGGGGAGGTTTCTCTTTACAGAAGTATTGTAGCTAATAAATGAAGAAGGTGTGGTAGAATTAGAATATTACTATTTTGCAGGCTTCAGTGAATTATTTAATTATTTAAGCCTATTTCTGAACTTTCTTATTAATTGACACTTGCCTATTCATACATCAGTACCACATTGTTTTAATTGCTGTAGCTTTGTAGTATGTTTTAATACTTTAGAAACTCCCCCTACACACACACACCACTCTTTTACAAACTCCTCCTACACACACACACACACACACACACACACACACACACACATTCTTCTTCTTTAGAATGTTCATGGCTATTCTTGTGTATTTAGTTTTCCTAATAAATTTTAGAATAAATTCATCTAGCTCTGAAAAAAGTCATAGTGTTTTTTTTAAAATTGAGTAAAATGTATAGCTGTGCATAAAGTGAATTGCCATCTGTTGTGTTTTACTGGCTTGCCTGAGATAGAATAGGAATATAAATATCAAGCCTTGCATTTCTGTTAGGGAAACATTAATTGCACAAGATTTAGTCATTTATTAAACAACTAATTTAGCCTGTGTACCAGGCAATATTTTATATACTTCAGAGAAAACAAGCAAATAAATCATAGCCAATTTCTAGCATCAGGCTCTTACCTGTTTGTTAAGATCTAGCTTGGTATCCATCACATCATATGAAGAAATTTGACTTTCAGCTGACCACCAGTTCCATGTGTGCCAATTTTTACATGGTTGCTAAGAGTTATTATAATCTTCGGTTGAATTAGAGGATGTGCAGAGAGGGAGAAGTGGAGCATAGTGACAAGTGGTTTAGGCTCTGGAGGCAGACACCAGGGTGTGAATTAGGTGCTATATGACCTTGAGAGGTGTTGTAGCCTCTTTGAGCTATAGTTTCCTTAAGTGTTAAGTGGGGATATCAATTGTAACTAACTTGTGGGGTTGCGTGTGAGGCCTAAATGAGATAATCTAAAGTGCTTTGCACCTTTCCTGCACATGCTGGTGTTCTGGAAATGTTACCTGGTATTTAAGTTGGTAATCTGACTCTGCTGGCCTCATGGTATCTGATTTATTATGTTTAGTTCCTGATATGATTAGCTAGAAGAGGCAGTAGATGATATCTCGAAGAGGGCAGCCAGATGATCGGGAAAGGGGGGTTGCCTAGAAACACTGAAGAAATGGTAGGCCTCTTTACTAGAAGAGGGAATACTAACATGAAACAGTAGCCATTGATTGGTTGGTTGATTGATTGATGGGTCTCACCCTGTCACCTAGGCTGGGTTGCAGTGGTGCAATCATGGCTCACTTCAGCCTCCACCTCCTCAGCTCCAGTGATTCTCCCTCAGTCTCCTGAGTAGCTGGGACCACAGGTGGGCACCACCATGCCCAACTACTCTTTTAAATTATTTGTAGAGATGAGTCCTCGCTAGGTTGCCCAGGTCTGGAATTCCTGGGCTCAAGCAATCCTCCTGCTTCAGGCTCCCAAAGTGCTGGAATTAGAGGCAAAGTATCTAGGTATCCGGCCTAGATACTTTGAATTGCTTTGGAGATAGAGATGGGGAGACTCAGACCAGGTAATAGAATCAGCCTCACATGAAGAAAAAAAAAAACCAAACAACTTTCTGGGCCAGGTGCCCTGGCTCATGCCTGTAATCCCAGCACTTTGGGAGGCTGCAGTGGGCATATCACTTGAGGCCAGGAGTTCGAGACCAACCTGGCCAACATGGTGAAACCCCGTCTCTATTAAAAATACAAAAATTAGCTGGGTGTGGTGGCGCACACCTGTAATCCTAGCTACTTGGGAGACTGAGGCATGAGAATTGCTTAAACCTGGGAGGCAGAGGTTGCATTGAGCCAAGATGGCGCCATTCCACTCCAGCTTGGGTGACGGAGCGAGACTGTGTCTCAAAACAAAACAACCCCTCACCAACTTTCTGGCAAGTACATCTGTTCAATGATGGGATGATTCTATAGTGAGCTCCCTGTAAGAAACGTTCACGAAGAATCTGGATAGCCACTTGTTAGGGATACAACAAAAAGAATTTCTGCATTAGGAAGATGAGGCTAAATGATGACTAAGGTGTTTTCCTATGAATTTCTAGTATACATGTACACATATGCAATCATATATATGGAAAATTCTCTGCATATAGCTTATCACTTCCAAAAAACCACAGTTCTTTGAAACCTTATTTGATCCTTTTTTGAGTTAGAGGATATTGCAATGCACCTTGGGGTCCTTGTGAACGTAAGTGATCATCAAAGAGGTGAAGAGATGGTGAAATAGGGAGACTTGGGGACTAGTGTGTTTCACTTCTGTCTCATTGTCTATTATCTCAGAGAGAAGACCCTTAGCTATGAGCCCTTCTTGCTTCCTACTTTGAGCATGAGCCTTTACAAGAATGAGCACATTACTGGAAGTTTTCTGCCTCTTTAGTGTGTATGAGCTTTTTGAAAGAAGGTGCTAGTCATGTCTAGCAAACAAATGACAAATTTAAAGAAAAGGATGTGACCCTATAAACTTGGCCTTGCTGCATTTAGCCCCAACACTTTTTTTTTTTGAGACACAATTTTGCTGTCAGGCAAATTTTTTGCAAGGCTGGAGTGCAGTGGCATAGTCTTGGCTGACTGCAAACTCTGCCTCCCGGGTTCAAGCGATTCTCCTGCCTCAGCCTCCCAACTAGCTGGGATTATAGGTGTGCGCCACCATGCCCAGCTAAATTTTGTATTTTTAGCAGAGACGGGGTTTTGCCATGTTGGCCAGGTGGATCTCGAACTCCTGACCTCAAGTGATCCGCCTGCCTCAGCCTCCCAAAGTGCTGGGATTACAGTTGTGAGCCACTGCGCCTGGCCCCAACACATTCCTGTTATGTTGATCTTTCCTGCTACTCTTTTGTTGCAATAAATGTAAATGTAACCACAGTATGTTAGAAAAACTTGATAAAGTTATGTAAAAAAGGTAGTGTTAATATATTTATTTCGGATTCATCCTGATTTCCTTTGGACAGGCATTAATGACTTGCTGTACTTTTCAAAGTCATGTTTTGTAAAACTTTTTGCTGTCGCCCAATACATGTAGTGTAACATTGTAGATACCATGTTAGCCTATTAAGTGAAAAACCTAGCAAGTATAAATAAAATTCTCATTCTTAGTTGATCTTTAAAGTATGATTTGTGCATCTTCAGTGAATGATGAACCCACAACAGCCACTGATCCCGAAGAACCTTCCGTTGTTGGTGTGACGTCCCCACCTGCTGCACCCTTGAGTGTGACCCCGAATCCCAACACGACTTCTCTCCCTGCCCCAGCCACACCGGCTGAAGGAGAGGAACCCAGCACTTCGGGTACACAGCAGCTCCCAGCGGCTGCCCAGGCCCCCGACGCTCTGCCTGCTGGGTGAGTAGTCTTCTGTCCCATAACAGATCTCTCCTCCTCAAAGACTGAGGCTCCTTTACGGGGGTGGAAACAACGTGGTTATTTATTACCTAGTGGCTAGTAGCCTCTGGGGAGGCTGCTGTGCATTGAAGCAAGGGAGGTGTGGAAGAACTGCTTGTTCTACATAAATCTTAAAAAGAATCTCAGTCGCCTGGGGCAGAATCAATGCTACCTTGTACTGTGACTTGAAATGAACAGCTTGACTCAAAGAGTGTGGCTTTTACGGAACAAGGAGCTCATTTTGCTTTCCTGAATCATTGGAGGATGTTCGCCTAGATCCTGCCTAGAAAACAGCTTTTCTCTCTTGAATTTTATCGTATCAGCCCACGGAGGAGTTGGGTTTTAGGCTGTGAATATTGCTGTATGTTATTCTCATAATCGGGACTTAAGTTAACATAAACTACAAGTTTTCTTGCCATCCTTTTTTTTTTTTAGAGATGGAGTCTTAATCTGTCACCCAGGCTGGAGTGCAATGGCACGATCTCAGCTCACTGCAACCTCTGCCTCCTGGGTTCAAGTGATTCTCCTGCCTCAGCCTCCCAAGTAGCTGGGGCTACAGGTGCACACCACCACACTGGCTAATTTTTTTGTATTTTTAGTAGAGATATGGTTTCGCCCTGTTGGCCAGGCTGGTCTCGAACTCCTGACCTCACATCATCCACCTGCCTCGGCCTCCCAAAGTGCTGGGATTACAGGCAGGAGCCACCACACCCGGCCCTCTTGCCATCCTTTAGTTCAGTCAGATGGCGTGGTGGCTCACGTGCCAATCAATTCCATTGCTTTGGGAGGCTGGGGTGGGAGGATCACTTGAGGCCAGGAGTTTGAGACCAGCCTGGGCAATATAGTGATATCCTGCCTACACACACACACACACACACACACACACACAAATGTGGGCACAGTGACCTGTGCCTGTAGTCGTAGCTACTGGGGAGGCCAAGGTGGGAGGATTGCTTGAGCCAGGAGTTAGAGGCAGCAGTGAGCTATGATCACACCACTGTACCCCAGCCTGGACTATGAAGCGAGACCCCTGTCTCAAAAATAAAAATTAAATCTGACAGCAAAGACCTTGGATGATAAGAAGACAGCCCCTGTAAGCCAAAGGGAAGTTCAAGTTTGGTTATATGGTGAGTGGAGATTATAAGCATGGACCTGTGAATCAGACAGCTCTGGGTTTGAATCCCCCCACCATGTGACCTTGGCCGAATGACTTAGCCTCTTGATAAGGTGGAGATAATCATCATACATATCTCCCCAGGAAGTTAAGGGACTCAAATAAGATGGTGAACATGAAGCCCTCACTGATTGGTGGGTGTTACACCTGGTAAGTGATATTTTCCGAGTGGTTGTGAAGGGGCCCTAAAGGAAGGGCATGCTTCTGAACCGGGAGGTGAAGTCCCTTCTTCGCAGCTCTGATCATGGTTGGGGCCAGTTTTCACTGCCTCTCCTGGTTATCAGTTTGGTGTGGAGGAAACCCACATCTGTGTCACTCTAGTTGCTGGTGATCTGGTTGACGATGACTTGGTGGTGTGTATCCTGTGAACCGTTGTGATTCATAAAGGAAAAAAGAAGGGTGTAAGGCCTCTTACTTGACTACAAGGTGCTGTATTATTCTTTTTTTCACTCCCTTATCCCATCTCTTTATTCTATTATTAAGCCACTTTCATTGTTGTTGTTGTTGTTTGAGACAGGGTCTCACTCTGTTGCCCAGGCTGGAGTGCAGTAGTACAGTCTTGGCTCACTGCAGCCTTGACTTCCTGGGCTCAAGCGATTCTTCCACCTCAGCTTCCCAAGTAGCTGGGACTACAGGCGTGCACCACCATGCCTGGATAATTTTTTTTTTTTTTTTTTGTAGAGACAGGGTTTTGCCATGTTGCCCAGGCTGGCTTAAGCCACTTTCAAAAACCCAGTTGTCAAAACAAAAATCTTTTATCGGAAGGCACATGTGACCTTTACTACGTACGTATTGTTTTCCTAGCATGCGCCACGCTACCTAACTCCCGTCTGTTCAGAAAGTCCTGTTCCACATACCTTTGTACCTCAAACCTGGAGAGAATTGGCAGGATTGAGAGGCAGCTCTGGGATGTTTTTTTGTGAGGTTTTTGATTTTAGTGAAGGTTAAAGTGAAAAGCTCACTAATCAATTGCTTTGTGTCCAGCTACTCCCTATAGAGATATTTCTCTTTTGTATGTGGTAAGGAATACTCGAAAGACCTTTGTTTGGTTTGTAATTTCAAGCCTGTATGTTATAATTTGGGGGGAACAATGCAGAATCATGTTGGCAGAAAGGAGAGAAAATGGCCGCCTGTGTCCCCAGTGAGCTGTTTGTTTTCTTTCCGCTGAGCGAATGCCTGGAAGGCCGGCCTCACTCCTGTGTCAGTCACAGGCAATTAGGGCTAATGGCTCAACATGTCTTTATGTAGGGCGTGTGTGAGGGTTACTGTTCTCGGGGATTGGGCACTTCCTGTTTCCAGGCAGCTGGAAAACTCCAGGCTCTGAAAACGCTCTTTATTCTAAGTCTGGCAGATCGAGCAGCCCAGGGAAGCCGATTCCCCTCCCTCATCCTGCCAGAGGCTGAAACACGTTTCTGAGGTAGAGCCTAAACAGCATCTTTTCCTTGGGGCATTTAGAACGTGATGAGGGCCACATGTGGGCCTGGGGAGGCTGCTCCCCACTTGAACATGTACGATGGTCCAGAGAAGGGTGTCGGAGACCCAATTTTCCAACCCAGATGGCTTCCACGTGCTCTTCTCTAAGATGGCTAGGAGGGCTCTGTGGGCTGACTCGGGGCCTGGAGATCGTCAGCCACCTACCTGGAGACTGACTAGCACTGCTGAGTGTCTAAGAGGGAGCATGGCAGGCTTTTGGTTGGCTGATGGAAGCCAGAGAGAGTACTATTTCTGCCAGCGATCCTTCCAGTTCATAGGCCTGCCAGCCCCACCCCAGTTTACTTAAAAGTTTAGGAGATCCAGGCAAGGCGGGTTATTAATTTACCCCTGGTGTTCCAGAGTCAGGGGACCAATGAGAGAAGGAAATCTGTCATTTCTAATTCCAATACCAACAAAGGGTGTGTTGTGGCAAAGGGATTGGAGTGCTATCTCTTAGGAACTGCATCTTCTTGAGTTTGCAGAATGCCTTTATCTTTTATGAGGATATATAAATGCAGCAGCTGAATTGAGTATCTACTAGTGCCCAAGTTCTATATTCGAGGTTTTACACTGTTGATTCTTTCATTAGACAGAATATCTGTTACTATTTAAGAGACAGCAGGTCAGGTACTGGGTATGGCAGATGCAGTGCTAAACAAGAAATGGTTCTTGCTACCAGACTGTTTCATGATGCGTGCCCTGGTCACTCAGTTCTCCCCCTGGCTCGACTCAGCCATTCCCTTGGCTGCCTCTGGGATCTGATGCTAAGTCCATATCTGCCTCTTGAGCCCAGTTCTCTCCTGACTCACTACCTGGACAGTTCCATGTAGCTATCTCAACCCAACAGAACTTATCATCTTACCCATCCCATCCGGGCTAGAACCTGGTCCCCCTCCTGGGAATGGTGCCACCATTTGCCCAGGTGACCTTCAAGTCATACATCTTTCCCCTGACCCTGACATCCGTTCAGTCATCAAGCCCTGCCTCTGGGCCTCCAGACTGTGCTGTCTCAGCTTCCCATACTGATCCTGCTTTGCATTTATCACAGGTGTAATTTGCATACGATTTATTAAGTGACCATCTCCTCCACCATACTCTAGGTGCCATACGGGCAGGGATTGTGTCTTTCTTATTTGCCTCTGAATGCCCAGCACCTAGCACATATGCACCTAGCCTGGCACATAGTGGGACTCCAGGAAATAGTTAAATGAAACAATGATTCTCTCTTTTTTTTAATTTAAAATTTTATTTTATGATTTTTCTTTTAATTATACTTTAAGTTCTGGGGTATATATTTGCAGAATGTGCAGTTTCGTTACATAGGTATACACGTGCCATGGTGGTTTGCTGTACCCATCAACCTGTCATCTACATTAGGTATTTCTCCTAATGCTATCCCTCCCCTAGCCCCCCACCCACCCCTGACAGGCCCCGGTGTGTGGTGTTCCCCTCCCTGTGTCCATATGTTCTCATTGAAACAATGATTCTCTTAAACAACTCTCAAATCTGCCCACTTGGCTACATGCTTTTGCAATATTCCAGACCAAATTACCATGATCTGTCACTCGAGTGACTGTTCTTACCCTTTCCCAATCTATTTTAACTTTTCTTTTTTTGAGACATTGTCTTACTCTGTCACCCAAGCTGGAGTGCAGTTGTGCAATCTTGGCTCACTGCAGCCTCAGCCTCACGGGCTCAAGTGATCCTCCCACCTCAGCCTCCTGAGTAGCTGGGACTACAGGTGCCTGCCACCACACCCAGCTAATTTTGTTTATTTTCACAGAGACAAGGTCTCCCTATGTTTCCAAGGCTGGTCTCAAACTCCTAGGCTCAAGCAATCCTCCTGCCTTGGCCTTCCAAAGTGCTGGGATTACAGGCATGAGCCACTGCGCCCGGCCCTGTTTTAACTTTTAAAAATAAAACTCTGAGCATGACCTTTCACCATTTAGAATGCTCCAGTGGCTTCATATTGTCTTTGGGGATAAATTCCCAAATCCTTAATAAGGCCTAAAAAGGCCTGTGTAATATGACCCCACCTACCCTTCAAGCCTTCGGTGGGATCCACTCCACATCTCTGCCTAAGCCACGATAACTTAACTTTAATTTGACAAATGCATCACCCTCTCTCCGGACTTAGGATCCTCCCCCATGCTGGTCACTCTTTCTGAAACCTTCCTTGCCATCTTGTCCATTAATTCCTATACATCTTCAAGTGTCAACTTAATCAGTAAATCCTCTGGGACTCCCTCCCGGATCCCTGGTGGACAAGAAGAAGTGTGTCCTTCCTCTGTCACTCTTCTCACACCTGTCATTGCTTGTTTTCTGCCTCTCTGCTATTCTTGGCTCTGCACACCAAGGTGGCCGGGAGCCTGGCACAGAGTAGGCTCCCAAGACATGTTTGCAATGAATGGATGAGTGCTTTTAAATGCCATCTTTTTTTTTCTTTCCTTCACCTAGATGAATGTTTTTTGCCTCTTTGATGCCTCAAAGAAAGAACAGCTATGACAGCAATATTGCATTTTCTTCCCAAGGGCAAGAAAGTTGAGCCTAATGCTGTCATTCACTGGCTTGACTGGCTTTGGGTTCAAATATGCATCTCTCATAGTTCAGAATGCTGTTTTTTTTGTTTGTTTGTTTTTGTTTTTGTTTTTGTTTTTTTGAGATGGAATGTCACTCTGCTGGTCCAGGCTCCGTCTCCCAGGTTCAAACAATTCTCCTGCCTCAGCCTCCCAAGTAGCTGGGAGTACAGGCTTGCGCCACCACGCCCAGCTAATTTTTTGTATTTTTTAGTAGAGCCAGGGTTTCACCATGTTGGCCAGGCTGTGCTCGAACGCCTGACCTCAAGTGATCCACCTGCCTCGGCCTCCCAAAATGCTGGGATTACAGGAGTGAGCCACTGCACCCAGCCCTCAGAATGCTCTTCTCTGTTCATAAAGGATCGCTCTTCCTGCACTGGCAGATACTGTGCAGCACGGCTCCTCTTCACTGAGGCATTTGAGCTAAGCTTGATTGCTTTCTGGGCCCTCCAGGGGACTCTGTCTTTCTAACTTTATCTTCTCAACTCATCCAGTCTCCCTCACTGAGTGACAGGAGCAAGGTTCTCTTGGGGATCTCATGGCTGTATTTTTCAGGTTGCTGCATTTTTTTTTTTTTTAACTGAGATGGAGTCTCGCTCTGTCACCCAGGCTGGAGTGCAGTGGCAAGATCATGGCTCATGGCAGCCTCAAATTCCAAGGCTCAAGTAATACTCCTGCCTCGGCCTCCCGAGTAGCTGGGACTACAGGCGCATGCCACTATACCCAGGCTATTTTTTTTTTTTTTTTTGGTAGAGATGAGGGTCTCACTCTGTTGCCCATGCGGATCTCAAACTCCTGGGCTCAAGCGATCTTCCCGCCTTGGCCTCCCAAAGTGCTGGGATTCCAGGCATGAGCCACCGCACCTGGCTGCATTGTCTTTTTGAAATATGCAGCAGATGAGACTTTGGCCATATGTGGTTACACACGTCTGCACGTTTTAAGAACTGAAGGCTGCTGAAACCTGGGCTGAAGATGTCCAAATACAGCACTCCCCATCCCTTTTCTCTGTCCCCATCTGTAAACCCTCCTGCTTTCCATAGCTTTTAAATTAACTAGCGTGAAAGAAGCCAACTGGAAGGGTATGAAGTTTTCAGGTTGCAAATGTCTGTGAAAGAAGGGGTGCCAGGAAGGTTTGAAGGGGCTAGTGAGATAGTGGTTCAGGCCGTGGGCAATGGGAAGCGAGGCTGCTTTGGTCTGCAGGCCCTGTATCTGTTTTTTCTCAGCGCTCAGCCCACTTTGGGGACCCAGTGCTCATTATCAATGAGCCAACTGTGTGTACATGGCTTAGATAAACTCCAAGTGTGTCCCTTACAGTCTTTGCAGCTCCCTCGGTCCCACACACACAGAGGCACATTATTTTGCCCTGGCAGCCAGCACGCCACTGTGGTTTCTTACATAACGGAGGGCGTTGTGTTTGGACTGCCGACTTACTTCAGCTCTGCCATTTCACACCATGCTTTTTCTCCCGCAGCCATTGGCTGCCCCGTCTGTTTCCTGCCTCCGAGTGGAATTAATTGAGGAGGGATGTTTTCTGGATCTTTCGGATTTGCCATCTCCTCTACCCCCCTGCCCAATTATGGATATCCAGAGGCACTCTCTTGAGATGGCCCTTAAGACACTATCAAGGACGACAGCCTTGTAAGAGTTCTTGGATGTTTGTTTGTGGGGACACTCTAAGAGATGTTGGAATTTGGAGCTTCTCTGCTAAGTTATAAACCAGGCGCTGCCATTGAATTTCATTCCAAACTCAACTTCAGCACTAGCCAAAGAGTCTTACCCAAGGAGTTTTAACACTGAGCTGCTCAAAACTATTTGTGAGAAAACAGTCCTTTTTGGTTGTTGTTTTGTTTTAATTTATTTTAAAATAGTCTGTCTATTGTGAATCCTTTAATTCTATACTCTGTTCAATGAGACGAATCTATTGAGCACACATGTGGATATTACAGCAATGTCAGATCGGTACAAAAGTTCCTAAAGTGGGCCAGGCTCATGCCTGTAATCTAGCACTTTGGGAGGCCGAGTCAGGAGGATTGGTTGAGTCCAGGAGTTCGAGACCAGCCTGGGCAACATAGCAAGACTTCGTCTCTACAAAAAATACAAACAAAAACATCAGCTGTGTGCACCTGTGATCCTAGCTATTCTGGAGGCTGAGGCAGGAGGATCGCATAAGTCCCGGAAGTCGAGCCTGTAGTGAGCTGTGTTCAAGTCACTGCCCTTCAGCCTGGATGACTGAGTGAGACCCTGTCTCAGTTAAAAGAAAAAAAAGTTTCTAAGTGCTTAGAAACTTCAGTACTTTTCTGGTCACAGAACAGTAACAGTTTGGGCTGTGGACCATTCTTTGAGTAGCATCAGATTAAAGGATTACACTGAGCGTCTGTGTCTTTCCTCCAGTTTGTTTCTTTGCTTAGTATGGTTAGTTTGTGACTCTGCAGGGATTGTTACATGCTTAGGTCACATGGAATAGTGTGTGTTTCTGGCTTCCTCATCACCATCTCAGAACTTAAACTCTTATTTCCAAAGATTCTACTGTTGTCGGAGGCTGGGCCATGAGATGTTTTCACCTTATGTGTATGTATTCATGCATAATTATTCATTTTCATTTCTACTGCACTTTCTTTCCTTTTTTTGGAGACAGGGTCTCATTTTGTCACCCAGGCTGGAGTATAGTGGCGTGATCATAGCTCACTGCAGCCTCAACTTCCTTAGCTCAAGCAGTTCTCCTGCCTCAGCCTCCCAAGTAGCTGGGACTACCATGCGCCACCATGCTCAGCTAATTTTTGTACTTTTTGTAGAGACAAGGTCTTGCTATGTTACCCAGGCTGGTCTTGAACTCTTGGAGGCTCAAGCGATCCTCCTATCTTGGCCTACCAAAGTGCTGGGGTTACAGGTGTGAACCACCGTGCCCATCCTTACTGCAATTTCTTGAGAGCTCCTCAAGAGTAAAGAATATTGTGTCCGTCTTTGTGTTCCCTGTACCCAGCATACAACTTGGCTTCCAAAGAGAGGGAGTGATGTGTTACATGAGTGGGAAAATGATATCACATTCTCAGTGGCCCTTAAAATTTTTTAAAGTTTTTTTCTGATCTTATTATAAAAGCCCATTGATGGAAAATTAGAAAAAAATAGGAGGTGGGAGAAGAACAGTACATAATAACAACAGTTAACAAACACCCCCCCAGAGCTGACCATTGGTATTTCTTCTGCAGCTTGTGTGTATTTTTTTTTTTTTTTTAAACACTAACTACAGCTACCATGTATTCTAAGTGTTTCTAAGGTGCTGGGGACTGCCCAGTTTCCTACCTGGATGATTTCATGCAGTCTTCCCTCTGTGAGAGAGCTACTTTTATCCTCATCTTGCAAGTGAGGAGAACTTAAGCAATTTGCCTGGCACCACATATACAGATACACGTATAACACACATCTACCAAAAGTTGATAATCTTCCAGTATATGCTTTTAAAATCCATTCGTTTTTATTGTAAAATATTGTAAGCATGCAGATACAAATGGAGAAGAATGTAAAAAATACCTGTGGCTCATCATCTTTGGCTCTGTGCTGCATTTGCTACAGGTCTCTCCCCGTCTTTTTTTTTTTGTTTGTGTGTTTTGTTTTTGAGACAGAATCTGTGTCACCCAGGCTGGAGTGCAGTGGCGTGGTCTCAGCTCACTGCAGCCTTGACCTCCCAGGCTCAGGTGATCCTCTCGCTTCAGCCTCTCGAGTACCTGAGACCACAGGCACATCCTACCATGCCAGGCTAATTTTTATATTTTTTGTAGAGATGGGGTTTTGCCGTGTTGCTCAGGCTGGTCTTGAACTCCTGGGCTCAAGCAATCTGCTCCCCTAAACTTCCCAAAGTGCTGGGGTTACAGGTGTGAGTCACTGTGCCCGGCACCTGAGGAGGTCTTTTTTTAACCACCTCTTTTTAACCCCTTGATGTATAAGATGTTACCAGTACAGCTGAAGCTTCCATGAACTCTCTGATCTCATTCCCTGTATACAGTGATACATGGAACTTGGGACATGCATTTAAACTGCTATACGGTGTTCTGTTACATGAACAGATAAAAATTTATCCATTTACTTGTTTCTTGACAGCTAGAAAGAATGGCTGCAGTAGGCCAGGCGCAGTGGCTCACGCCTGTAATCCCAGCACTTTGGGAGGCCGAGCTGGGTGGATCACAAGGTCAGGAGTTCGAGACCAGCCTGGCCAATGTGGTGAAACCCCATCTCTACTAAAAATACAAAAATTAGCCGGGTGTGGTGGCGCATGCCTGTAGTCCCAGCTACTCAGGAGGCTGAGGCAGAAGAATGGTTTGAACCAGGGAGGCGGAGGTTACAGTGAGCCGAGATCGTACCACTGCACTCTAGCCTGGGCGACAGAGTGAGACTCCATCTCAAAACAACAAAACAAAACAAAACAAAACAAAAAAAACACAATGAAACAATGGCTGCAGTAAAGTTTTCCTGTGCATGCCTTTTTGTGTATGTGGTTTTTTCTTTTTCTTTTCTTTCTTTCTTTTTTTTTTTTTTTTGAGACAGAGTCTTGCTCTGTTGCCCAGGCTGGAGTGTGCAGTGGCACAATCTCGGCTCACTGCAACCTCCGCCTCCTGAGTTCAAGTGATTCTCCTGCCTCAGCCTCCCAAGTAGCTGGGATTACAGGCATCTACCACCATGCTTGGCTAGTTTTTGTTTTTTTAGTAGAGACAGGGTTTCGCCATGTTAGCCAGGGTGGTCTCAAATTCCCAACCTCAGGTGATCTGCCCACCTCGGCCTCCCAAAGTGCTGGGATTACAGGTGTGAGCCACCACTCCCAGCCAGTTATTTCTTAAAGATTTGTACAGCAACTGGAATTTCTGCATTATAGGAAATGAAGATCTTCAACTTCAGTAGGTATTATCAAATTGCCTGAGTCACCTAACCAATTCATACTCCTGTGAGCATGCATAAGCATTCCTGCTAAAACTTAGTGTTGTCAGGTTCGTTTCATGTGGGCCAGTCTAATGGGCATGAATGGTACATCTTTGAGGATTCAGTTTGAAGTTCCCTGATTACTATTGAGATTGAACCTCTTTTTACATGTCTTTATTAGGTTCTTTGGTTTCTTCTTTTATAAATTGCCTATTTATTTTTGTCCATTTTTTATTTGTCTTTATATATATTTATTTTTAATCTGCAGGATTCTTTTTTGTTGTTGTTTTTGTTTGTTTTTGAGACGGAGTTTCACTCTTGTTGCCCATGCTGGAGTGCAATGGCGCAATCTTGGCTCACTGCAACCTCTGCCTCCCAGGTTCAAGCAGTTCTCTTGCCTCAGCCTCTGGAGTAGCTGGGATTACAGGCATGTGCCACCACTCCCAGATACTTTTTCTGTATTTAGTAGAGACGGGAATTCACCATGTTGGTCAGGCTGGTCTTGAACTCCTGACCTCAGGTGATCCACCTGCCTCGGCCTCCCAAAGTGCTGGGATTACAGGCATGAGCCACCACACCCAGCCAATCTGCAGGATTCTTAATAATGCTAGGTACAAATTGCTTCTCAATTATACGCATTGCAAATATTTGCTCCCAGTCTGTGGCTTGTCTTTTCAATTTGCTTATGGTGCCTTTTATTGTACAAGAGTTAATAATTTTAAATAGCCAAATCTGTAATCTTTTTCATGTGTCTTTTGTGTTTTGTCTAAAATTCTTCCCTACTCCTAAGTTACATAAAAATGTTACAGGCCACACTTGGTGGTTCTTGCCTGTAACTTTAGCACTTTGGGAGGCTTAGGCAGGCAGATTGCTTGAGCCCAGGAGTTCAAGACCAGCCTGGACAGCATAGTGAGATACCCATCTCAGCAACAACAACAACAACACAAATTTTATACACATTCCACATTTTATTTATTCTGATATGCATGTTATTTCACATTTTAACTTGTTTAAAAAATCAAGATGTGGGCCGGGTGCAATGGCTCATGCCTATAATCCCAGCACTTCGCGAGGCCGAGGCAGGTGGATCACCTGAGGTCAGGAGTTCAAGACCAGCCTAGCCAAGATGGTGAAACCCTGTCTCTACTAAAAATACAAAAATTAGCCAGGTGTATTGGTGCATGCCTGTAATCTCAGCTACTCGGGAGGCTGAGGCAGGGAATTGCTTGAACCCGGGAGGCGGAGGTTGCAGAGCCAAGATTGTACCACTGCACTCCAGCCTGGGTGACAGAGTGAGACTCCGTCTCAAAAAAAAAAAAAAAAAAAAAAAAATCAAGTTGTGGTTTATAGGCACTGGGGTGGCATAATTTAATTGGCAGTGTTTTTTTTCTTAGTGTTATGTTTAATAATCTTACAATCGATGGCATTTTAGATTTGATGAAAAACAATATATAATTTCTAAACAAAATTTTGATTGTCTTAGTCATATTACTTTAAACTTGCCTTTTCTACCCAATATATTGTAAATACCTGAACAAGTCAATATTTATCTACAATGTTATTTTTAAGGAATGAATACCCATTATAGGAATAACATGATTTATTTGATTAACTCTCCATTTGGGGGTGTTTAGGTTGCTTCCAGTTTTTCTGTAACTGCTGTAATATGACGTAACAGATGCACTTATAGCTAAATTTTTGACACCTAATTATTTCTTTGGGATATGTCCTAGAAGTAAAGTAGCTGAGTTAAGGGCCATTCACAAGAAAAATAATTAAACGGTATTCACATAATAAAGGTTTTTTGGCCAAATTGCCCTTTGGAAAGAGTGTACCCATTTTTGCTCCCATTGATCGTTCTTGATAGTAACTGTCCCTATACTGCCAACCTTTTATCTGCAAAAATGTTAAAAAGAATTTTTTAGAGGCTGGGTGCAGTGGCTCACGCCTGTAATCCCAGCACTTTTGGGAGGCCGAAGCAGGAAGATTGCTTGAGCCCAGGAGTTCAAAACCACCCTGGGTAATATGGCGAGACTCTGTCTCTATTTTTAAAAAAGATAATTAAAAGAATTTTTTATAGATGCATATATTTTAATGTTGCCAACTTTTTTTTTTTTCTTTGAGACAGAGTCTTGCTCTGTCACCCAGGCTGGAGTGCAGTGGTGCGATCTCAGATCACTGCATCCTCCGCCTCCTGGACTCAAGCGATTCTCCTGCCTCAGCCTCCTGAGTAGCTGGGACTACAGGTGCGTGCCACCATGTCTGCCTAATTTTTTGTATTTTTAGTAGAGACGGGGTTTCACCATGTTGGCCAGGGTGGTCTCGAACTCTTGACCTCAGGTGATCTGCCCGCCTTGGCCTCCCAAAGTGCTGGAATTACAGGCGTGAGTCACCGTGCCTGGCTAGTGTTGCCAACCTCTATTGAGGAGCTTTGGTAAAGATAAAAAAGATAAGAAGAAAGACTTAATTCAGGAGCTTTGGTAGCTGCTCCCATGCCATCCTGTGTTTGGAGGCATAAAGTGCTGGTTGTTGAGTTATTAAAAGGTTAGTGTGCTTAGATTTAAAGGCTAGTTCCTTATTTCAGGAAGGGTCCTTCGGGGAAGGACTGAGTTTAACACATTTCCTACCCAGTTTACAAAGGACCTACTGAAGCACTAAACACAGTGCACAGGAATTATATTCCACTGCAGACAGATTGCTGACTCATAAAACAGCCTGAAAACATCCCTACAGAAGAAATAAATCTTATGGTTCTCCCCGGAAGTGGCCAAAGCTTGGAGGAAGAATAGGACTTGGCTCAGAAACATTTATTATAGGAGCATAGAATACAAAAATGTGATTTTATGTAGCTTTTGCCTGTGGGGCATTGAACTTCTGAAGAGGCAGCTTTAAGAATACTTGAGTACTTCCAGTGTATTCTTCTTAAGTTTAATTTTTGTCTAAGTAACCAGCAAGACATCTTTTCTTTAGGATGTGAAAGGGTTCAGGTGTGGTCTTATTTCCTTTTCTCTGAGATGGAGTCTTGCTCTGTCGCCCAGTCTGGGGTGCAGTGGCGCGATCTCAGCTCATTGCAAGCTCTGCCTCCCGGGTTCATGCCATTCTCCTGCTTCAGCCTCCCGAGTAGCTGGGACTACAGGCATGTACCACCACGCCCAGCTAATTTTTTTGTATTTTGAGTAGAGACGGGGTTTCACATGGTCTTATTTTCTAATGGAGAGAGTGGATTTTGATTGAGTTAGCTTTACTAATAATGCCCAGTGCTTGTGTCAGTGAAAAGTAAGCAAATTAATGAATAATACAAGCTGATAATGCTCTTACCAAGACTGAAATTTTGACCATTTTGGTGTATCAATTTATAAGGGCCACTTGAAAAGAATTGCTGTTAGCCAGGCGTGGTGGCGAGTCCCTGTAATCCCAGCTACTCGGGAGGCTGAGGCAGGAGCATCACTTGAACTCGGGAGATGGAGGTTACAGTGAGTTGAGATTGCACCACTGCACTCCAGCCTGGGTGACAGAACGAGACTTCGTCTCTAAATAAATAAATATATAAATAGAGAATTTATCTAAAATTCACTCGAACTCTTTGCCCAGCTTTAATCCCTTTTAGCTTAATCCTATTCTTGGTGAAATGTTGATTTGGTTCAAACAGGTGAATCTGACCAAGAAATATGGTGATCAGAATGGTTGAACACACACTGTAACAACGGGTAATTGAGCATTAATTTCCTGAAGACCTTTGGGAAACCTTTGACAAGAAAACATGGTTCAGGAGACCAGATGATTTCCTGTCTGATAACATGAGAGAGATGCTGATGTCATTCTAATAATGAGATGGAGATGTTTAGCCTTTAACCTGTGAAGATGGCAATTGTGAGTGGATTGGGACGTAGGGTTGGAACATGGTTCATATACAACTGAACCAAGGGCAGCTACAATCCATCAGTGCAAAGGTAATTTAGGGAAAGGAAAAAGTACCTAAGATTAATTGCAGTCAGACGGAGACTGCTTTTAAAGTACTTTGAAGTACAAAGACCTCGTGTAGTCCATGATCCAACCAAATGTTACTCATTGAAGGCCAAGGAGCAATGTGTTGGGTAGGGACTGAAAACAAGCTTGGTGCTTTGAACACTGTTCCTGAGAGCATCAACGGAAGCTATCGAGGGGGACAGGAGATGACCCATGTGACCAAGATGCAGTGTTGAGACCCGTGGGTAGTTTGATTGAAAAGCCTTTTAATCTCAGTGTGAAGGAGTTGCTTATAAGTGACAGAAATATAACCTCTGACAGGGATGCGCTGATGAAAAATTGATACCAGTGTCACTTTCTTGGCATGGGGGGGACCAAACCAAGACAGTCGGAGGCTCCATCTATGTGAGTCAGCGGCCACTGAGGAGGAACAGGAATCAGGAGGCTCGTCTGGTTGGTGATAGAATCCACCGACTGTGCTGCCTGAATGAAGGGGAGAGATTTGTGTGAATTATGAATAGCCATGCAGGTGAGGGAGGAGTGAGGTTCTGTGAGAAAGGGAGGCAGGCCAGGTCATGGATCAGGGAGGACCCGCAGGGACATTTAATCTGAGCAGGGGTCCAACTGCAAAAGGAAAAAATGATATCAAAAAAGGTGATGGAAGAAAGGTCTTGTTCCTCTGGCAACTATTCTTCTCGCTAAGCCAGTTGAGGGGGTTCATAGAAGGACATTGAGCTTTGCGGGACAATAATAGTCCCTGAAAGAGAGACTTTCATTTCCAGCATCAGCCGTGATCAAAGATGGAAGGGTGGGCCTTATCTGGGCCTGTGTCCTCTGAAGACCTGCTGAAACTGTTGAATATAAGGGAAGAGGACTCAGCACTGATTTCATTTCTGGCAGTGTGTGGGAATACCACTGTGTCAATTACAGACATTTATTTCATGGAATTTGAAGCATTAGCCTACCTTCATATTAAAACGTTAGCCAAAGTGTAATAAAATCAGTGTTTCTCTCCTTGTCTCAAATGAACATAAAAGATGTCAAAAGTGGAGACTGCTGATAAGATGAAAGTTGAAAGAATTTTTGGAATAAAAGAAAAATGGCCGGGCGCAGTGGCTCACACCTGCAATCCCAGCACTTTGGGAGGCCGAGGAGGGTGGATCACAAGGTCAGAAGATCGAGACCATCCTGGCCAACATGGTGAAACCCCATCTCTACTAAAATACAAAAAAATTAGCCAGGTGTGGTGGCGCATACCTGTAGTCCCAGCTACTCAGGAGGCTGAGGCAGGGGAATCGGTTGAACCCAGGAGGTGGAGGTTGCAGTGAGCCGAGATTGCGCCACTGCCCTCCAGCCTGGCGACAGAGCAAGAATCTGTCTCAAAAAAAAAAAAAAAGAAAGAAAGAAAAATGTGTTTAAGTTTTGTTTTTAAGCTCCAATTGCTACAACAGATATTTTGTCTTTATAAAAGGGGCAGCCCACCCAAATATTAGAGTTTTCCAAATAGTGACTGAAAAATGAGCGTACTAGTATTAGGGCTTTTGTGCCACAAAACTACCCAAAGAACTGTTTTCAAGGAAGGGAAGGATGCAGCTAAATTCTTCGGGAGTGCTGGAGAGTTCTCAGCTACTTAAATTGCATTAGGAGCAGATGTTATAAAAGAGAGGCTTGCTGCCATTGGCGCTCAGCGCTTTCATTTTTTAATACTTATCCTTAAGCCAAATATCTTTCTCAGGACTTTCTTCATTTCCAAATTCAGATGAATAAAGAGGGTATCAGATTTGCTCCTCTGTTACCGAGCAGACAGAAGGTATTTGGAGAATTGCTGTGAAGCTACAGTATGTCGGCTGTCTTCTGTGCTAGAAGGCCCTGCCAAATCCCCACAGACGAAACACCAGCCTCTTGAGCTGGCAATATTGTTACCCCTTTGCTTTTAAATCAGAAGGGCATTCAGAGGGAGAAGATCTTTAACTATACCCAGTGCGCATTTTCTTTTTTTTTTTTTTTGAGTTGGGGTCTATTGCCTAGGCTGGAGTGCAGAGGTGTGATCACGGCTCACTGCAGCCTCCAACTCCTGGGCTCAAGTGATCCTCCTGCCTCAGTCTCCTGAGTAGGTACGATTACAGGTATGTGCCAGCACATCTGACTATTTAAAAAAATTTTTTTATAGAGATGGGATCTTGCTATGTTGCCCAAGCTGGCCTCAAACTCCTGGTTTCAAGTGATCCTCCTGCCTTAGCCTCCCAAAGTTCTGGTACTGTAGGCATGAGCCACTGTACCTGGCCCTAGTGTGCATTTTCATCTGGCCACTTTTGCCAGATCCTGCCCTTTTGGTAAAATACTAAATGAAATATGAAGATCTCCCTTTTGCAGTGGGAGGAACCAGGGCATCTGGGTCAAATCCCCAGGAGTCTCATCAGTCAGAGCCTTGAGCAAGAATGCCCGGGAGAGAAAACATCCCTACATGCTATTTAATGGTGTTTGTCATGTTAAATAAGTAAGCAAGAGGCCGTTAGCCTGAAGCTGTCTCCATACTTCCAGTTCTTACATAGCAAACTACAACCTAACTTAGTACGTAAACCAACCAAAACCCAAATTAGGAGTATATGTTTTTTGTAACAAATAGCTGGGTTCCAGCCAGTCACAGGCAGGCAGCTGATCAGACCACGCCCAAATAAGGCAGACGCCCAGCTGTAGCTGTTTAGATGATTTCTCTACCTTGCTTCCGTGTTCAGCCTCTAAAGACTTGCCGCTCACACTGCTTGGCAGCGCTCTCTGAGCCTCTCCTGGTTCTGAGTGCTGCCCAGTTCCTGGATCATTCTTAAATAAACTTGGTTAAATTTATTTTGTCTAATGTTTGTCTTTAAACAGTAGCACTCTGGTCCTCAACCAAGAGTTGTCCGCTTTGGGGGGTGTGTAGAACCTCCAGATCTCACTGTTCTTGGGGCCAGCCCTCCTAGTGGTGCAAAATGTGTACCTTCTTCCAGGAGATCAGATCTGAGCAGAAGATTGTGATTAAAATGGAGCCTAGAAATGTCTGTGGACCCATTACAGGTTGAGTGTTCCTGTTCTGAAATGCCCCCAAATCCAGAACTTTTTGAGTTCCGACATGATGCTTAAAGGAAATACTGGAGAATTTAGGATTTCAGGTTTTCAGATTAGGGATGTTCAGCTGGTATGTATTCTGCAGATATTCCAAAATCTGAAAACAAAAAATCCAAAATCTGAAACACTTCTGGTCCCAAGCATCTAGAGAAGGGGCTACTCAACCTGTATAATTCCTCCCTAGTCATCTTGATCCTACCTCAATGCCAGTGCTAGGGAAGGCTGCTCACTTTGAGATCAGGATTGGGAAGCCACCTGGCACATGGCCATGTAGTAGAGTCCTTATAAATTTCAGTTCATCTTCCTTTTCTGCCCATTCTTCCTTTCAGCAAAGCATGGTGAAACTCATGGGCTTGGGGGGCAGAGCTGAGTTTGAATCCCATTGAAGAGTTACATAGTTTCTCTGAGCCTCAGTTTCCTCAGTGGTGATGGTGATTCCACCTTAAAGGATGAAGGCAAGGATTGCATACATGGTGTTAGCCTGTAGCTCGTGGTAGATTCTCAGTGGGTAATGGTGTCTCCTCTGCTTCTTTCTTACCTTGAAAACCTTATGTATCTGTTTCTTTTTCTTTCCTTTTCTTTTCTTTCTTTTTTTTTTTTGAGACGGAGTCTTGCTCTGTCGCCCAGACTGGAGTGCAGTGGTGCGATCTTAGCTCACTGCAAGCTCCGCCTTCCGGGTTCACGCCATTCTCCTCCCTCAGCCTCCCAAGTAGCTGGGACTACAGGTGCCTGCCACCATGCCCAGCTATTTTTTTATATTTTTAGTAGAGACAGGGTTTTACTGTGTTAGCCAGGATGATCTTGATCTCCTGACCTTGTGATCTGCCCGCCTTGGCCTCCCACAGTGCTGGGATTACAGGTGTCAGCCACCGCACCCGGCCTTACGTATCTGTTTCTGGACTAGCTTCTGAGGGGCTGATCAATGCAGTCCACTAACCAGACATCCCAGTTTAAATAAGAAGTGGCAGTGAGTACAGGTAATATCTATCAGTGTAGATACATCAGGCTTAATAGTAGAAGTTAGGACTTTTTTCTTCATATACAGTTAGCTCTGCTATAACATATGTGCTCCTAAAAGTCAGCACGTGATGCAAAATTATGCAGTTAAAAACCATAGAGGGTAGGCACGTTGGTTTGTGATACCAGCACTTTGAGAGGCTGAAGTGGGAGGATTATTTGAGCCCAAGAGTTCGAGACCAGCCTGGGCAAAGCAAGACCCTGTCTCTACGAAATAAAAAGATTAGCTGGGCCTCGTGGCATGCACTTGTTTTCCTAGCTACTTGGGAGGCTGAGGCAGGGGTATCACTTGAACCCAAGAATCAGAGGCTGTAGTGAGCTATGATCACACCACCACACTCCAGCTCGGGCAACAGAGCAAGACTCTGTCTTTAAAAAAATAAAAAGAAAAATATGTTAAAAGGATAAAAACCACAGGGCTTGTGGGGAAAAGTGAGTAGGAATGTAATACTAAAAATATTTGTCAATGACACATTAAAAAGGAACCTAATAATGATAGCAGTTTTACACATGTTAAATGATTACGAAATAGATAACACTACAGTAAATATGGCATTTTCTCTTGAGAAGACCTGAAGTTTGCTTGTGGAAGCAGGTGTCAGAAGTTGGAGCTTGTGAGTATTACTGTGAACTGGTGCATGGAGGGCTATCTGAAATCAGATGGGAGTTGTAACTCCAGATGTTGACGGTGTAGCCTATTAATACATTGTAAACTGAGGAGGTTGCTAGATGCCTGTGGGTTTTGTGCATTCTTGTGTAACTAGGTTTAGCTGGGGGAAGTCTTCTGTGTTCATCTAGTGTTTCTCACAGACAAAATCACGCATAAGCAAATAGAATTCCCATTATGCTCACATCGTCCGCTTCTATATCAATAGCATTGGAACAAATTTGCATTTTCAAAGCAAGCATTACCGCAGAACTGACTGTAGTAGCTTCCCAGAAAAGGTCAACTTCTCCTAGACAGTACCCAAAAGTAGAAGTAAATAAATTCAGTGTAAAACATAAAGGCCCACAGCACCATTAATATCCTTGAGAAAGTGGTAAGCATTATATAAATACATTTTTGCATCCTTTATATATAGGTTACTATATTCTGGGTAAGTAGAGTTATTGTCAGACTGCATGCAAATAACAGGAGTGTGGGGATAAGTGGTCCTTGGCTGTATTTTGTACTGATCGGGCTTGTGTATTATCTCTGAATCACCTGCTACCTTGGCATTCTTTCAGTAGTGCACATAAGCCATCCTCAGCACCTTGATCTTATATTAGCTTACAAACAGATTTGACTTCATAGGTAGAGCAGTATAAAATAACCATATGTTGTGTTTCTGTATTCACCCAGATCTCGTTTAAGATACTCTGTAAATGAATCTTATATTACAAAAATAAATGTGAGCATGAATATATATGATGCTCGGAGGAGAGGGGTAGTCATAGAACCTGTGACTTTAAGCCGGGTGCGGTGGCTCACTCCTGTAATCCCAGCACTTTGGCAGGCCAAGGTGGGTGGGTCGCTTGAGCTCAGGGGTTCCAGACCAGCCTGGGCAACATGGTGAAACCCGTCTCTACCAAAAATTAAAAAACAAAAATAGCTGGGCATCGTAATGTGTGCCTGTAGTCCCAGCTACTCGGGAGGTTGAGGTGGGAGGATTGCTTGAGCCTGGGAGGTGGAGGCTGCAGTGAGCTGAGATTGTGTCACTGCACTTCAGCCTGGGCAACAGAGTGAGACCCTGTTTCATTAAAAAATAAATAATAGTAAAGAATCTGTGACTTTAACAGGTTGGGTAGACGAAAAAGCCTGGAGGGCCTATAGATGATCTTGTGGAGGGGTCTATGAAACCCAGAAATTGCAATACAAATTTTTGTCCTAAGTGCATTTTGAAGGGAAAGGGTCCTCAGCTTTCATCATGTTCCTAAAGGGACCTTTGTGAAATGGTGGAGAAATGCTGAATTTTTTTAAAAAATCCATGGAATATATATTCCTGTCAGTCATTTAGGGAAATTTAGAGTGATCTATAGTGGATCCTGGTCCATTGATTCCATACAGGGGAGCTATTATAGTTTCTTCAAGAAGCACTCCTGGCTGGCACCCTCAGCCACAGCAGGAACTGGCTTCGCCATTGGGTCGGCCTCGCATGTCATCTTTGATGCTTCCTGTAAATTAGCCACATGAGTGATGAAGGTCTTCCTTTCTAACAGGGGCCTATGCCTTTCCACTGTGTGTCTCATGCTACCCTTGACTTTATTTTTCAGATGGGAACAGCGAGAGCTGCCCAACGGACGTGTCTATTATGTTGACCACAATACCAAGACCACCACCTGGGAGCGGCCCCTTCCTCCAGGGTAGGTCATCAACTGAGAAGACCTGAGACTCTGGAACTGACACCATGAGTCACCCAATGGCTTCTTGAAACGGTCCCTTTCTGCGGAGGTAGCATAGCACAGTGACGTTTATTCCGGGTCACTTGATTGCTTTTCCTATCCACTTACCTTAATATTGCTCCCATGTCTTAGGACATATTAGAATTATTAGAAGATCTCTGGGAAACAAAAGGCGCATGGGAGGCCAAGATTTAGAGTGTTGATGCATTCCGCCGTACCCTATGCCCAGCCTGTCCCTAAAGGCAGAGTGCTTCTTATTCGGCAGGGCTTCGTGAGAATGCCGCCAAGTTATCCAAAACCAAAGGATGAGAGAGGCTTCCAAGAGAGGGAAGACTGTCCAAGTTCAAGGAGAAGGGGTTTGGTTCCCTGTCTGCCAGGGACAGAAAGTTCTTTCCACATGTGTCTCCTGGTCCCGAGAGCTTTCAAAAGGGGATGTATTCTGCTCCAAGAAAGAATCACCTCCCAGTAAAGTAGCCATGAAGGGCTCCTGTATAAAATATGCACACTTCCCCTGCCCTGAGTTTGTGGAGGGAAAGGCTGTCGGAAGTAGGGACTCTTAGGAGAGCCCGTGTGCCCTGTTTGGTTCAGCTGTCAGGCGTGTGCCACACACATCCCACCTCATCTTCTGGTCCCATAATTCTCCATGGATGGGCTGCTTTTAGCTCCAGTTTTCCAGTAGAATGCTTGAGTTTTCCTTTTTTCCGTACCTCCTGGA
Source organism: Homo sapiens (assembly GCF_000001405.40). NCBI lineage: Eukaryota > Metazoa > Chordata > Mammalia > Primates > Hominidae > Homo > Homo sapiens. The sequence goes on from NC_000016.10 coordinate 69,909,605, forward strand.
GGATGAAACTCATAACCTGTCATCATCAGTACTCACTGTGTTTTCCACTTTGACTTGAAGTCAAATGAAGTTACCAAAGTTAAACATGGACTTCTCAAATTAGAAAAAAACAAACAACAAAAAAACAGGTTAAGTGTTTTGTTATGAAAATTATGAAAATGTTCTTATTATTATGGAAAATTTCAAATAGATATAGAGAGAATAATGTTACAAACCCCCACATACTCAACATTTAGCTTCAAAAATTATCAACTCATGGCGGGTTTTGTTTCATCTGTACAAACTAGTCGGCACACTATGATGGCCTGTGGACAAAATCCGGCCCTCTGACTGTTTTTGTAAATAAGGTTTTATTGGAACACAGCCACACATATTTGTTGACTTATTGTTTTTGGCTGTTTTTGTACTTCATTGGCAGAGTTGAGTAATTGCAGCAGACTCTATGGCTTGCAAAACCTAAAATAATTACTTTGTGTAGCGCTTTATAGAAAAAATTTGCTAACTCCCGATCTGTAACCCCCAACCTATCCGCCGCACCCTGATCTAGGTAATTTTGAAGCAAATCCCAAATGTCACATCATCTATCCATATTTCACTATGTATTTCTAAAACATATTCTTTTATTCAAAATAAAACTCTAATATCATTAACAGTATTTTGTTTATATTATCAAATACCCAGTCAATATTTGACTTTCTATAATTGTGTCACAAATTAAACATTGACTTTAACAGTATGTATTACACACTTGTACTTTGTGTACTTTATAACATGTGCACTTTAAAACAGCAGGAGCTCTGTGTACTGTGGCTTTTTTTTTTTTAGACGGAGTCTCGCTCTGTTGCCCAGGCTGGAGTGCAGTGGTGCAATCTCCAGCTCACTGCAACCTCCACCTCCTGGGTTCAAGCGATTCTCCTGTCTCAGCCTCCTAAGTAGCTGGGATTACAGGCGCCCGCCACTATGCCCAACTAATTTTTTGTATTTTTAGTAGAGACAGGGTTTCACCATTTTGGCCAGGCTGGTCTTGAACTCTTGACCTTGTGATTCGCCTGCCTTTGCCTCCCAAAGTGCTGGGATTACAGATGTGAGCCACTGCGCCCAGCCTACTGTGGCTTCTTCTTAACCTCTCTTGTCTAGGAGGGACGTAGGCCTTGACCCAGTGAGCATTTGCATGGAATTTAAGTAAAGATATTCAGTGGTACCTTCTAAGGATCGCTGGGGACTTGCTCTCCTCTAGGTGTTGAGGTGGGACACTACTAATCAAGCTGTCTTATTTCAGGGTAGTTTTCATGTTTTCCTGGGAGATGGCTCACCTGTACGCCCTGCATAGCTTACTAGTCCTTCCTGAGTTTTAGGTCAAGAACTTTGAGCCTCTAGCTCTCATTTCTGCTCTGTAATCACAGGGGATCCAGAGAGAACAGAATGAATGCTTAAGCTTTCATTTCTCATTAATGGCAGAAGTCCTGCCTCCAGGGAAGTATTAACCATGGTGAAAACAATTTTGAAACTACAGATGGAGCCATGATCTCAACAGACCTAGTCCCTGGGGAGCAAGATTGAACCACCGATTCACTTAATCATGGCCGTCCCTGCATAGGAAACCCACAGGAAACTTGTATGAGAATGGGTCCTTCTATCCGGGAGCAATAAGTATTGGACCTAGTAGCTCAGGGTGAATGCATCCATTTGCTCATCAGTCACTCTTAAGCAGTGTTCAGACCACAGGTAAGCAAAGAGTGATCACTGTGAAACAAGAGGATTGAGGAGGCCTCACAGAGGGAAGTGGCTCCAACTCTTGCAAGAAGATGATCCAGGTTGGGGGGACAGTGGAGGTGGCTGCCTGCATATGGGAAGGGAAAGGATGTGTTTGGGGAAGGATGCATGGGGTGGTTATGCTGGAGTGGAAGGGTTGTATGAAGTAAAGAAGTCCAAGTGTGCCCGGTGGGGCTCTCAGGTTTGGGGGAGATGCCCACCAGAGCCAAAGAGGGTGGAAGGGCTGACTGGGCCTCCAGTCACTGTTCTGTGCAAGATTTCAACTGAAATAAAGAGTGCAATCGTGCTTCTTAGAAGTGGAAATTCACCACAGCAGAGTACTTTTAGTTAAACATGTGGCTTGAACATGTGTTTATTTCTATTCTTCCTGAAAACCCACTAAAATAGTAATAAAAGTATTAAAAAGGCATAAACCTTCAACAATAAAGGGATGGAAGAGGAGAAACAGCATATGGGAGATGTTAATCAAAGTTTAGTTTCTGATAGATAAATGGCAGAGCCGAGAGAATGAAACCCACACCTGCAGGATGAGGAATCCACCAGGAAGCCGGCTGATGTGCACCATGGGGCTCTGGAAAGCCTCAGCGATTAGAGGCACCAAGGATGGGTGTGGAATGAGATTAAAACCTTGGCTGGGCTCGGTTGCTCACGCCTGTAATCCCAGCACTTTGGGAGGCCGAGGCAGGTGGATCATGAAGTCAGGAGATTGAGACCATCCTGGCTAACACGGTGAAACCCCATCTGTACTAAAAATACAAAAAATTAGCCAGGCATGGTGGCACACACCTGTAGTCCCAGCTGCTTGGGAGGCTGAGGCAGGAGAATTGTTTGAACCCCAGCGGCGGAGGTTACAGTGAGCTGAGATTGCACCACTGCACCACTCTAGCCTGGACGACAGAGCGAGACTCCATCTCAAAAAAAAACAAAACAAAACCTCATTGGTTTTAGATCAGTTGGAAGATGAGTTGGAAGTTTGTGCAGGGAGTTAGATTCACACACACACACACACACACACACACACACACACACACACAGCCTCATGACTGCCTCTGACATTGAGAAGCTGCAGAGAGAGTAGGAGGACCAGGTCGGGGGACACAAACTATAGCTGAAGGCCAGGATGAACTCAGAAACAAGAGATTAAATGCGGATGCTATCTCCATTCCCCAGGCTGAAAATTGGAGGGTAGTTTTGTTTGTTTGTTTGTTTGTTTTTGCTGGGGAAAGTGATAGTCTAAGAGAAAGAAACATAGATTGTGATATTTGGGAACCTTCTAGTGAAATAGCTGAGACTCTTCCTGGTCACTCTACAGTCTGCAGCCCTCATCTGAGGATACAGAACTCAGTCAGTGTTTTAGTGGCTCACTGTTAAATGCGAATGAACACAGCTGGGCACGGTGGCTCACACCTGTAATAGTAGAACTTCCAGAGGCCAAGGCAGGAGGATCTGGAAGTAGAACTTCCAGAGGCCAAGGTGGGAGGATCGCTTGAGTCCAGGAGTTCGAGACTAGCCTGGGCAACATATGGAGAACCAGTCTCTACAAAACAAAAAAAAAAAAAAAAAAAAAAAAAAAAAAAAATATATATATATATATATATATATATATATATATATATATTTTTTTTTTTTTTTTTTTTTTTTTTTTTTTTTTTTTTTTTTTTTTGAGACAGAATTTTTGCTCTCGTTGCCCAGGCTGGAGTGCAGTGGCGCAATCTCGGCTCACTGCAACCTCCACCTCCCAGGTTCAAGCGATTCTCCTGCCTCAGCCTCCTAAGTAGTTGGGGTTACAGGCACATGCCACCACGCCCAGCTAATTCTTGTAATTTTTTTTTTAAAGTAGAGATGGGGTTTCACCATGTTGGCCAGGCTGGTCTCGAACTCCTGACATCAGGTGAGCCACCCACCTCGGCCTCCCAAAGTGGTGGGATTACAGGCGTGAGCCACCACGCCCAGCCAAAAAAAAGTTTTTTTTAAATTAGCTGAGTGTGGTGGTGTATGCCTGTGTTCCCAGCTACTTGGGAGGCTGAGGTGGGAGAATCAGTTGGGCCTGGAAGGTTGAGGCTGCAGTGAGCCGTGATTGTGCCACTGCGCTCCAGCCTGGGTGACAGAGCAAGACCCTGTCTCAAAAAATTATAATAATAAATAAAAATAAATGTGAACAAACAGCCAAAGATGAGCAGACAGAAAAAAGAGACTTGGTGAAAACAATATAGGAAGCTGAAAAACAGCTTTGGAAAGGAAAACCAGATTATAATTGATATCCTCAAAGATTTGGGAGAAAATAATGGCATCTGTGCAACAAGAACAGGAGGCCATGAAATGGACCAGGCAGAAAACAGGAGCTTTTAGAAATTAATATATATGACAACAGAAATGAAAAATTCAGTAGAATGGTTGAAAGGTAAATTTGGGCTGAGCATGGTGGCTCACGCATGTAATCCCAGCACTTTGGGAGGGCGAGGCAGGTGGATCACCTGAGATCAGAAGTTCGAGACCAGCCTGGCCAACATGGTGAAACCCCCGTCTCTACTAAAAATATAAAAAATTAGCCAGGCGTGGTGGTGCTTGCCTATAATCCCAGCTACTCGCGAGGCTGAGGAAGGAGAATCGCTTGAACCTGGGAGGCAGAGGTTGCAGTGAACTGAGATCACACCATTGCACTCCAGCCTGGGCGACAGAGCGAGACTCTGTCTCAAAAAAAAAAAAAAAAAAAAAAAAAAAAAGAAAGTGATAAATTTGGAGATAAGAAGATGAGAAGATGTGACCAAGACATTCAATATCTGAAGAATAGTTCTTTAGCAAGAACTTGCGGAATAGCAGGAAAGAACAGAGAAACAGGCAATAGGAAATCATTAGAAAAGAAAATTGCCAGAACTCAAGTATCCAGATTCAAACAGCTCACCACACGCCTAGCCCAGAGGATAAAAAAAGACTCACCCCAAGGCTCATCTGATTGAATTTCTGAGTGCCAAGAGACAGCCTCAGAAACTTCCAGAGGGAAAAAACAGAGTACCTAGAAAGGATCAGGAACCAAGAGTGCCATCCTTCTTCTCAGCTGTAGAGCAGGACCTTCACAATTCCGATGGAAAATGATTTCCTGCCGGGCACAGTGGCTCAAACGTCTAATCCCAGCACTTTGGGGGGCCAAGGCAGGAGGATCGTTTGAGTCCAGGAGTTCAAGACCAGCCTGGGCAACACAGTGAGACACTATCTCTTAGAAAAACAAAAAATTGGCCCCGCATGGTGGTGCGTGCCTGTAGTCCTAGCTACTTGGGAGGCTGAGGTGGGAGGATCACTTGAGCTGGGAGGTCGAGGCTGCAGTGAGCCATGATCATGCCACTGCACTCCAGCCTGGGCAACAGAGCAAGACCCTGTCTCAAAGAAACAAAAAAGAAAATGATTTCCTGTCTAGAAATCAACTTTGAGTTATTTTAACATTTGAATATGAGAGTAGAAGTCAAGGCATCTTCAGACATTCTGGGCTTCAAAAAATTAACCTTGATACATCCTGTCTTGGAAGCTACTCCATGATTTATCGCACCAAATCCCACCAGGAAGCCAAGAAAGAAGAATGAATGGGATGCAAGACACAGGGAACTTAACCCCGAGGCCATGGAATCTCCCAGGAGGAGGAGAAGGGAAGGCAAGTCAGGTCAAGGACACAGAGCGGGTGTGAGATGGACACACAACTGTCCCCGTCAGATGAGGGAGAGATGTGGCCGAGAGAGGAAGGCCACTGCCAGGCCACCTGTCCCGTCTGAGAATCTGGGGATGCATCAGTGATAGGTTCTTGAAAACCACACAGAAGACGACAAGGAAGTTCTCACCTCCAGAAAAAAGAAAAAAGTTGTTACAAGTAAGGAAATGTACTTATAGTATTCTACATTGTCATCCAAACCCTGAATATTGATTTAACGGTGAGTTTCCATATTGAGAGGACGAGGGGAGGAGATAGTTGAGGGATGGAATGCAATACCTATATCCTCATCCCTCATCTTTGGTAGTGGAAAGTCCATAAGCGATAGCAAATATGGCAAAAATCAAGAAATAATGAGCCAGGCTTGGTGGTGCACACCTGAGACTACTCAGCTACTCAGGAGGCTGAGGCTGGAGGATAGTTTGAGCCCAGCAGTTCAAATCCAGTTTGGGCAACATAGTGAGATCCTGTCTCTGTATTAAAGAAAAGACAAAAAGCAATGAAATAGACATGTTATTTAGAGACACAGATGTACACATATACTAGTAGAAGCAATTGAGAGTTGAAAGTGGTTGCCTTCGGGGAACAGGAGTCAGCAATGGGGCAAGAGACCATCGTTTTTCATTATATTCCCTGCAGTCCTGTTTATGTTTCAAAACTATATACATATGACTTCGGGCCGGGTGCAGGGGCTCACACCTGTAATCCTAGCACTTTGGGAGGCTGAGGCGAGAGGATTGCTTGAGCCCAGGAGTTTGAGACTAGCCTGAGCCACACGGGGAGGCTTCCATGTCTACAAAAATTTTTTTAAAAAATTAGTTGAATGTGATGGTGCATTCCTGTGGTCCTAGCTATTCAGGAGGCTAAGGTGGGAGGATCACTTGAGCCTGGGAGGTGAGGCTGCAGTGAGCCATGATCCTGCTACTCTACTCTAGCCTGGACTAACAGAGTGAGACCCTGTCAAAAAAAAAAAAAAATCTTTGGTAACAAAAATAAATAAAAATCACTAGTTTAGACAAATTATGAGAAAGCTAGGAAGGTTCCAGATTTTTGTGAGCCTTGTGTACTTACTAAAGGATTTTGACTCAAGGGCAATGGGGAGTCAATGGAAGTGTTGTTGTTGTTGTTGTTGTTGTTTGAGACAGGATCTCACTCTGTCGCCCAGGCTGGAATGTAGCAGCATAATCATAGTTCACTGTAGCCTTGATCTCCCAGGCACAAGCAGTCCTCCCACCTCAGCTGCCCAAGTAGCTGGGACCAAGGGCGCACACTCCACCACCCCCAGCTAATTTTTAAAAAATATTTTTGTAGAGATGGGGGTCTCCCTCTGTTGCTTAGGCTGGTCAATTGAAGTTTTTGAGCAGGAGTGTGACCGAAGGGCTCAGTCTAGTGGGTTACTCTGATGGCTATTTGTAGGCTGGATGGAGTGGGGAGGTTAATTCTGGGGTAGGAGCAGTAGTCCAGGGGTGAGGTGATACAGATCTGGACATAGGAATGGAAAATGGAAAGTCAGTGGCAGGGAGACTGAAAAAGCAGCAGTCAGGCTGAATGATTGATAGCAGCGGGAATGATGTTGGCCTGGTTTCATCCCTGGGAGGAGAATTGACATGAGGAGACTGAAGAAAGGCCTGGGTGTGGGGAGAGAGCTGTGGCATTCAATTGAATGAAGGGTGACAGCTGGTCATGAAGGTGAGGCACTCTAGCAGGCAGAATCCAGACAAAATCTGGGAACTGACTGTGGGTCCTAGGAACCACTTGAGGGGAAACCATTTTTAGGGAGGCCTTGAGTTTAAAAAAAAATCATTGAGGCCGGGTGCAGTGGCTCACGCCTGTAATCTCAGCACTTTGGGAGGCCGAGGTGGGAGGATCGTTTGAGTCCAGGAGTTCGAGACCAGTCTGGGCAACATGGCGAAACTCCATCTCTACTAAAAATATAAACAGTGAGACTCTGTCTCAAAACAAAACAAAACCAAAGACCATGCAACATGTTTACACTGGCACCTTATATCAGGTGAGTTTCAGTTGCAAGTAACAAAAGTTGTTAGCAACATTGGCTTAAATAAGGAAGGGAATGTATTGGCTCATGTAACTGAAAATTCTAGATATCAATCCTGATTCCAAGCGAAGCTTGGGCTACTCAACAATATCACCAAGGAATTGGCTTTTCTCCCATTTTTCTGCTCTGCCATCCACTGGGTCAACTTCCTATTGTCTTCGGGTCCAAAATAATAGCCAGTGGCCCCCAGGACCACATGCTTCCTCAGTCATATTCAGAAAGGATGAGCAACTATTATTTTTCCTAGATTTGCTAGCAGATGTCCTGAGATTGGCTGTGGCTGGCTCAACATACATCACATGTGCACTTCTGGTCCAGGCAACCATGCAACTCTGAGGTTGGGAACAGAGTCAGCTTCCCCAGAACCACATGGATCCCCAAATTAGAAATTGAGAGCTAATGGCAAGGAGGGATTGGGTGCTGCAGAGGCAACCACAGATGTCTGCTATAATCAGCTAAGCCCCAGCAACCTCTGTGACAGGGCCTGCCCGGCTGTGCTAGGCATCCTGAGACTTTTCTAGAATTGGGGGATGGGAGTGGGGTGGTCATTATATTCATTCTGAGGTTCCTATTTCCAGCTGGGAAAAACGCACAGATCCCCGAGGCAGGTTTTACTATGTGGATCACAATACTCGGACCACCACCTGGCAGCGTCCGACCGCGGAGTACGTGCGCAACTATGAGCAGTGGCAGTCGCAGCGGAATCAGCTCCAGGGGGCCATGCAGCACTTCAGCCAAAGATTCCTCTACCAGGTGAGAGGGCAGGCGCTTGGCCCGAGGTGGGGCCGCCTCCCTGCGCTTGCGAATGTGCAGCCACGTGTTCTCTGTTGACCTGCTTAGTGAGCAGGGAAAACAGCGTCTGGCAACGTCAGTGCTCTGCCCCTGGAGATTTTACTCATCACAGTGAAATTCCTCAAATTCCAGTGTGCCTCACTCAGCAGCTCCATATCTAGCCTCTGTGTTTAAGGAATCAACGTGTCTAAAACTGAATTCCCCGTCTTTCTTCCGAGATCGGCTTTCATTTCTGCCCCCTTCATTCAAGTCCATTTTCCCTGACTTGCACCCTGACTTGCTTTGACTTCTCCCATCCCTCACCTTTCCAGATGAAAGCAATCACCAGGCAACATAGTGAGACCCTGTCTCTAAAAAAAAACAAAAACAAAAACAAAAACCTGCTACTGTTTTTTGTTAGATCTTTATTATCTGACACATTCTCAGGGATGAAGGATCCTTGGGCTCATCTAGATCAGGGATTGGCAAATAATAGTCCATGGGCCAAGCTGGCCTGCCACTTCATTTTGTTAATAAAGTTTCATTGAAACATAAGAACACCCAGCAGTTTACATATTAATGGTGGCTGCTTTCGTGGTACAATGGTAGAGTTAAGTATCACAATAAAGACTGTACAGCTCAGAAATCCTAAAGTAGCCTAAGCCTACTGTCTGACCCTTTGCTGAAAAAGTTTGTTATCTTTGGTCTAGCTGAGCCTCCTTCTTTCTGATGCTTGATCATCTTCTGCCCCTTCCCATCTGAATTGCTAGAGCAGCCTCTAAATTGTTCTCTCCATTGGCCTTCTCTCTCTTCCAATCCATCTGGCCTGTTCCCCTCAGAGCAGTCTTCAAACGTTACTGTCATTGCATCCATTTACTGGCTCAAAACCTTTTGTGGTCTTTACCTAAAGAGTAACATTTAAATTTTCTTTTTCCTTTTCTTTCTTTTTTTTTTTTTTTTGAGATGGAGTCTTGCTCTGTTGCCCATGCTGGAGTGCAGTGGCACAATCTCGGCTCACTGCAACCTCTGTCTCCTAGGTTCAAGCAATTCTCCTGCCCCAGCCTCCCAAGTAGCTGGGATTACAGGTGCCCACCACCACACCCGGCTAATTTTTGTATTTTTAGTAGAGATGGGGTTTTGCCATGTTGGCCAGGCTGGTCTTGAACTCCTGACCTCAAGTGACCTGCCCTCCTCGGCCTCCCAAAGTGCTGGGATTACAAGCATGAGCCACCATCCCCGACCACATTTAAATTTTCTTTTCTTTTCTTATTTCTTTTTTTTAAGATGGAGTTTTGCTCTTGTTGCCCAAGCTGGAGTGCAATGGCATGATCTCAGCTCACTGTAACCTCCACTGCCCGGGTTCAAGCAATTCTCCTGCCTCACCCTCCCAAGTACCTGGGATTACAGGCACACGCCACCGTGCCTGGCTAATTTTTTGTATTTTTAGTAGAGACGGGGTTTCACCATGTTAGTCAGGCTGGTCTCGAACTCCTGACCTCAGGTAATCCGCCCACCTTGGCCTCCCAAAGTGCTGGGATTGCAGGTGTGAACCACCATGCCTGGCCCACATTTAAATTTTCTCGTCCAGAATTGTGGGTGCTCTGGTTTCAAACTAACTGCCTAAACAGTCTCCTATACCGTGTCCCTGTGGGAACCCTCCCAGTTCCACCTGCTGGAGTCTCCATCCCATTAGAGGGTCCACAGTGAGCTGGAGGTGGGGAAGCCCAGCTGCAAAGCCTCTTTGGTAGGGAGACGTGGGACTCCCAAGTTGGCTGATTATATTTTCTCAGAGCACTTTAGATGCGAAGGTTGGGATCTACAGCAGAACTAACACAGGATATGATGGTGCATTGCAGGCTGGAAATGTTTTGAGCTGGGTCCCTGACTTTTTTTTTTTTTTTTTTTTTGAGACAAGGTCTCATTCTGTGTCACCCAGGGTGGAGTGCAGTGGCATGATCATGGCTTATTGCAGCCTTGACCTCCTGGGCTGAAGTGATCCTCCCACCTCAGCCCCCTCAAGTAGCTGGGACTACAGGCATGCACAGTCACACCTGGCTAATTTTTTGTATTTTTAGTAGAGATGGGGTTTTGCCATGTTGCCCAGGCTGGTCTTGAACTCCTGGGCTCAAGCAATCCACCTGCCTTGGCCTCCCAAAGTGCTGGGATTACAGGTGTGAGTCACCACACCCAGCTGATGGACCCCCGACTTTTAATCATCAGCCATAAGTCACTGTAGCATCTCCCTTGGTTAGTTCTGTCTGTGGGGATGGATTGCTCATTGTACAGGGAGGAAACCATGGAGGACCTCAGTTTCCTTAGCAGAGGTGAGCAGAAAGTGTGGTGTTTGTCTTAGTAAGTTGCTCCAGGGTCGACGATCATGCCCCTCTCCAGCCAGGGCCCCGCTGTCTAGCCCAGTGCGCTCTGCACACTTTCTTGGGCTAGGCTTCCCACCCATGCCTGCCACACATGCCTGACATCCAATTCTGGCATGTTTCAGAATTGGATGGAATCTGGTCTTTCACCACATTTCAGAGATTGCTCCTTTTGAGCTGGGCCCAAAAGATTTTGCCTGCCATTTTCTTGGGTGGTTGTGGCTGCAAAACTGGGAAGGTCTGGGGCATCTTTCTTCTTTGACCTATCTGTCCTTTGACTTAGAGACAAGGACGTATTTTAGGAGTTTCACATGGTTTTTGTCTACCTGATTATCCAAAATTTCTCATTAAAAAAAAAAAATGGAACCGAATGTTGTGGTGCACACCTGTAATTCCAGCAACTTGGAAGACTGGCGGGTGGGAGGATCACTTGAGCCCAGGAGTTTGAGGCTGCAGTGACCTATAATAGTGCCACTGCACTCCAGTCTGGATGACAGTAAGATCCTGTCTCAATAAATAAATAAATAAAATAAAATGCATTAAAGCAATTTTTTTTTCCCTTAAAAGCCCCACTAGTTAGGTTCTGTGGGTTGACCAAGATGTTGGTGTGTGAAAGGGAAGATTCCCAGATTCTGGAGCTCACATCTGCCTGGTCTTTTTGGAGTCTTCCTTCCTGCCTGCCTCTCTTAGCAACATTATTCTGGGTTTATAGAGGTAGAACTTTGACTTGGAGGGTTCCCTAGAAGTAAAAATTAAACACTAAAAAATTCTTCTTTCTGAGTACTCTAAAATGGTTTTCTCAGGCTCGCTGGGGATGTGGGAGGGTTCTGCATGGAGGTGATAGTTACCTTTTCTCCATGAAACAAAACTCATATTGAAAAATGTGGCAGGAATCTTTCTTTGGTCTGCTTTCAATGTCTCTCTGTTGATTTTCCTCCCCCTCTGGCATTGGTTTTCTCCTCTTGTTTGCTATGGTGCCATGTCCTGGTTACAAGTAAGAAGGGTTGCTTTCATATAGTTATTTTGGGGTTTGGCTTAGGCCCAGAGTTTGACTCGGAAGACTTAAGACCCAATACTAGACTAGCTAGCGGCCTCCCCTCCTCCTCTTGCTGGGCTTCAACTGAGACCTTGTTCTTCTTTGCTGCACTGCAGAGAACATGAAATACAGTTCAAAATGGAAATCAAGGGAATCCCAGATTGCAGTCTCCTGTAATTCCTTCCTGCTGTCTGCCTCAACACACACCTTCTCCAGTTCCTCTAAATTCTGGTTCTTAGTTTTTCTGCCATGTTTCCCTTTCCCAACTCCTAGTGTGCTAATGTTGCCCGTGATCATCGTGTATCTTTTCGTTTGCTTGCTTCACCGTTGCAGTTTCTTTTTGCCGTCTTGTGTCGTGTTCCTGCTGGGACCCACTGAAGATGCCTGGCACAGCCTTGCACATTGTGCTGTTGTGACGGGACTATCACACGGCCGACAATTTCTGGGGCATCTCTCTCTGCAGTATTGAAACAGATTATTTTGACTGGGCGCGGTGGCTCACGCCTGTAATCCCAGCACTTTGGGAGGCTGAGGCAGGCGGATCACTTGAGGTCGGGAGTTCAAGACCATCCTGGCCAACATGGTGAAACCCTGTCTCTACTAAAAATACAAAAATTAGCTGGGCGTGGTGGCGGGCACCTTTAGTCCCAGCTACTTGGGAGGCTGAGGCAGGAGAATCGCTTGAACTCGGGAGGCAGAGGTTGGTTGTGGTGAGCTGAGATCATGCCACTGCACTCCAGCCAGAGACACAGAGTGAGACTCCATCTCAAAAAAAAAAAAAAAAAGGTAAAAGAAACAGATTATTTTGTGGCTCTTAGGGTGTGGACTCCAAATTGCATTATCGAGAAACAGACAACTTGTTTCTTACTCTGCAATGAGCCCCTTGCATTGAATTCTCAAGCACCTGGATTTTGTTCTGCATCCGTCTGGTGCATCCTTAAAAAAAAAAAAAAATGCCTGCGTTCCACGCTGCAACCTTTATGCCCTTCCCAGACCTTTCTTACCCTCAGCTGTATTTGCTAGACATTCTTTATTTCTGAGTTTGTATCTTAAAATATTACTGGAACTTTGTGCTTAGTTCCCAAGGGACTTGAACTCTCATGAGCTCTCTGGCTCATGGCCTGCACCCCAGATCTCCCAACCCAGGGACCATTACCCGGGAAGAGGATTCCACAGTGTTCTTTTCTGTTCCTAGTGATAGAGAACATCTAGGATCTCCCTTCTGGCTGCAGAGTCCCGCTTTCCCCCATCTCCATCCTTTTCTGCTCCACGTAACACCTTGACATCTCTCATTTTAGGGGAATGTGGTAGAAGAGGAGGGGCAGCCGGTTGGCTCATTGGAGGTGTGGGGTTTTTGGCTTTTGGTTTTCTGGCCATGATGCATAGTTTTTATTTTTCATTTCTTCTTGTTCCTTCCTTCTGGCTTTATTTTTCAAGTTGTACTGCGTACCTTAGGGAAGAAGTATCCAAAATCGTCAAGTGCTTCTATTTAACAATGAAAAGTAAAATTGTTGTGAGGATCAGCTCCCATTGATTCTGATTTTATTAGGTTGGTGCAAAAGTAATTGTGGTTTTTGCCACGACTCTTTTTTTTTTTTGAGACGGAGTCTCGCTCTGTTGCCCAGGTTAGAGTGCAGTGGCGCAATCTCGGCTCACTGCAACCTCTGCCTCCTGGGTTTAAGCGATTATCCTGCCTCAGCCTACTGAGTAGCTGGGATTATAGGTGCCTGCCACTATGCCTGGCTAATTTTTGTATTTTCAGTAGAGACAGGGTTTCCCCATGTTGGCCAGGCTGGTCTCGAACTCCTGACCTCAAGTGATCCATCCGCCTCAGACTCCCAAAGTGCTGGGATCACCAGCCTGAGCCACGGCACCCGGCCGCCATGACTCCACAATTACTTTTGCACCAACCTAATAAATGTTGTTTGTGTTTATCAGTCTCTGGTGTCTCTCCCTTTCCTGTCTGCCTCCTCTTCTCCTCGCTTCTTATAGGTGTGTGTGTTGGGGGGGTGGGGGGGGTGCGTTCTGATAGAATAACAAACAGAGGATACCAAGGAAATTTTTTAAAAACCCTTTAACGAAAGAGAGCCAACATTGCATGAAGGCTGAGATTTTTTTTAAAAGGCAAGGATTCAGAAAAGGGCTGATCAGTATTTTCTGATCCTAGTTCAGTGCTAGTCAGGGAGACTGTCAGTAAAGACCTTTTTGGTCTGTTGATTTGTAGAATTAAGCAAAAGATGACCATGCCCCTGTGGAAGCTGGGTTGGTACCAGCTGGTAGCTGATTTCCCAGGAGAACCCTGAACGCTTTACAGATGATCTACTGACTCCAAAACAAGACCTGAAGCAGCAAACACTTTTACACCAAATGCGTCTTCTTTTAATGTCTTAAAATAACCTTTTCTATAGTCCTTCCCTTTTGCAAGGTCACTGCTGTAGCTCAGCACTTACCCAGTGCCTCTGGCTCCATGATGTAGAATACGTGTGTTTTCTCATTTGTTCCTTTGCCTCTGTTGCCGAATGTTTTTAATGTGTTAACTACAAAACAGAGTTGGAGGAACTTGGATTTTATGAGATGCTGTACCCTATCTCCCCCAACCCCCCAACACACAGACACACGCCCCCATGACTTGGAATTCGGGAGATTTTTTTCAGTAATGATTCAACGTGATTTGTGATGGAGAATTTTAGGCACAGCTTGAGATCAATGATAAGGGGCCCTAAATCAAGGTGAGCTTCCCCCACCTCCGTGCACTTGCATTCTGTGTGGGCAGGAGGCCCTGCCCTGAAAGGGGGCTCCGTCCTGTCAAGAGCCTATGGTTTCAAGACTTAAACATCTTTGTTGGAACTTGCTTGGAAGAGGGGCCTGTGTTGCCACCTTGGAAAGAAAGTTTCTCTGTCCTTTCAGCTGGGGGTGGAGGGAGGGCTGTGGAAGGGGGCTTGCTGGCAGTTGAGTTCCACCAATGTTTTCTCAAGCCGACACTGAGCCCCATTCATCCTCCTGCCCATGTGTGGCTCCGGCACCCCTAGACGGGGCCAGCCCAGCAGCCTGAAGTCCGCATTTAGAACTTGATCCCCTCTTATAACGATTAAATTTTAGTAAGTAAAATAAAAATGCTTCAGAAAGAAAAAAAAGAAAGGAAGAAAGAGTGGAACAATACTTGTTTTATTTAACGACCAGAACTTTTTGACAACACCCCCCTTCCCCGCAGGATATGAGAATGCCTGGTCCACTGCAGTCCATCCCCAGGGACCTCGAAGCAGAATTTGGCTGGAGGGGGTGTGGGGGGGATTCTAATGTAAACAGTGACCCTGAAGCCCTGGAGCCAGTTCCCCCTTCTTTCCCCTGTCTCCCCTTCTGTCTTGCTGCCCCACCCCCAGCCCCAACACCCCCCACCCCCCCCACCCCCACCCCGAGACAAACACAGAACACTGAGCAACTTCAGGTTCAGGCAGGGGAGGAATAAAGGTGCTTTGTAAAGGGGAAGGAAAACATTCCTGGGGGAGGTGAGGGCTTGGGGCATGAATGTGCCCTCAGTCTGGGTGGACGCTGCACACCCAGATGGGAGGTTGGGGGGGACGCCGAGGTGGAGGGAGGAGGGCCGGGCCCCAGCCAGGAAGCTCTGGGCGTGGGCAGGGCTTGTGGGAATGATTTCATTGGAAAGGCCTGCGATATTTTTTCCCCTCCTGCGTGTGGTTCTTGGAGAAAGTTGGAGGTGGTGGTGATTTCAGTCGCCTTGGCCGCCTTGAGCCGGAGCTGAGCGGAGGCACTGGGCCGAGCCTGCTTCCCGGGCCTTCCTACCATGCCAGGGCTGCTCCCTGCCTCCGCCACCCTGGCACACCTTCACCCGCGTACCGCCTCCTCCCCGTCGCTCTGCCTTTTCCAAAACTCACTTGGGCCCTCCGTGCGCAGGGTTCTTTTTTGGTTTTTCTGTAAAAATCAAAACAAAAAACAGAGACTTTTGAGAGGAGCAGATGCCACCTAAAGTCCCACTGCATTCCCTGCAAAGCGCTCAAATGTGGAAGCCAGTCATTGGCATTTTTATTTTTTATTGATTGATTGATTTTTTCACCAGTGGCTTTTTGTAACCTCTGTGTTCTGCTGTGTTTCTTGTGTTTAGTCTTCGAGTGCTTCGACTGACCATGATCCCCTGGGCCCCCTCCCTCCTGGCTGGGGTAAGTACTGAGTTCTCTTCCTGGCCCTTGGCCTTCCGTCAGCCACGGTGCTCTGTCCTCTCCTCCCGCGTGTCTTCCTTCCCTGTTCCTGTCCCTCTGTTTTCCATCTCTCCCCTCTCCAGCACACTCTCTGGGCATGCCCCACCAGAGCAATTACAGGTGATGGAGCTGGGCAGCTGGGAAAGTAACCAAGCTCCACCGAACCACTGTAGCATCCACCCACCATCGCTAAAGGAGTGTGACCCTAAGAAAAGATGTCCCTGAGCAGCTGGGGGGCTATTGGCTTTTGGTCTTGAGTTTCAAGGTGTCTACTCAAGAGTCCATGCTACCACTAAGATATTTTGACACTGCCTAACTCCCAAATGGATTTGTTTCAGATCTGTGACCGTATGGTTGGAATGATCCACCCTAACAAATCTTTCTTTGCAGCTGAGATGTTGGAGGACTTTGGTCTAATTTTGACTAATAGAAGCCACCTTTTTATTTCTGACATAGCTGTGAAAGAGGCCAGAGGGAAGCAGATACGAGAGTTGAATGCCAGGTGGTGACTCTGGAAACGCATCGCTGCTAGTTATTATCGCCGTGTAGATTTCTCCTCGCGCTTGGTAGCCGCCTCTTACCTATCCCAAGTCCTTGATGTGATTTGCTGACAGTGAGTTAAGGGATGGACATCCATGACTTAGGAGAGATGATAGGCTTCATGGCTATTCTAGGAAAGAGTAGCCATGCAAAAAGGGTCATTAGAGATGATGAGACTTAGCGCATTTGATAGAGCTGGGGCAGAGTTTTATTTAATCTTGTGAGAGTCACTGGGAGCAGAAGAAAGCAGTTTTTGCGGGAACCAGCATGTGTTGGGTTTCATTTATTGGTTAGGCCAGCAGAAGACGGTAAACGTTGGTTTGGTGGTGTTGACAGATGGTGTGAAACTGGGAGGGGGTGCGCTCGACAACAAAGATGGAGAGGTGCATCCTGGGAAGTTGGCAGTGATAGGATGGGCATCTGATGCCTGGAAACATGCAGGTTTGGAGCTGGATCTTCTCGATGCAGACACTTCTGCTCTCGGGTAGTTATTTAAGAGGTTGTGTCAACCCTGTTATACCTGCAGGGTACCACTTAGTCAATGAGCACTGCAGTCCAGTGTGCCAGAAGGGCCTTCTGGTCCTTCTGATTGGAGAGATCATTTAGTGAAGCTTCCACACATTTGTTGATGTTCAGCTTGGGGATCCCTTACGCAGATAGCTGCCCCACATGGCTCCCTGGACCAAAGAAAGATCATTAGTATCTCAGAGATTGGCAGCAACTCCAATGCGAGAGAGTAAAACTCTGAAGACCCTGCGTCGTCAGTAGGCAGGGGAAAATGCGTCAGATTAAACAAGAATCTGTACTGCTGTTTAGTAGCCAGTGGCATAGAAGCCGGGGACTTCTAGTGTATTTCAGGCTCTGTAGAGGCAGGTGATGTAGCCCAGTCAAGTGGGTTTTCATGCCAGTTCTGCTGAGTGATGGTCACCAGGTAAGCACAGCTGATGGAGACTTGAAAACAGCTCTCGAATGCTAAGTGTGGAAATATTTGAGATAGAAATGGAGGAGCCGTGGTCAGAGTCGATACTGTTAATGAACGATCAGAAAAAAACCCACAAAACTGTCATAGTCTAGAATTAAGAGGAAGAACATTCTGGCTAAAGGCCAGGGCTCCTTCTGAATCTCAGATCCTTGGGGATCTGTGTTGGCTGCCCCAGGGCTGTGGCTGGGGCCGGCTCCCCAGGGCTCACCGAGAATGAACAGGAAGAACAGCCAGACCAAGTGAGAGTGATCGGCAGCTTGCTAACCCAGCCTGCTGGTGTCCCTCTCTGCTGCCCCAGGAGAGACCCCGCATCTTCCCCACACACTGCTGTGGGACTCAGGACACCTCGGGTTCAGATCCACATCTGCCCTCGGCAGCCCTGACCCTGGGCCTGTGGCTGAATATGTCTGAGTCCCTTTGTCCTAAAATGAGGTCGAGCCAGGTGTTCCTGGGGTCTTTCCCAGCCCCCAACTGAAACTGAATGCCGCGAGGCAGCCAGCCGGCCTTGGGAGGCCTCCACACAGCAGCAGTGCCAGAAATGACGACACAGGCCTCAAGCCCGCTGGACAGATCCCCCTGGCCCTGTGGTTAGCCTTGGCTTTGGCCCTTAACAGGGCAGACGTGGAGGATCTAGTTCAAAGCAGTAGCTTCGGGGCTGGGAGCAGCCCCTCCCCTGGAAACCTCTTGGGAAGCCTTCCTTCTGTGTGTTCTGAGGTGGTGGTAGCTCTGTAACAGCTCTGGGCACCTCCTGTTCTTTCTTTCCTTTGGCTTTCTTTTATTTATTTTTTATTTACAAAATAGAGATGAAGTCTCGCTGTGTTGCCCAGGCTGGTCTCGAACTCCTGGGCTCGAGCGATCCTCCTGCCTCAGCCTCCCAAAGTGCTGGGATTACAGGCGTGATCCACCGTGCCCAGCCTGTCTTTATTTTTATTTTATTTATTTGTTTTTCCAGCTTTACTGAGGTATGATTGACAAATAATGTCTGTTTGTAAAATTTCAGTCGAGTCATAGATACCAGGTAAGGCAGAGAGTGGGAGGGAGACTGAGGCCTTGGTCTGGTGTTGGGAGCACTGCAGCTCGAGTCTTGGAGTCAGGAGGGGGTTGTTGCACTTCCCTGTTCTGCTCCTTTTTCAGCTTTCTGGTTCCCTGTAGCTTCTGGAACTGATTATTTTTGTTTCTTTAATGCTGCCCTGTCTTGTAAAAGGAGAGCCATTAGCATCATTTGTTTTCAGGAGAGAAGCAGATTTGAAGGCTCAGGAACTTCCTGGGAAAGGTGACCTCTTTTGAGCCAAGAGCTTTACCCCCTAGTTTTTTGTTTTTTTTTTCTCCTGTCTACCTGGAGCTGAGAGGTTATCCCTTTCAATCCCTCTCAAGGTCCAGAATCACCAGCTAGGGTTGGGTCTGCCCCTGGAGCACAGACTCCTCCCTTGGGGACCCCAGAGCCCTTATCAGTATATCAGTAAAGGGCAAGAGAACAGAGATTGTTCAGAGCAGAGGAAAAGTGTATTTGTTCCCCAGCCCCACTCCATGAACATTCCCCTGTCTCAAAGCACATACTTAGGCCTAAGAACAGGATAGGCAGGCCAGGCACGGTGGCTTATTGCCTGTAATCCCAGTACTTTGGGAGGCTGAGGCGGGAGGATCACTTGAGGCCAGGAGTTCGAGACCAGCCAGGACAACATAGCGAGACCCTGTCTTTATATAAAAAAGAAAAAAAAGATACAAGTCTAAGAAGAGGCTGGGCAGTGTAAGTGTCCTCAGCCCCAGATATCATTTATTTGCTTATAAGCAAGAAAGAGGCGTGCCAGGGTATGAGAGTTTTAGAACAAGACTTAGCCTGTAAGTGGGAGAAGAGGGAGAACTTGGAGGGTACAGGGGCGCAGGGTGCAGAGCACTGATCAGAGAGGTGCGAGGGAAATGCAGCCACTCCATAAGGACCACGCCCTGTAGGACAGAGGCGCCCAGGTTAGCTGCATGCAGTGCAGAGGGTCCCAGGACCAGGGATCAGCTGTGAGGGACTTGGGTGGGGGGCCTGGCGGGTTAGGGACTGCCCGGCTTCCATGCTGCACACAGCTGGGAGCAATTATGCCTCTGGTTTGAGCTGTGCTGCTCCCTCTGGGTGGCCACACCACCCCCTCCCTCCGACCAATCAACCAAAGAAGTGCTTCATCTCGAGTTGGAAGTATGTCACCCCCGCCCCCCACCACCAACAAGGAAGGACCCTCTTTGTCCCTTTCCCAGTGACAAGTGTGAGTGAGCTTGGCTTTGGCTGGTTCTTCTCTAACAGGCTGACAACAGGGAGATAAACTCAGACCCAGCACCCAGGAGGTGGGAACCTCAGGGAAAGGACACCGGCTCTCCGTGTTTGAATCTGATGTTCTTTCTTTCTTCTCATGTGGCAGAGAAGAGACAGGACAATGGACGGGTGTATTACGTGAACCATAACACTCGCACGACCCAGTGGGAGGATCCCCGGACCCAGGGGTAAGGACTTGGGCTGAGAGGGGGGCCGGGCTGGGCTGGGTCTCTGTGCAGCTCCAGCACTGGGCAGGTGGCTTTGGACTGCATCGTCCCAGAGGGCTGATGTCAGGGACCTTTAGCCACACACAAGTGTCTTGAGACTCTCACCGTACAGATACACTGTTGGCCTGATGAGAGCTTAAAAGGGGTTTCTTAAATAGACCTTCCTGGTGGATGGAGGGCGGCCCGGCTGGCGGGTGTTGCTGGTCTCCATACTGATTGTGCTGGCTGCTGATAATTGGATTGCAAAAAGGTTGAGGGCATCCTGGTCTCCCAACACCCCCAAGTGAAGCTGTGCTGGGGCACAGGGTGCCTCAGGATTGCTGGTGGCTGCTCAGTCCAATGCCATCCATGCAGGGCTGGGTTTTTGGCCATGAGATAATAAGTGACCTCTCCGTGCTGCAGAACTGTTCTCACGACTTGGGTCATGCTTCTTGGGTGCATGTCCTCAAAGTCCCTCATGGGCTCTGCAGAGACAAAGCCACACTTTGAGGACCCAGCCTCCAACCACCAAGGTCCAGAAGGTGGGGCCAGCCCTTCACCCTTTTCTTCCCGTGTTTCCAGGATGATCCAGGAACCAGCTCTGCCCCCAGGATGGGAGATGAAATACACCAGCGAGGGGGTGCGATACTTTGTGGACCACAATACCCGCACCACCACCTTTAAGGATCCTCGCCCGGGGTTTGAGTCGGGGTAAGGACTTTGTGCAGGTAGCAGCAGTGTCAGGAGCCGAGGCCCAGGCTGTCCTTGTTCTGGCTCTGGGAGGCCCACTTTGGGTGGCCCCTGTGGTGCGTTCTACTGCCCTTACTGCCCTCTAGTGGCCAATGTTGATGTCATATTAAAGGGGATGGGAGGATAGCTTGAGCCCAGGAGTTTGAGACCAGCCTGGACAACATAGCGAGACCGTGTCTCCACAACAATAAAAAAGATTAACCAGGCTGAGAAAAATGGCAAGACCCCATCTCTACAAAAAAAAATTAAAAATTAGCTGGATGTGGTGGTGCATGCCTGTAGTCCCAGCTACATAGGAGGCTGAGGTGGGAGGATCCCTTGAGCTCAGGAGTTTGAGGCTGCAGTGAGCTATGATGGCACCACTGCACTCCAGCTCAGGTGACAGAGTGAGTCCCTGTTTCTAAAAAATAATAATACATTTAAAATTAGCTCGGTGTGGTAGCACACTCCTGTAGTCCTAGCTACTTGGAAAGCTAAAGCGGGAGGATCGCTTAAGACCAGGAATTCGAGGCCGCAGTGAGCCATGATCACACCACTGCACTGCAGCCTGGGTGACAGAGCAAGACCCCGTCTCTAGAAAACGAACAAACAAATAAATAAGATGGGATGGGGAGGAAGGGACTATCCTGTTTATTCCGAATGACACTAGAGTTATTTCTCTAAAAGCAAGAAGTCTGGCTTTATTTCTAGATTTTCTTTTTTATTCTTCAAGGATCTTAATGACAGTCACTTCCTCACCTTACATTACTAATCTTTAAATTAACATAGCACCAGCTTTCCTTAGGGCTGACAAAGACAAATTGTTCATTTTCTGAGAAATCGCATGAACCCCTGAACATCTTTGCTCTTCCTAGGACGAAGCAAGGTTCCCCTGGTGCTTATGACCGCAGTTTTCGGTGGAAGTATCACCAGTTCCGTTTCCTCTGCCATGTGAGTTCTGGTACTGGGGCTCCCGTGGCAGTTGGGGTTATTGAGTTATTTCAGTGTGAGTTCCCGGCACAGCAGCAGGTATCGGAATGTTTGTGTCTTAGGCGGGCGCAAGACACTTGTCTAACCCGGAGCTGGCTGTCTCTAGGAAGCTAGTTTTCATTCCTAGGGCACATGCTATTGCCTCCTGGCCCAGCAGGCTGGGGAATGCCTGTTCATACAGACAGGAGAACAGATGACCACTTGAGGCTCGATTTAAAGTTCTTTTCTTTTTTTTTTTTCAGTCAAATGCCCTACCTAGCCACGTGAAGATCAGCGTTTCCAGGCAGACGCTTTTCGAAGATTCCTTCCAACAGGTTAGATCATGGTGCCCGAAACCAGTGGCAGGCCGACGCCCTCCTCCCAGCACCCCATCTCCTATCGCGTGGCCTGTTAAACCCACACTGCAGACTTTCCAGGGCGTGAGTCTTGGTGACTGTGTCTGCTGGATATTGGGCCTTAGAGTCCCCTGTCCCTCCCGCCCCTGCCTGCTGTGGAAGGGAGAGTGGCAGGCTGGCCCGATGCTCTGTCTTCCCAGATCATGAACATGAAACCCTATGACCTGCGCCGCCGGCTCTACATCATCATGCGTGGCGAGGAGGGCCTGGACTATGGGGGCATCGCCAGGTGAGCTTGAGTGCCCCGGAAGGCTGCCCTGTACCCCGCTTCCCCAGGCTACAGCATCAATGGCCAGAAAGCTGCCTGCCCCCTGCTCACATTCCCTCCCAAAGCTCTCATGCATCTTCAGGAATGGGCACAGTGTGGCATTCAAAATACGTGAACCCGCCAGGCGCGGTGGCTCACGCCTATAATCCCAGCACTTTGGGAGGCTGAGGCAGGTGGATCACCTGAGGTCGGGGGTTCGAGACCAGCCTGACCAACATGGAGAAACCCCGTCTCTATTAAAAATACACAATTAGCTGGGCGTGGTGGTGCATGCCTGTAATCCCAGCTCCTGGGGAGGCTGAGGCGGGAGAATCGCTTGAACCTGGGAGGCAGGAGGTTGCAGTGAGCCGAGATCGTGCCATTGCACTCCATCCTGGGCAACAAGAGCGAAACTCCATCTCAAAAACAAAACAAACAAAAAAACAAAATACGTGAATCCATGTGGCCAGTCCATTGGGCCTGGAACAGGGGCCTGGGGTGCCCCACTGGGCTGGACATTAAGCCTTTAGTTACTGGGTCATGAGGCGACGGAGGACTCCTGGGAGGGGCGAGAGCTCAGTACAATGGCTCTGTTATCTACCAATGTGTCATGTTTCTGTACTTTAACAACCAGGCCAGCAGCATCTGGGCAGTTGAATATAGGGGCCATGTGGTCATCCATTAGAGTTGACCCTGGGATCCCCTCCTCTTAAGGCAGCCAGGGCAGGTGAAGTCAGGTGTCCCCGTGTGGATAAGCTGTGTCACGATCCACAGGGCCTTGAGCAGGGCTCAACTGCATGTCACATGCCTGGGGTCAGTAAAACTGTAACGGCTTATGTCACCCTAAAAAGAGTCCAAAGCATTGTCTTGCCTTCACCCTGGTCCACCCATAAAAGTTAACAGGCCCTCTGGGAAATGCTGCCTTGGACAGCAGGGCAGAAGGGCCCCGGCAGAGAGAGAGAGCGCTGTGGCCCGCAGCGACCTCTCCGCTCGAGACCTCTCCCGGTGTGGGCATGTCTTCCCGCTTGGTGTTGGGTTAACTTGCTTCTGGTCCTCTGTTCGGTGGTGGCGTTGCCTTCTGCGCTGGCCCCGTGGAT
Organism: Homo sapiens; assembly: GCF_000001405.40. NCBI lineage: Eukaryota > Metazoa > Chordata > Mammalia > Primates > Hominidae > Homo > Homo sapiens. The sequence continues at coordinate 69,933,006 of NC_000016.10, forward strand.
GGATGTTCCTTTTTTCCGTGGTGACCTCCTCTCCAGGCTCTGCTTGGTGGGCTTCTGGTGTGGCCGCGCCCTGTGTGTGTCTCTCTCTGTGTCCTGCCAGTGGTTTTACCCTATGGTAGGTTACGTCATGCTGTTCTACCACAGGGTAGAACCACGGACAGGATACCGGGGCACCCTCTGCGTCGACGGACTCCTCGTCTGCCCAGCCACAAACAGCCCAGCAGCTGGGGACTGGCCCCCTTGGGACATCCCCTTGCTGGTTTAGCTCAAGCCCAAAAGGACTCTGAATTCATGCCTGAGGCTCGCACCCAGGGCACGGGTGTTGGTTCAGATGAATGCGTGGAAGTGTGGGAACGGGGATGGTGTTGGGGTCTGGGGGTGAAGGGAGGGCAAAGTGCAAGAGTGTTGCATAGCTGGTGGGCATGAGGTTTCTCATCTGAAGGCAGCATGGATTACATTGTCATGGATCGGGGTTGGAAATGTGTTGCTGTGTATTTACGTTATGTTGCCCGCCCAGGTAGAGTGGAAACAGGGTAGTTACTATTCAAACAGAACCTTTGCAGAAAAATTATTGTAATAAACATGCATCGTGCCCTTGTGCAGTGCACAGCCTAGGCAACTGAGCATGGTGACCCAGGGTACAAGGACCCCCTTTACCATTAGAAGCTCTGGATATTGTGATGTAAAGTCTTGGAACACATCACCTGGGAGCCGACAATCACACGTTTTCCCAAATATCATCCTCAAATGCAGTTGCCGCCCTGGTTCACTGTAGGTCTGAGCCTGCCCTGTTCACTGACCAGCTGTTCATATAGGTTAGCCCGGGTGCTTGTCACAGGGCTCGACTCCCTGGGACACGTGTCCCCATACTAACCTGAGACACGATGGTGAAGAGACACAGCTCCTGTGCAGATGTGCACGAAGGGACCCATTATTCTTGTCTTTTCTGTCTCTTCCCTCACAGAGAGTGGTTTTTCCTCCTGTCTCATGAGGTGCTCAACCCTATGTATTGTTTATTTGAATATGCCGGAAAGAACAATTACTGCCTGCAGATCAACCCCGCCTCCTCCATCAACCCGGACCACCTCACCTACTTTCGCTTTATAGGCAGATTCATCGCCATGGTAAGGGGGCCCCAGGGGTCTGCCTAGTTCCCTCCTCCTCTCCCTCCTCTTCCCTCTCCTGGTGAAGTGTGCCAGGGGCACCAGGGGAATCTGCTCTTTCTCTGAGACCTCCAGGAAGGGGCAGCATTGGAGGAGGCCCTGGGCCTGTTCACCAGGAGGCAGCGTGGCGTGAACGGCAGCCCCCGTGGACTGGCTCACCCTCTCGGGGCTCCACCCTTTGCCCCCATAGAGCTCGTAACCTAAAAATGCAAGAAGCTAGAGAGAGTTCTGGAGAAACCAGAGCTTTCTCAGTGGCTGCCCTGTAGGTAGTGAAGAGTTTCCATGTTGCTTTGTACAGGACTTGTCAAGAGGGAGCCCAGGGTCGCTGGGCCACAGACTTTACTGAACATTAAATATGTGCTCTGTTGAGGGCCTTGGGATGACAGGGCCAGGTGAAACCATAGCTGCCCACCTGCTGCCTGTCTCTGGGAGGTGACACTGTCACGGCATTTGGGAATGTCCCACTGAGACACTAAGCCTTCTGGAAGGGCATTTGGAATCAACACTAGTGTAGAACAAAACGTAAAGTCTGTGGCCCAGAGACCCTGGGCCCCCTCTTGACAAGTCCTATGCAAAGCAACATGGAAACTCTTCAGTACCTACAGGGCAGCCACTGAGAAAGCTCTGGTTTCTCCAGAACTATCTCCAGCTTTTTACATTTTTAGGTTACCAGCTCTATGGGGGCGAAGGGTAGAGCCCAGAGAGGGCGCGCCAGTCCATGGGCGCTGCCGTTCACGCCACGCTGCCTCCTGGTGAACAGTAGACTGGCTGGTGCAGGGTGTAGGGACATCTGTCAGAAAGTGAGCCAGTTCTGGGGAGGGGCGTCCCAGCGTCTGTATTTAACTGGAAAGAGGGACACAATGTGAATATGGAAAGGGAGGTCCTGCCACGTGCCCCGTTGAGGGTCCTGGGAGCGTGGAGAACCCGGATTGAGAAGCGGAGCCCGTGGGAGGCACAGCGCGGGAGCCACATGCATAGCTGGAGATGTTTCAATTCTCCTTTCCTTCGCTTCTTCCCCTGCCTTCCTGAGTGTCCCACCCGGCTCCCCTCTTAGGAGGACCCAAGCGCCCCATGAGCCTGTGACTAAATATGGCCGGCCCTTCCCATCGTCGAGGAGTTCTTGGCCAAGGTGCTGGGCTCTGGAAATGGGCACATTCTTCCCAGGTCTAGAGACCCGCCTGGCCCAGCAGCCAGCAGGACAGACCGGTAAAACCCTAGACTATTACTCACCATTGGCCGCCAGCTCTCGCTGTCGGCGGTGTCTGCATTATTTTTGGCTGCCTTTGCCACCCACCCTGAGCGCCAGTGAATCAGGGCTGCCACCTGCAGCTGTTCAGAGCAAGCCTTTTCTGTGAGCGTGGGGCAGACCTTTGCTAGGCCAGGAGCCAGCCGGCCAGCGTGCGGGGCAGATGCGGGCCCGGACGTGGGTTCCCGCACCAGCTGGCTCTGCCCAGTCCTTGCGGTCTGCAGGGCAGGGTGGGAGTCCCTCTGTAGGTACAAGTCAGGATAAAGGCGTTGTTTACTCCTGAGGCCCTCCCGCTGCGTCCGAGGCAGCTGCTGCTGTAGTTCTGTCAGGGAAGGAAGGCGGGTAGCGGTAGCAGAGTTTGATACCGAGCATCTGAGAGCTGGTCTTGGCAGTGCCCAGGGAAGGCCAAACCTCTGTGCTGTGCCTCTTCCTTCCCAGGCGCTGTACCATGGAAAGTTCATCGACACGGGCTTCACCCTCCCTTTCTACAAGCGGATGCTCAATAAGAGACCAACCCTGAAAGACCTGGAGTCCATTGACCCTGAGTTCTACAACTCCATTGTCTGGATCAAGTGAGTTCCCTGCCCCCTTGCCCCACCGCGCTGATAGGAGGGACGTCTCTGGGTGGGAAGCAGGTACTGATGGCCTTTATTTTGTCTGCCAGTGTGGCCCCTGAGCTCTTTTCCAGCCTCTATAAGAGCTTGTGGAGAGGAATGTCCTCTGGGTTCCCTGGGGACAGTTCTAGAACCTTCTCCTTGAGTCAAGGAGCTGTCCCCTGTCACTGTTCAGGATTCTAGGCCACCTGTGGGCCCTTGGTGTCCCACGGGCAACAGAGCAGGATCCAGGAAAGACCCTGACACGGTAGACATCTCCCCACTTGGTCTCCTGTGCCCCCAGAGAGAACAACCTGGAAGAATGTGGCCTGGAGCTGTACTTCATCCAGGACATGGAGATACTGGGCAAGGTGACGACCCACGAGCTGAAGGAGGGCGGCGAGAGCATCCGGGTCACAGAGGAGAACAAGGAAGAGTACATCATGTGAGTCTCAGGCGCCGGGGGCTCCGCTCCAGGGGTGGCGTGGAGATCTAGTGGGTTGCAGAGAAAGATGGGCCCCCACCTGTGGCCCATCGGTCACTGTGGATGCCATTTGCATTTGCCTTGATGGTGGCTGCTGGTGGGCGGTCATGTGATGGCGCGAGCTGGGGGAACCAAAGCCGAGGTCCTTAGTTACCGACTCCCAGCTGTGCTTTTTCGCCATGTGGGAGACTTCAAGCCTGCAGCGTGGAATTTCTTTGAAGTGGCATCAAGCTGAGACATCTGCATCTTTCTCCGGGCCGAAAGGATCTCTGTGGCCTGTGTGCCTAGACCCACCGTCTCACGTGTGCCCGTTCTCCGTGCCTGTTCCTCAGGCCTCTTGCTTTAGTCTTTATCTCCACGCTTCCATACGTCTGAGGTTCAGTCGGCGCTGGGGGCAGGAGCAGGAGGAGGTGGTGGTGAGGATGATTTCAAAGACTCCGGTGTCTGCAGGTCACTGTGAGGTTTTCAGGGCCTCACTCTAGGTCCTCCAGCAGGCTGGGTCTGGGTGTGCGAAGTGGGCTCTGCTGATCTGGTGGTCCTGCGCGGTAACGGCCACGCGGCCTGGCCGGGAGCCACCCCTGAGCAGTGGGTCTCAGACTCCACCCATGGCTGCTCTTTGGTCTCAGGCTGCTGACTGACTGGCGTTTCACCCGAGGCGTGGAAGAGCAGACCAAAGCCTTCCTGGATGGCTTCAACGAGGTGGCCCCGCTGGAGTGGCTGCGCTACTTTGACGAGAAAGAGCTGGAGGTGAGTGTCTGAGGTTGCTGGGACCCTGAGCCCCTGCCTCTGGGGCGATCCTGCTCTGTGATACGCTCACTGTGTACCCACAGACACTCAGCGTAAAACTCCCACTTCGGCAGGGCAGATGGGTTTGATTTGGGACCCACCCTTCCCCAGACACTTGTTTCAAGAAAGCAGGGACTTACATTACCCATATTATTAACGCTGACACCAAAAATAGCTAGTTGAATATGTTTGGGGTAATGTCAAGTGCTAGCGAGTGGACGATGCGCGGGGAGGGACCTGCCGGGGATGCTGACTGCCGCCTCTCCCCAGCTGATGCTGTGCGGCATGCAGGAGATAGACATGAGCGACTGGCAGAAGAGCACCATCTACCGGCACTACACCAAGAACAGCAAGCAGATCCAGTGGTTCTGGCAGGTGGGTCCCGGGCCCAGGCCTTGGCAGGGACATTTGGGCCATCAACCAAAGGAAACGGGTCCTGAGGAGGCCTCACGCGCAAGGACCTTCAGCTTTGGCCCTGTCCTTGCCTCCCACACCTTGCAAAAGGAGACGATAGACCAGCCTTGGGATGAACGGGGACAGTTCCAGCTGAGTGGTGGCCAGTGGATGTGACAGGAGGTCGTCAGTGGTCAGCCTTGGGCCAGCTGGTGTGCAGGGACAGACCTGCAGGCAGACAGCAGCTGCCACTGGTTGAGAGGTCCCCTGCCAGCCAGATGGGACAGGAAGGCAGGGGCTTGGCTCCAGAAACCAGAAAGAGCTGTCATCCTATGTATAATTAATGTGTTGATTCTTTTATACGTATGGGTTTTGTTGTTGTCGTTATGAAATACAGCATACAAAAAAAAATAGCGATTACAGGTATTCTTAGTACATGTCTGTGTGCATATGTACGTATACAAATTTTTTGTGGAGGTGAAATTTGTATAACATACAATTAACTATTAATTTTTTTTTTTTCAATAGAGACAGGGTCTTGCTATGGTGCCCAGCCTGGTCCTGAACTCCTGGGCTCAAGCAGTCCTTCCATCTCACCCTCCCAAAGTGCTGGGATTACAGGCGTGAGCCACTGTGCCCAACCCATTTAAGTTTTTTAAGATACACAATTCAGTGGCTTTCCACTTTGGGTTCCTTGGCTTCCCACCCAGGCCGAGGTGGGCAGATCACTTGAGGTCAGGAGTTCAAGACCAGCCTGGCCAAAATAGTGAAACCCTCTTTCTACTAACAATATAAAAAATTAGCCAGGCATGGTGGTGGACACCTGTAATCCCAGCTACTCGGGAAGCTGATGCATGAGAATCACTTGAACCTGGGAGGTGGAGACTGCAGTGAGCTGGACCGTGCCACTGCTCTGCAGTGAGCTGGACCGTGCCACTGCACTCCAGCCTGGGCGACAGAGCAGTGGCTTCCAGTACATTCACAGTGTTGTGCACCTGGCACCACTATCTAATTCTGGAACATTTCATCTCCCCAAAAACCTTATACCCATTAAGCAGTCACTCCCATATTTAGTCATCTCTAAAAGCAGAACGTGGATGGGAAGAGAATACCCAGCCTGAGGTGTCCCTGAGACCCAGAGATGTCCCATGGACTGGTGGGAATCTCATGCACACACAGCCTCTTAGCAAAAGCACTTCTGGGGTTTCTCAGGTTGGAGGCTGTCATCCCCTGGCCAACCTGGCTTTGTGTTCTCAGCCCCAAAGAGGGGCCCCGCTGAGCTAGAGAGCTCCACGTTCGGGCAAAGTACTGGGCCCCGTGGGTTGCCTGACTGTGCCTTGACTTGCGGACTTCCAGGTGGTGAAGGAGATGGACAACGAGAAGAGGATCCGGCTGCTGCAGTTTGTCACCGGTACCTGCCGCCTGCCCGTCGGGGGATTTGCCGAACTCATCGGTATGTTTTCTCTCGCCCTCTGGCGTCCTGGCTGGCAGTGCGGACAGCTCAGAGGGAGGGGGAAACCTAGTCTCTTCCTGGAAGCACGTCAGTGGGATGGAGAAGAGCTGTGGCCTCTGCATCCTGGGGCCGAGCCCATCTGTGGGTGGAGCCGGAGGATCCTGCTTTGGGAAGGGACGTCTCTGCTGACGTCGGCGTGTTTTACCTTGGATCACAGGTAGCAACGGACCACAGAAGTTTTGCATTGACAAAGTTGGCAAGGAAACCTGGCTGCCCAGAAGCCACACCTGGTGAGCCTGCTGGTTTTAGTGGGAGGTCGGGGGGCCTCAGACCCGATGAGCTCCTGGGACAGCCCAGTGGGTGTAGCAGCTTCATAGCCTCGAGTCTGGCAGCTTTTGCGTGGCCCTGGGGTGTTGGGTTGGAGAGATGGGGCTGTGATGGGCATCTGATCTACCGGGTTTTACATATGAAGCACTTCTGTTCCAGTAGTCCAAGAGCTACTGCCCCAAGTGTCCCCCGCAACCAATTTCCAGCTGTCCTGGCCCCTCCCTTAACACCCCATGGTCCAGGCACCTGCAATGTGAAGGCCTGACTGGCAGCCCCTGAGCCCTAGCCAGTGTGGTGCAAGCCCTGTGGCCCTGCTGCAGGCAGGCATGGTGGGGCTATCAGAGCCCTGGCCTCCTAGGGCTGACTGTCGTGCTTCCCCACTCTCAATAGCTTCAACCGTCTGGATCTTCCACCCTACAAGAGCTACGAACAGCTGAGAGAGAAGCTGCTGTATGCCATTGAGGAGACCGAGGGCTTTGGACAGGAGTAACCGAGGCCGCCCCTCCCACGCCCCCCAGCGCACATGTAGTCCTGAGTCCTCCCTGCCTGAGAGGCCACTGGCCCCGCAGCCCTTGGGAGGCCCCCGTGGATGTGGCCCTGTGTGGGACCACACTGTCATCTCGCTGCTGGCAGAAAAGCCTGATCCCAGGAGGCCCTGCAGTTCCCCCGACCCGCGGATGGCAGTCTGGAATAAAGCCCCCTAGTTGCCTTTGGCCCCACCTTTGCAAAGTTCCAGAGGGCTGACCCTCTCTGCAAAACTCTCCCCTGTCCTCTAGACCCCACCCTGGGTGTATGTGAGTGTGCAAGGGAAGGTGTTGCATCCCCAGGGGCTGCCGCAGAGGCCGGAGACCTCCTGGACTAGTTCGGCGAGGAGACTGGCCACTGGGGGTGGCTGTTCGGGACTGAGAGCGCCAAGGGTCTTTGCCAGCAAAGGAGGTTCTGCCTGTAATTGAGCCTCTCTGATGATGGAGATGAAGTGAAGGTCTGAGGGAGCGGGCCCTGGGGCGAGGCCATCTCTGCCTGCCTCCCTAGCAGGCGCCAGCGGTGGAGGCTGAGTCGCAGGACACATGCCGGCCAGTTAATTCATTCTCAGCCAATGAAGGTTTGTCTAAGCTGCCTGGGTATCCACGGGACAAAAACAGCAAACTCCCTCAGACTTTGTCCATGTATAAACTTGAAGTGGTTGTGTTGTAGGGTTGCAGGTTTTTTGTTACGCTGCTGTCACTTTCTGTCCAGGAGCTGGCACCCCAGGTGTTCTGAGACCTTGAGGGACCCAGACCTTTGGGTCCAAGAGTTTCCCAAACAGCCACGCCTCTCAGGAACCCACCTGGCGGTTCCGTGAGCTCAGGCAGGCCTGACCCGGCGGCACAGCCTGGCAGGGACCTCGTCCCCAAGCCTGGCAGAATGAGAGGGGTTGAGGTCCCGAGCGCCACTCCTAGCCTTGCCGCCTTCAATAGAGAAGAAATCCCTTTGCTAGATAGGGTCCCCCAGGCAGTCCCCAGTGGCGGGACACAGGGGTCCGGCTGTGGAGCTCCCCTGCCAGCCCCTGGAGCTCCAGGAGGGCCTGTTGGTCCCCTGTTCAGAATGGAGTGCAGCCCGCCAGCGGAAAGTGTTCATTCTGCATAGGTGTGAGGCTTTATCTGCACACAGGACATGAAAACCAGCAGAAAGGCCCTGAGCTGCTGCATAGCCCCATCTGATTTCTGCAGTTCCCGCCAGCCTCCAACACGGGGACTCTGCCGTAACTGGAATCTTCATAGGTCATATTGAAATCTTCAAGGTGACCATGCCCCACCGGGGTGCTGGGGCAGTAGTCATGGCAGACTCCCGGCCTGGGCCCCCAGGATTCTAGGACCCCCAGGCAGCCCCTTGGACTGGTCCCGGGTGCCTTCCAAGCACAGTCTCCATGCTCCCAGATTCTCGACCTTCCCCCGGCCCGGGAGGTGCAGCCTGCGTCTGCCTCTGTCGTGTGTGCTGATTTGAGTGGCTTAGCTTGCCACAGCGCAGCCTCTTCTGTCCCTTTCAGTCATTTGCTGTACTTCCCTGTGGCACGTTACCATGGAAGCCGCTCCAGGGTGGGTCAGGGTGCAAGCTGCTGGTGAGGTTTGGAAGCATCAGGCTCACGGGTGTTCATGTGTGTTCGTGCGTGTGTGTGCGTACGTGTATATAACTGAAGTGTCTGTACGGAATGCCCTTTGCTAGCCATGGGCTGGTCACCAGATTGTTTTGTAATGCCCGCCCCTTGCCTCGATATTGCCAGTTTCTTGTGCAATAAACAATCAGCAGCTGTGGGTGGTGTTGTTGTGGATGTTTACAAAGCCACAGTCCTCCAGTCAAGAGGACTCCGGGCCTCACAGACCCTCCAGGCCTGGATAGGGGTGGAAATTCCCTGACCTCGCTGGTTTTGAGAAGCATGTGTGTCATGGACCGAGGCAGCCCCCGACTTCTGGGCTGGGCAGCTGAGTCCTGGCCCAGGGGTCACCGGCTTCAGCCCTTGGTCAGCTGCCTCACCGTACCCTTTCGGCACCCTCTGCCTCCGCCTGCTGGACCCGGGGGTCTCCAAGCAGTTGCTGTGGGGTGCAGAACAATAACAGCTACAGACTGGGTGGGCTTCCGAAACTGGCTTGCAGGGAGAGTGTTCCAGGCAGTCATTCATTTGGGAAATACTCAGGTTTCACAAGTTCCACGACGGTCGAGGGACTCTGTGATCTTGACCTCAGGGTCACGTAAGGGCTTGCCACCCACTTTTTTTTGTTTTTGACAGATCACCATGCTGGCGGGTCTTGATGCATTTGACAAGGAAGTGACTTTGTCATGGACCAAGCAGGGCCCCGACTGTGCCTCCGATGCTCAGCGGGGCAGACCTGTTCAGAGCGAGCTCCCTCCTGGGTTCGTCAGCTGGACTCACTGCCTCCAGCTCCAAAACCTTATTTTCAGGCAACAGGCCAAGGCTGTACTTGGACAAAATTACTGGAAAAGGTCCAGATGTCTCATGATAAATTCAATAAGACATGCCCCAGTGGAAATCGTTCCCCCAACCCTTGTCCCCAGAGGGACCTACTATTCACAGTTGGCGGTGGCATTTCCAGACGCTTCTGTGCGGGTGGGCAAATCGTTTACACATACGATTTTTAAATATACCAAAAATGGAATATTGTACACACTGCGCAACTCACTTTTTTCATTAAATGAGATGCTATGGACCCCTTTCCATGTTCATCGAAGTAGACACTGCTTAACTCTTTAGCCACAGTGTGATATTCTGTATGATTGCAGTTCTGTAATATGCTCACCTCCTTCCTAAAGGAGGTGGCAGTTGTGTCCCACAGTTTGCTGGTGGCTGTGGAGCTCCGGGAAACGCCCTCGGGCAGGTCTGTGTGCTGCTGCTGCTGCTGCTCTCCTGCTAGGGGACGGTCCTAGAAGTTTGATTGTTGATCATGCACCTTTATTTTTCTTTAAAAATTTGGTGAAGGTTCAGTTGAAAGATGCAAAGGAGCTGCTGTGTAAGGCTTCCCTTACTCTTCTGTCCCTTGGCCACCCTGATGCCTTCCAGGAGGCAACCATCGCTGCTGGCTTCTTTTGGATCTTTCCAGATATACTTTAAAAATCCCAGCGGGGACAGGTGTGGTGGCTCACATCTGTAATCCCAGCACTTTGGGGATTTTTAGTAGACATAGGGTTTCGCCATGTTGGCCAGGCTGGTCTCAAACTACTGACCTCAGTTGATCCTCCCGCCTCGGCTTCCCAAAGTGCTGGGATCACAGGCATGAGCCACTGCATGCCTGGCTGTTTTTGTTTTGTTTTTTATTGTGGTAAAATACACAAATTGCTATCTTAATCATTTTTAAGTGCACAATTCAGTGGTATTAAATACATTCATAACGTTGTGTATCCATCACCATCATCCATCTCCAGAACTCTTTTCGTCTTGCAGAATGGAAACTCTGACCCCGCATTCCTCTTCCCCGCATTCCTCTTCCCCGCATTCCTCTTCCCCGCATTCCTCTTCCCTGCAGCCCGTGGCAACCACCATTCTCCTTTCTGTCCCTTTGATTGTGACTCCTCTTAACTACCTCCTTACGAGTGGAATCATATAGTACTTGTCGTTTCGTGACTGGTTTATTCCACTTAACATAATGTCCTCGTTGTGACTTGTTTATTTCTAAAAGTAACCACTGGCGCCTTGGTGCAGATGGAACTCCAGGTGCATGCGGTGAGTTAACCATGGTCTGGGGAGCTTTGTTTCCACGCCTAGGACATGCATCTGTGTGCATGATATGTGAGCTGATATAGCCATGCCTCTGGTGATTTGAACGCCTGCGCTTCCCAGCTGCTTCAGGGCCCTGAACATCGCTGGATGTTTGTACTTCATTCCCTCCTCAGCCCAGCTGGTCCCACTCCGCAGCTGTGCTCTAGGCATTTCATCTCAACTGGGTGATATATTTGAATACAGCAATTATAAGAACAGCAACCTCAGAAGAACATCTGGCATCCAGACCTCCCCAGCCTAGTTCCACAAGGTACCAACTTCCGTAAGCCTTGAAGAGCTAAGTAAGTCATCCGGGCCGGGTGTGGTGGCTCATGCCTCTAATCCCAGCACTTTGGAAGGCCAAGGCGGGCAGATCACTTGAGGTCAGGAGTTCAAAACCAGTCTGGCCAACATGGTGAAACGCCATCTCTACTAAAAATACAAAAATTAGCCGGGTGTGGTAGTGCATATCTATAATCCCAGCTACTTGAGAGGCTGAAGCAGGAGAATCGCTTGAACCCGGGAGGCAGAGGTTGCAGTGAGCCAAAACCGCACCACTGCACTCCAGCCTGGGCAACAGATCCCTTGGTATAGATACGGGGAGCTTGGGTGGTCTCATCACAGCAGAACGTCAGCTCTTGGCATGTTCTTTTCCTTTGCTACCAGCTTTTGAAACTGAAGTGTAGCAGAGTCATGAACCAGACTTTGAAACATGAACCAGACAGAGAAACATTTTAAGAAGTAGCGGCTGACCAGGAGTTGGAGATTGCAGTGCACTATGATTGCACCTATGAATAGCCACTGCACTCCAGCCTGGGCAACAGAGTGAGACCCCTATCTAAAAAAAAGAAAAAGAAGGGCCAGGCACGGTGGCTCATGATTGTAATCCCAGCACTTTGGGAGGCCAAGGCAGGTGGATCACAAGGTCAGATCAAGACCATCCTGGCTCACACAGTGAAACCCCATCTCTACTAAAGATACAAAAAGTTAGCCGGGTGTGGTGGTGGGTGCCTGTAGTCCCGGCTACTCGGGAAGCTGAGGCAGGAGAATGGTGTAAACCCGGGAGGCGGAGCTTGCAGTGAGCTGAGATGGCGCCACTGCACTCCAGCCTGGGCGACAGAGCGATACTCCGTCTCAAAAAAAAGAAAAAAAAGAATAGGGCCGGGCGCGGTGGCTCACAACTGTAATGCCAGCGCTTTGGGAGGCCAAGGCAGGAGGATCGCTTGAGCCCAGGAGTTTTAGACCAGCCTAGACAACATGGCAAGACCCCGTCTCTACCAAAAATACAAAAAATTAGCCGGGCATGGTGGTGCATGCCCATAGTCCCAACTACCTGGGACGCTGAGGTGGGAGGATCACCTGAACCCCGGAGCCGTGAGCACACCACTGTACTCCAGCCTGGGTGACAGAGTGAGACCCTGTCTGGAAAAAAAAAAAAAAAGTAGCTGGGTATGGTGGCACGTGCCTATCGTCCTACCTGCTCAGGAGGCTGAGGCATGAGGATGGCTTGAGCCCAGGAATTCGAGGCTACTCAGCAATTATGGTACCACTGCACTCCAGCCTGGGTGACAAAGTGAGACCCTCAAATAAAATAAATTGGCCATAAATGTAAGTTTTTTCCTGTATTGTTCATTCTGTTCCCTTGATCTATATGTCTTGTCCTTTTTCCGTATCTTATAGATGTGATTACTAGAAGTTTCATAGCAAGTTTTGAAATCAGGTAGTATACATTCTCCAGTTTTATTCTTTTTCAAATGTGTTTTGGTTATTCTAATTCCTTTGCCTTTCCGTGCAAATTTTGAGATCCAGTTTTCAAATTTTTTTTGAGATGGATCTTGCTATATTGCCCAGGCTGGTCTCAAACTCCAGGGCTCAAGGGATCCTCTTGCCTCAGTCTCCCAAATAGCTGGGATTACAGGCACATGCCACCAAACCTGGCCTCTCAATTGCTTTAAAATAAACACAACAACAACAAAAATCTTTTGGAAGTTTGATGGGCATTGCATTGAATTAATAGACAAATTTGGGGAGAATTACCATCTATCTTAACAATATTGAGTCTTCCCCTGGCCAACATGGTGAAATCTGTCTCTACTAAAAATACAAAAATTGGCCAGGTGCAGTGGCTCATGCCTGTAATTTCAGCACTTTGGGAGGCCAAGGTGGGTGGCTCACTTGAGGTCAGGAGTTCAAGACCTGCCTGGCCAACATGGTGAAACCATGTCTCTACTAAAAATACAAAAATTAGCCGGGTGTGGTGGCGGGCGCCTGTGATCCAAGCTACTTGGGAGGCTGAGGCAGGAGAATCACTTAAACCGAAGGGGTGGAAGTTGCAGTGAGCCCAGATCGCGCCACTGCACTCCAGCCTCAGTGACAGAGTGAGACTCTGTCTCAAAAAAAAAAAAAGAAAAGAAAAAAAAAGAAATTAGCTGGACATGGTGGCAGGTGCTTGTAATCTCAGCTACATGGGAGGCTGAGGCAGGAGAATCACGTGAACCCAGGAGGCGGAGGTTGCAGTAGGAAGAGATCAGGCCACTGCACTCCAGCCTGGACGACAGAGCAAGACTCAGTCTCAAAAAACAAACAATAAAACAATATTGAGTCTTCTATTCCATGAATGTGAAATGTCTATGCATTTTTTTAGATCTTTAGTTTCTCTCAGCAATGTTGTTTTACAGTTTTATGTGTATGGATTTTTTTTTTTTTTTTTTTTTTTTTGAGAATGAGTCACTCTGTCGCCTAGTCTGGAGTGCAGTGGCGCAATCTCGGCTCACTGTAACCTCCGCCTCCCGGGTTCAAGCAATTCTCCTGCCTCAGCCTCCTGAGTAGAGTAGCTGGGATTACAGTTGCCCACCACCACGCCTGGCTAATTTTTTGTATTTTTAGTAGAGATGAGGTTTCACCATGTTGGCCAGGCTGGTCTTGAACTCCTGACCTCAAGCAATCCATCTGCCTCGGTCTCGGAAAGTGCTGGGATTACAGGTGTCAGCCACTGTGCCTGGCCATGTGTGGAACTGTTTCCTCAATTTCATTTTCAGATTGTTTATTGCCAATGTGTAGAAATGCAGTGGATTTTGGTATGTTAATTTTGTATTCTGAGACCTTTATTCTAGTAGGGTTTTTTTTTTTTTTATACATTCCTTCGGATTTTCTACAGTAGAATTATGTCATCTGCAAATGAAGATAGTTTTACTTCTTTCTTTTCAGTGTGGATGCCTTTAATGTCTTTTTCTTAACTTATTGCACAAATTGCGCATTCAGTAGTACAATGTTTAGTGGGACCAGTGAGAAAAGACATCCTTGCCTTGTTTTGATCTTAGGGAGGAAAGTCTTTGGTCTCACTGTTAAGTGTGATATTAGCTGTACGTTTTGCGTAAGGGCTGTATTCGTTTGCTAGGACTGCCATACAAGGTACCACACACTGGGTGGCTTAAAAAACAGAATGTATTTTCTCAGAGTTCTGGAGGCATAAAGGCCAGGATCAAGGTGCCGGGGGGTTGGTTCCCTCTGAGGACCTCTTTCCTTGGCTTGTCTACAGCCGCCTTCTCCCTATGTCTTCACAGGATCTTCCCTCTGTGTGTCTCTTCTTATAACGAGGCCAGTCAGACTGGATCAGGACCCACCCCAGTGACCTCATTTAACTTTAATTACCTCTTTAAAGACCCTATCTCTAAATACAGTGACACGGAGGTAATGGAGGTAGGACTTCAACATACTAATTTGGGGCTGGTTGTGGTGGCTCATGCCTATAATCCCAGCAGATGACTTGAGCTTTGAGACCAGCCTGGGCAACATGGGGAAGGCCCATCTCTACTAAAAATACAAAAATTACCTGGCATGGTGGCGCACACCCACAGTCCAGCTACTCAGGAGCTTGAGGTAGGAGGATGGCTTGAGCCTGGGATGTGGAGGTCAAAGCCCCAGGAGCAGAGGTCACAGTGAACCAAAATTGTGCCACTGCATTCCAGCTGGGCAACAGAGCCAGACTTCGTCTCAAGAAAAATTTAAAAATCAAATAGACATGATTTTTTTTTAGACAGAGTCTCATTCTGTTGCCCAGGCTGGAGTGCAGTGGTGTGATCTCAGCTCACTGCAACCTCTGTCTCCTGGGCTCAAGTGATTCTCATGCCTCAGCCTCCCAAGTAGCTGGGATTACAGGTGTGTGCCACCATACCCAGCTAATTTTTGTATTTTTAGTAGAGACGGGATTTTGCCATGTTGGCCAGGCTGGTCTCAAACTCCTGACCTCAGGCGATCCGCCCACCTCAGCCTCCCAAAGTGCTGGTACTACAGGCATGAGCCACTGCACCTGGCCTAATTTTTTTTTTTTTCTTGAGACAGAATCTTGGTCTGTTACCCAGGCTGGTGTGTAGTGGCACGATTACAGCTCACTGCAGCCTTGACCTCCCTGGCTCAGGCTATCCTCCCACCTCAGCCTCCCAGGTAGGTGGGACTATGGACACGTGCTACCACGCCCAGCTAATTTTTTGTATTTTTTTTAGAGACGGGGTTTCACCATGCTGCCCAGGCAGGTCTCAAACTCCTGAGATCAAGCAGTCCACCCAGCTTGGCCTCCCAAAGTGCTGGGATTATAGGTGTGAGTGAGCTACTACGCCTGGCCTGGACATGTAATTTTTAAAAGAAAATGTGGCCACAACTCTCCTAGAGTTAAATGTTTTTTTTGTTTGTTTGTTTGTTTGTTTTTTGAGACCATCAACAAGATTTCAAGGCTTTAAAGAAAGGAGCTGCTTCAGGAAGAGATAAAATGACTCGAACGCTATAACCTTCAAATGCAGACTGGGAGAAGAGGTATCAGCTATGCATGAGCTGGAGAGGGGTGGGATAGATAGAGACACAGGTGATAAAGAAAATACAGCAAAATGTGAACCCTACAATCTGGGTGGTGGATGTAAACCCTGTAGTAGCCTCACCTGGGGAAAGCTGCCTTGCAACAATGAGGCTGCCCATTCTCCAAACCCACCCCAGCCACCGAGCAGGCTCCACTAAAAAGTCTGAACCCAGGAGGGAGTACCATGGAAACCAAGTTGCAATGCCCTGGTTAGGGGCCCAGCAGAGGGGTCATCCCAGCTCTACGCCATTGGATACTGAGTTTCAGGAGTGGGAGTGCCATCCTCAGGGTCACACAGCGTGTCGGTTCCAGCCTAGGTCTTCCAGTGTCTCATTAATCTTTTATCCACTCAGCTTCTCTTCTGGCCCATGAACCTTGCTCTCCTGGGACTCTTTTTTTTTTTTTTTGAGGGGTCGGGGGTGGGACAGAGTCTTGCTCTGTTGCCCAGGATGGAGTGCAGTGGTGCCATCTTGCTTCACTGCAACCTCCGCCTCCCAGATTCAAGCAATTCTCCTGCCTCAGCCTACCGAGTAGCTGGGACTACAGGCACCCACCACCCTGCCCAGCTAATTTTTGTATTTTTAGTAGAGACAGGATTTCACCATGTTGGCCAGGCTGGTCTCGAGCTCCTGACCTCAAGTGATCCGCCTGCCTTGGCCTCCCAAAGTTCTGGGATTACAGGCATGAGCCATCACACCCGGCCTGGGACTCTTCTTGCAGTGAGCCAGGGCCATGGGACCCTTCAAAAGTTGCTCCACCCTAATCCCCAAAATATCTTTTTCTCCCGCCTGTCCCAAGTGCCTGGCATCATACTATATGGGTCAACTGGCCGTGTTTGCCATGGAAGCCCAATTGTAGGAAGTGGGTCTTTTATCACCCGGCATAGCAGAGCTGTGGAAACTGCACTGGGAAAGATCAGGATGTGAATTAAAGCGTTGGGAATGGGAAGGCAGAGACCTTGGATTAGCTGGGATGCTCCATGCACTCGCTGAGTGACCTTGGACAAGCCCCTTAGACACACTAAGCCCGTTTCCTCATCTACACGACGGGCATCCCATCTGCTACTGCACCAGGTTCTTGTGGCAATAACTTGAACTCACACATGCAAACAGGCTTTGTGAGCTCCATAAACACAGGTGGCTTGGCCAGGTGTGGTGGCTCATGCCTGCAACCCCAGCACTTTGGGAGGCCAAGGTGGGAAGATCCCTTGAGCCCAGGAGTTGGAGACCAGCCTGGGCAAGACGATGAAATCCTGTCTCTACCAAAAAAAATGATAATAATTAGCCAGGCATGGTGGCACACACCTGGTCCCAGCTCCTTGGGAGGCTGAGGTGGGAGGATCACTTGGGCCCAAGAGGTCAAGGCTGCAGTGAGCTGAGATTATAACACTCCAACCTGAGTGGCAGAGTGAAACTGTCTAAAAAATAAAAATAAAAATACATCAAAAAACAGGTAGCTATTAAGCATTGCTAGGACCCACACGCAGTGACCCTGAGGGTGCTGGGTTTCTGTTTGAGGGAGAAGAAACTCCTGAGCCCCTAGGTATTGTGGGGGACATGCAGTTCCAGACCGCCTTCATGGCCTGTATGCCTGGCCTCATCCCCATCCCTGGCATCCATGACGATAGCCACATTCCACTGGTGTTTCCCCAGGAAAGCCAACCCTACCTGCATCTCAGCAGAGCTTCCACAGAGTTGGAACCCCGCTCCGAGAGGGTGTGGGCTCAGGGGCCAGGGGTCACACAAACTCCAGAAGGAGGACGTAGTTGGTTTGCAAGGCTGTCCTTTGCCCTGGTTGAATAACCTTTGGTCTTCCCCGAGAGGAACGTGGGCATTAGGTTGCAGCCCGCAGGAAGCCATGTATTTTCTGAGAAACTTGGCCCATGGTGCAGATCTGCTCCAGCTCACTCTGGTGGGATCACGCCAGCCACGGCCGGGCCACGGCACATCATGGCAACGTGCTGCCCACCTGCTACGCCGCCTGTTTTTCTAGAGGCGGACGTGATCCCAGCAGGACTGGAGTCAGCCCAGGGCATCACGTGCTCTGGTCCCCGCCTGCTTTGACTCCTCCTGCCTCACTCCCCCCCTGGCCTGTAGTCACGTGGGTGAGGGTGGTGGGCACCGGGGCTGGGCCCAGCCCCCGACCCTGCCCAGACAGACTTTCCTAAGGCACCCTTTTCCTCGTGCAGGTGCGGCCTCAGCCCACCCCCCTTTGAGCCCACAGATTGCACCCCTCTGGTGTGCGGTTACCTCTTGCCTATGTTTAATTCATGGCTGGGGGGTTGGGACGAGCTTCCCAAGAAAGGAAAGAACTCCCCTGGGGTCTTGCCCAGTTCCTGCTCACCAGAAGGACCATAGCCGAGGTCCTCCTCCCAGGGCCCGGGGCTGGGGAGCGGAAGCCATCAGTGGGCTCGGAGGACACTGTCCCAGCCAGGACACGGCCATCGGTCACTAATCTGCAGCACTGGAATGTCCGCGGGCCAATCAGCGGGGTCTCTGGGGGCTCCCCAAGGGTGCTAATAATCCCACAATGATTAGCAGGGGCCGCGGGTCAGTGCACGCCACTCTGCCTGCTGTCGGGGGCGGGCTGGCCAGGCCGAGGCCGGAGCAGGCAGGCATCCCCCGGAGTTGTCTCTTTTCATGCCAGCGCCAACAGGAGGCTGTCTGGACACACTGATTACTCACTCACCAGCCTCCCTCTTTTGTCCACCAGCCCAGCCTGACTCCTGGAGATTGTGAATAGCTCCATCCAGCCTGAGAAACAAGCCGGGTGGCTGAGCCAGGCTGTGCACGGAGCGCCTGACGGGCCCAACAGACCCATGCTGCATCCAGAGACCTCCCCTGGCCGGGGGCATCTCCTGGCTGTGCTCCTGGCCCTCCTTGGCACCGCCTGGGCAGAGGTGTGGCCACCCCAGCTGCAGGAGCAGGCTCCGATGGCCGGAGGTAAGGGACACCTGGTGAGGAGGTAGGTGGAGGCACCATTACGAGCTCTGAGGAGTGGGTGCTAGGAGACTTCTGGAAGCCCGGTCCCAGGCCTGAGCCCCAGGCCGTGCGGGTGGTTTAATGAGGAAGCCCTGGGACAGCCCGGGGGCGGTGAGGGGTGGATGCTGGACTGGGGAGGAAGGAGGAGGAAGGAGGACCAGGGCTGGGGTCAAGGAGGAACGCCGAGGGGCGCTGTGGCTGGGGCCTGGAGAAATCCGTGGCCCGGAGGAGCCCCAGACAGGGGCCTGCGGGAGCCAGGGCTGGCCCCTACACCCAGCCCGCACCGCTGTTCCCTCCCGCCACCCCAACCCCAGCACTCAGCCCACGCCTGCTGTACCTGGTCTCTCTCTCAGCCTCGCTCCATTGCTATGCCCCACGTCCCCTGCACCCACCACACTCCTCTCCCATCTTGTTTTCCAAGGGCAGGGACACATGCTTATTCTGCCGTGTGTTGGGTTCAGGTCCCCCCATCCTCGGGCTGCCTGACCTTCTCTCCCCACCCCAGCCCTGAACAGGAAGGAGAGTTTCTTGCTCCTCTCCCTGCACAACCGCCTGCGCAGCTGGGTCCAGCCCCCTGCGGCTGACATGCGGAGGCTGGTGAGTACCCGACCCAGCTGGGCTCTGCCAGGGGGGTGGCCGGAGGCGCGGACCCCAGAGGGCGGCTCAGGAGGCCACGCCTGTCCAGGTGCCCTTCCACTTGACCAGGGTGGGCAGGCACAGCCAGCCACCTTGTCCCTGAGGGACGGAGGCCCTGGTTGCTGGGGGTCTCTGCAATTTCTTAACCCCCCACCCTCAGTTCAGGAGGTCGGGCCCCTTGGCTCCCACTCGCCTGAAGGGCAGGACCTTGGGCCTTCCCTGGCATCTTGTTGTCACAGAGACCAGGAGCCACAGGAGGAGCCGGATCCCCTCCTCCAGGGAAGGGGAGCTTCACGAGGAGCCCTGCAGGATGGGCGGCCGGGCCAGGGAGGGAGAAGGTCGTGCTGGGCTGGGGAGGGGCTTCTGTGCGGCAAGGACCCAGCGCCTCCTCCTGAGCTTATCTGAGCCACGAGGACGGGCCTTGCCCATGTTCTCTGCTCACTCACTCGTCCACATTTTCCACATTTTCAGCAGGGGCCGGGGGTCGGGGGTATAGAATTCCCCACCAGCCCGGCTGGGGCTGCGGGGTTGGGACTGTCATCTGGAGGCTCAGAAACGCTGCCCCCCCTTGTCTGGGACCCCAGCAGCCCCAGCCCATGTTAGCAGGCCAGGGAGCCAGGGCAGGGTGGTGGGGGCGGGAGGGTTCCCCATGGCTGCTTCCCATGAACTCCTCCAAGGCAGGCGGCCACAGTGGCGACCTTGAGCACTCTAGGGTCAGTTTCCCAGGAGGTGGGGGTGGGGTGGCTAAATGCGGGGGGTCGCTTCTCCCCGATTCCCAGCCCTGAGTGGCTCTGCCTCTCCTCAGGCTCAGACCCTGGGCAACCAGGGGTGCTCCCAGCTGTGACCTCCGTGGTTGGGTACTCCTGCCTGGGACCCCAGGAGGGGCTGCGGTGGTCGTTGGCTGGCAGCTGGCACCCTTTCCAGGGCCCTTTTGTCAAAGTCCTAGAAAACTTCATTTCCGTAAAGGTGCAAATGGAGCTCCATGGCTCAGCCTCCCTCGTGGCCCGGCCCCGAGCACCCTCCGGGCCTCTAGGGCTCCAGGGCACCCCCTCTTTGGACACAGTGGAGACTGAAGGTCTTGTGGGGGTGGAGGGCTGCTGAGGGACCCCGGGGAGCCCCCAGCTCCTGGCCCCAGCCTTCATCAGAGGTAAAACCCCGATGGACATTAGTGCAGGATGAAGTTGGCTTGGGGTGCAGCCCCGAGGGGCCCCCCTCCCTGCATCCACTCAGTGCTTGTGAGTCCTATCCTGCAGGCACCTCCCTGCTCCGTTTACAGATGAGCTCAGGGAGTCTCGGGAGATCAGGGGACTGCACCAAGTCACCCAGGGGTGGTGATTGCCAGGCCCACTTGTTTAAGAAGAGGGAGGGGGCTGGGCACGGTGGCTCACACCTGTAATCCCAGCACTCTGGGAGGCTGACACAAGCAGATCACCTAAGGTCAGCAGTTTGAGACCAGCAATGGCCAACAGTGAAACCCCGTCTCTACTAAAAATACAAAAATTAGCCAGGCGTGGTGTCACATGGCTGTAATCCCAGCTGCTTGGGAGGCTGAGGCAGGAGAATTGCTTGAACCTGGGAGGCGGAGGTTGCAGTAAGCCGGGATTTCTCCACTGCACTCCAGCCTGGGCGACAGGGTGAGACTGTCTCAAAAAAAAAAAAAAAAAAAAGAAGAGGGAGGGGGCGGGGTCAGCTGTGCGTGGTGGGGAGCATATGAGGCCGGGCTCCTGGGGGCAGGAGACTAGGGCAGAGAGGCGTGGCTGTAGGGCTTTTTGCATCACAGGAGGGCAGCATGGCCGGGTGGGAGCAGTGGAGCCTTTCTGACAATGGCCAGGGCCCAAACACAGAACCAGTCTGCAACGCGTGGGCACTGCTCACATGACCAGATGGGAGAAAGACAGCAGGAGCGGGTCCCATTGCCTGGGCAGGGCCGAAGGATGCCCACGACAGGATTTGGAGATGGAGGCTCAGTCGTGAGAGGAGCTGGGCTCCTCCTGGAGGGACATCAGACAACACCAGTGCTTCCTCCAGCAGGACTCCTCATCCAGTGCTCTCTTTGCCACCTGACCTGGCACCCGGTGGATGCTCAGAGATGGCAGGGGAGTTGAATCTTTGAGGCCTGGCCCAGCAGTCAAAGGCCTCCCACAGATGTCTGTTTGTGCTGCCCCCAGGACTGGAGTGACAGCCTGGCCCAGCTGGCTCAAGCCAGGGCAGCCCTCTGTGGAACCCCAACCCCGAGCCTGGCGTCCGGCCTGTGGCGCACCCTGCAAGTGGGCTGGAACATGCAGCTGCTACCCGCGGGCTTGGTGTCCTTTGTCGAAGTGGTCAGCCTATGGTTTGCAGAGGGGCAGCGGTACAGCCACGCGGCAGGAGAGTGTGCTCGCAACGCCACCTGCACCCACTACACGCAGGTGAGTGTGCTGCAGGTGAGGCCAGTGTGCCAGCTCCCAGATACAGACTTCCACTGGGCCATCTCAGAAGAGGCTACAGTTTGTCCTAAATGTTGGGATTCCTTTTCCTCCAATTGGTTTAGTTTTACTTTTTTTTTTTTTTGATACGGAGTCTTGCTCTGTTGCCCAGGCTAGAGTGCAGTGGCGTGATCTCGGCTCACTGCAACCTCCGCCTCCTGGGCTCAAGTGATTCTTGTACTTCAGCCTCCTGACTAGCTGGGACTACAGGCATGTGCCACCAGGCCTGGCTAATGGCTTTATACTTTTAGTAGAGATGGGGTTTTACCATGTTGGCCAGGTTGGTCTTGAACTCCTGGCCTCAAGTGATCCACCCACCTCAGCCTCCCAAAGTGCTGGGATTACAGGCATGAGCCACTGTGCCCCGCCACATTTTTTCTTTTTTTGGAGACATGGTCTCACTCTGTCACCCCAGGCTGGAGTGCAGTGGTGTGATCTCAGCTCACTGCAACCTCCGTCTCCTAGATTCAAGCGATTCTTGTGCCTCAGCCTCACAAGTAGCTGGGATTACAGGTGTGCGCCACTACACCCAGCTCATTTTTTTGTATTTTTAGTAGAGACAGGGTTTCACCATGTTGGTCAGGCTGGTCTCGAACTCCTGACCTCAAATGATCTGCCTGCCTCAGCCTCCCAAAGTGCTGGGATTACAGGCGTGAGCCACCATGCCTGGCCTAAGCCACTTTTTTTCAATCTGAAATATAAATAATTTCAAACATAAACGTATTTATTTATTTATTTGAGACAAAGTCTTGTTCTGTCACCCAGGATGGAGTGCAATGGCTTGATCTCGGTTCACTAGAACCTCTGCCTCCCAGATTCAAGTGACTGTCCTGCCTCAGCCTCCCAAGTAGCTGGGACTACAGGCACGAGCCACCACACCCCACTAATTTTTGTATTTTTAGTAGAGATAGGGTTTCACCATGCTGGCCAGGCTGGGTCTCAAACTCCTGACCTCAAGTGATCCACCTGCCTGGGCCTCCCAAAGTGCTGGGATTACGCGTGTGAGACACCGCACCCAGCCTCAAACGTAAATTTAAAACGGCCCCACTCTTACCCACTACCTAGGTTTAGAAGATGCTACTAAACTAAAGCCCTGCTCCTCCCCTTTTCCCGCTGTCCCTCCCTGGAGGGAATCTTCCCAAAGTTCAGGAGCTGATATCACTGCCAAGCAAGTTTCCATTTTTTCTCTTCATTCAACGAATATTTGTTGAGGGTCTTCTACACACACCTGGCGCTCTTCAGATGCACTGAAAAACACAAGCAAAATCCCAGGAAATATTTAATACCTCTACTACCTGTGCAAGTGGGTTGTGCATGTTTAAATATTACACAAGGCTGGGTGCGGTGGCTCACGCCCGTAATCCCAGCACTTTGGGAGGCCAAGGTGGCAGGATTGCCTGAGCCCGGGAGTTCGAGATCAGCCTGGGCCACATGGCAAAAACCTGCCTCTACAAAAAAATACATAAATTACCCAGGTGTGATGGTGTGCGCCTGTAGTTCCAGCTACTTGGGAGGCTGAGGTAGGAGAATTGCTGGAGCCTGGGAGGTGGAGATTGCAGTGAGCTGAGACTGCGCCATTGCACTCCAGCCTGGGCAGCAGGAGTAAAACCCTGGCTCAGTAAAAAGAAGAACATGTGCCCCTACAACTAGGTGCTGCCAAAGTGCTTACGCCAACTGTGCAGACCAGCAAACCAGTTCCCACTTCCCGAAGATCTTCTGGCTCCTTAATTTTTTTTTTTTTTTGAGACGGAGTCTTGCTCTGTCGCGCAGGCTACTGTGCAGTGGCGCGATCTCGGCTCACTGCAAGCTCCGCCTCCTGGGTTCACACCATTCTCCTGCCTCAGCCTCCCTAGTAGCTGGGACTGCAGGCACACGCCACCACACCCGGCTATTTTTTTGTATTTTGTTTAGTAGAGACAGGGTTTCACCGTATTAGCCAGGGTGGTCTTGATCTCCTGACCTCATGATCCGCCTGCCTTGGCCTCCCAGAGTGCTGGGATTACAGGTGTGAGCCACTGTGCCCAGCCTTGGCTCCTTAAGTTTTGTCAGACTCAAAGGTGTGAAAAACCTAACTCTGTTTTGTTGTTGGTGGTTGTTTTTTGTTTGTTTTGTTTTTGTTTTTGTTTTTTCGATTCAGAGTCTTGCTCTGTTGCCCAGGCCAGAGTGCAGTGGTGCGATCACAGCTCACTACAACCTCCGCCTCCCCAGTTCAAGAGATTCTCCTGCGTCAGCCTCCTGAGTAGCTGGGATTACAGGCGCCTGCCACCACACCTGGCTAATTTTTGTATTTTTAGTACTCCGGACGTCAGGTAATCCACCTGCCTCGGCCTCCCAAACTGTTGGGATTACAGGCTTGAGCCACCACGCCCAGCCTCTATTATTGTTTCTAATTTTCTTGATGTGAATGTTTAGATCATTCATTTTAAATCTTTTTTTGTTTCTACTATATACATTTAAAGCTATAAATTTCCCTTTAAACGATTTCAGCTGCATCCAATAAGTTTTGATGTTTTTTCTATTTCCAATCATGATGTTGTTTTTGTTTGTTTTGAGACATGGTCTGGCTCTGTCGCCCAGGCTGGAGTGCAGTGGTGCAATCTCAGCTCACTGCAGCCTCATTTTCCTGGGCTCAGGTGATCTTCTCACCTCAGGTCCGGAGTAGCTGGGACTACAGGTGTGTGCCACCATGCCTGGCTAATTTTTTGTATTTGTAATAGAGATGGGGTTTTGCCATGTTGGCCAGGCTGATCTTGAACTTCTGAACTCACATGAGCCACCCAACTCAGCCTCCCAAAGTGCTGGGATTACAGATGTGAACCACCACACCTGGCCATGATGTTGTTTTAGATTTTGAAGTGTATCTTTAAGTTTCTAAACTATGTTATCTTCTCTATTTACTTGTAAATTATTTACTTTAAATTTCATTGCATTGAATTCATAGAATGTGGCCTGTAGGATGTGCTGATTCTTTGCTATTTGTTGAAACTTGCTTAGTGGTCTAATGTATGGTCCTCCTTTCTGGTTTGCAAAAGTCCCATGCATTCCTAAAAACGATACATATTCTTTAAGTGTTGGATACATGTATATGATCACATGTTCACATCTGCCTGCTACAAGCCAGTCTTGTACATGTCATTTTTAGTCTCTACTGGAGAGTTTGTTTCACTCTTCTTATATATTGCCCATTTGTGCTATTTCCAAGCTGTTGCTGATTCTAAGACTTTAAACTGGTTTGCAGACCTGTATCCATTAGGTTTTATTGCATGACATACTACCCCAAAATTTAGCAGCTTACGATTCTGCAGGTCAGCCACTTGGGTTGGGCTCAGCAGGGAGGTTTTCTGGTCTTGGCTGGGCCCACTCATACACCTGCAATCAACTAGGGGGCCGGCTGGGAGCTGGCTGTGCAAAAAGGCCTCTAATGGTTCATCTCTGTTCCATGAGGCCTTCCAAACTCCTATACTGAGTTTGTTCATGTGGTGACTGAGCATGGTTCTATGAGAATGAGTGGAAATGGCAAGGTCTCTTAAGGCCTAGGTTCAAAATCGGCTCAGTATCACTTCTGTGGCATTCTGGTGGCCAAACCAGTTACAGAGCCAGCCAGATTCAAGGAGCAAGGAAAGAGACACCTCTCTTTGCTGCAAAAAGCTGCAGAGTCACATTTAAAGGAGTGGCCTGGTGCAAGAAATGAATGGTTGTGGTCACCATGCAGTCACAAGGCCCTTGATGTTCCAGTCTTTTTTTGGCTACTCCCCTCCACCCATCAACAATCTCCCCTCATTTCAGGTACCTCCCCTCTCCATCCCCCTCTCAACTAAGAAAGCCTTCCTAGGCCGGGCACGGTGGCTCACACCTATAATCCCAGCACTTTGGGAGGCCGAGGCAAGCAGTTCACCTGAGGTTGGGAGTTCAAGACCAGCCTGACCAACATGGAGAAGCCCTGTCGCTACTAAAAATACAAAAAAATTAACCGGGCCTGTAATCCTAGCTACTCGGGAGGCTGAGGCAGGAGAATCACATGAACCCAGGAGGTAGAGGTTGTGGTGAGCCAAGATCAGGCCATTGCACTCCAGCCTGGGCAACAAGAGCAAAACTCCATCTCAAAAATAAATAAATAAATAAATAAATAAATAAATAAGCCTTCCTGAACTATTCCCACCCATGCTTCTACCCCTGCCCAGGACAGCTGCTGCTCCTGAGCCCTCGAGGAGGTAAGGGAGCCCTCTGTTCACCTGGATGATAGCGAAAGCTGTGTCCCCCTCCCCAGGGGTGGTTCACAATAGGGTTTCTGATCCCCTGTGTCTCCTGTAGCTCGTGTGGGCCACCTCAAGCCAGCTGGGCTGTGGGCGGCACCTGTGCTCTGCAGGCCAGGCAGCGATAGAAGCCTTTGTCTGTGCCTACTCCCCCAGGTAAGCCCTGCTACACCCTCTGCTGGGATGTCTGGGAGACAGGGAGGGGTGCTTTCACCGAGGGTGAGATTCCCACACATCCACCCGAAAGTAGAGTCCCTGATGCCTTGCTCTGCACCCTTGGTGGGAGAGGGGAGGAGAGGAAAGGCAGAGGGTGCTAAAGATTCTGGCCACGCAGAAGGTGCTGCTCTGCGGATGTCCCTTCCTGGATACTGGTCCTGGTATCAGGGAGTTTGTCCAGGATTGGTTTGGAGGCCATCTCTTCTCTCCCAGGGAATCTCCCTATCTCACCCAGCTCCCTGACTCCCTGGCCTGGCCGCAGGAGCTGAAGGGGCCAGGGGGGCAGGCAGCAGGGCCCTGCCTCTGCCTTGCCCAAGGCCAGGCCCTCCCACACCCTGTGGTGCCTGCTCGTCCTCACAGAGGCAACTGGGAGGTCAACGGGAAGACAATCGTCCCCTATAAGAAGGGTGCCTGGTGTTCGCTCTGCACAGCCAGTGTCTCAGGCTGCTTCAAAGCCTGGGACCATGCAGGGGGGCTCTGTGGTGAGTGCATGAGGGCTCAGTCTGGTGACCCTGGGGTGGGGGTGGTAGCATCCTACTGGGCTGTCCCAGAAGCCCTGGCCCTTAGCACCCAGGGAGGCTCCTGCCCGGCCTGCTGGGAGGAGACCCTTTTCTCAGAGTCCCCTCCTCCTCTGACCAGAGGTCCCCAGGAATCCTTGTCGCATGAGCTGCCAGAACCATGGACGTCTCAACATCAGCACCTGCCACTGCCACTGTCCCCCTGGCTACACGGGCAGATACTGCCAAGGTGAGGGCACTGGAGCCTGGGTGTGCCCAGCCCTGCTCTCGTGGCAGGTCCTAGGGCTGCTACACTTCCTGAGAGTCTCAAGGGTGTCAGAGGTGCTGACTGTGTACTCCCTGAGTCTGCCCACTGCATACATTCTTTCAACAAGCATTCACTGAGCACTAGCTGTTTGCCAGACCCTGAGCTGTGCAGGAGATTCAAAGTGAAATCAGGTTCAGCCCCTTAGGCTCTGGGAGGAGGACAGAATTAGGACCCAGAAGTGGATTCTTGCCCTACTGCCCCTCTACCCTAACCCACTCTGTGACCATGGGCAGGTCACCTCCCAAACTCCAATATGCCTCACTCTGCAATGGGGACCAAACCAAAGACACCAGGCGTGCCAGCAATCGGAAGCCTTGGTGGGTTCTGTCTATGGGAGGGGTATTCTTGCTGTGGTTGGCATTCCCTGGATGTTCGAGGCCTCTGGGGGGCAGCGTGGGGTCCAGAAGGCTGGGGGCTGAGCCTCTGCCCCACTGCCCTGCCCTGGCAGTGAGGTGCAGCCTGCAGTGTGTGCACGGCCGGTTCCGGGAGGAGGAGTGCTCGTGCGTCTGTGACATCGGCTACGGGGGAGCCCAGTGTGCCAGTGAGTCCTGCCCCAGGGCCCCCAAAGAGCCAGCTCCTCTCAAGACCCCCCTTCAATGGGGCATCAGCTCCCAGGAGCCCGCTGTGTGCCTCTCTTTCCAACTCATTCAGTGACAACACGTTGAGATCTTGAAACTGGCCACAGCATGGATATTTACACCAAAGAAATTGGCAAATGCTATAAACCATGGATTTTTTTTTTTCTTTTGAGAGAGAGCAAGCTCAATATTCCAACTTACCAGCTCGCTCCTGACCCTCACCACCCACTCTTTTGGAGCAGGTGGCCAGAGGAAGGGGCACCCTGAGCTTAGCTCCCCGGCAGGGCAGGAAAGGGCAGGGATTCTGAAGTCCACACACAAACTCAGGCTCCCCTACCCCAGCCAAGGTGCATTTTCCCTTCCACACCTGTGACCTGAGGATCGACGGAGACTGCTTCATGGTGTCTTCAGAGGCAGACACCTATTACAGAGCCAGGATGAAATGTCAGGTGACAGTCACCCCTAGCTTCCTAGGAACCCCCTAGGGCCTCAAGTGAGGGTCTTAATGCAGGGACCCTGGAGTGAGAGGTGGTTCCTTCCACGTCTCTGACCTCACCCTATTCATCAGCATAAAGCAGGGGTCGTGGACTCCAAGGCTCATAGAAGCCAGGAGGTCACTTATTGACCTGAGGGGCCAAGGTCAAGACCAACCTCCATCTAAGGGAGTTCCAGCCACTGGTTGCCTTGCAGGAATGCAAGGTCAGGGTGGCCAGAGCTCGGGGTTGTTCAAGAAAACCAGCAACCCAGACTTCCACTGGCAACTCTCGAAACCACAATTAATTACTGGGGTTGGCAATCAACTTGGATATATTTAAGACACTGTGCAGGTGAAACAGAACCTCCTCAGGGGCCAGACCTTGCCTGGGCTTGTGGGCTGCTGGTCGCGCCCCCGTGCACAGGGAGAAGAGAAGCAGACGGGAGCAGAAGGGACCCCTGCTCTTGGAAGGGAGGCTGTGCGGGCTGGGGGTGATGATAGCCCGGCCAGCACACACACGTGGCATCTTAGGCCATGGGCAGGGGTGGCAGGAAGGGGCAGCCTGGGCTCTGGGAGCCTTGCCTGTGTGACCCAGGGTGGGGTTACAGAGGAAAGGCGGGGTGCTGGCCCAGATCAAGAGCCAGAAAGTGCAGGACATCCTCGCCTTCTATCTGGGCCGCCTGGAGACCACCAACGAGGTGATTGACAGTGACTTCGAGACCAGGAACTTCTGGATCGGTGAGTGCCCAGCTGATTGGGGGTATGGCGAGTAAGGGGTTGTGATGCCCCACCCTGCTGCAGGAACCCTGGGCCATGGCGGCTGCCAGCAGATGGCAAGGGTGTGTTGAGGGCCTGGAGCCCAGAGCGGGGCCAGCTGCTCACCCCCTTTCCCGGGAAGGGCCCAGGTAGGGAGCACATGGGGGCTGCCAGCGCTGGGAAGAGGGGCCAGAAAGGCAGCTGGCAGCAGACTCCAGGGTCTGAGTGGGCCAACCTTGACTACCCCGGCCCAGGGCTCACCTACAAGACCGCCAAGGACTCCTTCCGCTGGGCCACAGGGGAGCACCAGGCCTTCACCAGTTTTGCCTTTGGGCAGCCTGACAACCACGGGTAAGTGTGGGGTGCCTCCCTCCCCTGGGCCTCCTTCTCACTTGGGCCTGCCTGGTGGAGCCCCCCATCCCGCTGCCTGGCTGGGCCCTTTGAGGGTCTGATCCTTCCCTGGTGCCTGCCCAGGTGCCAGAGAGTTGTGGGCACAGCTGGTGTGGGCCGGTGGTGGGGTGAGGGAGATGCAAGCCGGAAGGCACGTCACGTGGGGGAGAGAGGGACCCAGGAAGCCTCCATCCATCTGTCCATCCCCAGTGTCCCCTGGTGTGACTCCATCCCTCCAATTCTCATCCACTCACCCCTCCGTCTGCATGCCCTCTGCCTGCATCAGTTACACTGATGCCAGCATTCCTTAGCTGTCACCCACCTGCACTCATTCACAATACAACCCTGCACCTGCAGACCCACCAGCCATCCTGTAGCAAGAACCCTCTGGTCACGTGGCCCCACCCTGCTCTTCAAAGCCCAGCAATGCCCAGGGCCAGGGTGGAGGTGGTCCGGCTGCGAGGCCACCAAGGGCTCCAGCGATTTCAGCCAGCCCTCCTTGCCAACAGCCGGCCTGTGCCCCTGGCCTCTTGCCTGGAGGAAGTCTGGGCCTTGTTGGGTTCCCAGGTGTACCTCTCAAGTGGGCTGTCTATTCCAGTCCCCACCATCCCCACAGGCTGGTGTGGCTGAGTGCTGCCATGGGGTAGGCAGAGCTGTTACCCCAGGAAGGGGCTTCCCTGAGAAGTGGAGCAGGGCTGGGGGCTTGGGGACGGGCCTGGCTCCCGGCAGCCCCGTCGGCAGGTGGGGGCACTGGAGCCCCTGAGATGCAGGGTCCTGATGGGTGGAGGGCTTAGGCCTCTCCCGGTCCCTGACTTCACTCTTGCCTCCTGACCACCACACCATGGCCTGCAGGTTTGGCAACTGCGTGGAGCTGCAGGCTTCAGCTGCCTTCAACTGGAACGACCAGCGCTGCAAAACCCGAAACCGTTACATCTGCCAGTTTGGTGAGGGACTTCCTGAGGCTCCCCTTCTCTGATCCCTGACCCTGGGGGTGCTGCTGACCCGGTCCAGCCTGCAAGGGTATCTAGGTGGCAGGTTCAGAGTGGGTCTGGGCACACGGGGCCATAGAGGATGCCCTGTTGATGGCCTTGTACCTGTGGGCTCCTGAGCCCAGAGGGGCAACGACGGGCCCAGCTTCATACAGCAAGGCCACGCAGGAAGGACTAGAGCTACAGCTCTGCAGGGGATTTCTCCAAGGACCCTCTCCTGTCATGAAAGCTGCTTCCTGGGAACCTGTTGGGTTCCTTGGTGTTCCCGGGAGCCCCATGAACTGTGGTGGAGGCGGAGGTGAAACCTAGCATGGCACCAGCTCCCAGCAGCCTCTGCTAGGAAGGCCTGGAGCGCCACAGGGACCACGGCCATGGGCACTTCCAGACCGAGTGCAGCAGGGCTGCCATCTTGGGACTGCCTGGGCTGCCATCGAGCCCTGCTCTCTTCTGCTTCCTTCCAGCCCAGGAGCACATCTCCCGGTGGGGCCCAGGGTCCTGAGGCCTGACCACATGGCTCCCTCGCCTGCCCTGGGAGCACCGGCTCTGCTTACCTGTCTGCCCACCTGTCTGGAACAAGGGCCAGGTTAAGATCACATGCCTCATGTCCAAAGAGGTCTCAGACCTTGCACAATGCCAGAAGTTGGGCAGAGAGAGGCAGGGAGGCCAGTGAGGGCCAGGGAGTGAGTGTTAGAAGAAGCTGGGGCCCTTCGCCTGCTTTTGATTGGGAAGATGGGCTTCAATTAGATGGCGAAGGAGAGGACACCGCCAGTGGTCCAAAAAGGCTGCTCTCTTCCACCTGGCCCAGACCCTGTGGGGCAGCGGAGCTTCCCTGTGGCATGAACCCCACAGGGTATTAAATTATGAATCAGCTGAACCTGTGCATGCTCATTTCAAAGGGAAATTCAGATGATCCAGGATGACCCTGGAGAGACCAGAGGGGGCCTGAGGCTTCACTGCAGCGGCCTCCACCCACCTATTCCCTTTCCTGGTCACCTTCATGGTCCAGGACACTCTCTGGAAGTTCTGGGTCTCCCCAAGAAGAGGAAGACCAGACTCTGCCTCAGTGAGGAGCTGTTCTCATGGCTGGGGCCCAGGCAGGCAGGGTATTAATAGAAGTTGCTCTGAATGTCTGGGAGACGACGCGTGTGTGTTGCCCCCACCGGCGGAGTGTCATCGCACCAGGGCCAATGGTAGTCAGAGCCTGTGCAGTCCCGCTCCCTCACCCAGCTCCTCAGACATCACCCACAAGGGGTTATCACTATCCCAGTTTACAGCAGAAGAAATGAAGGCAGAGAGATTGAGTAACTTGCATAAGATCATACAGCTGGGAGTCAAACCCAGTGAGTCTGGCTGTCATTTATTTATTTTTTTTTCTTTTCTTTTCTTTTCTTTTCTTTTTTTTTTTGAGACGGAGTCTCGCTCTGTCGCCCAGGCTGGAGTGCAGTGGCACGATCTCCGCTCACTGCAAGCTCCGCCTCCCAGGTTCACGCCATTGTCCTGCCTCAGCCTCCCGAGTAGCTGGGACTACAGACGCCCGCCACCACGCCCGGCTAATTTGTTTTTTGTATTTTTAGTAGAGACGGGGTTTCACCGTGTTACCCAGGATGGTATCGATCTCCCGACCTCGTGATCCACCCGCCTCGGCCTCCCAAAGTGCTGGGATGACAGGCGTGAGCCACCGCGCCCGGCCCTATTTTTTTCTTTTTTGAGACAGAGTCTCGCTTTGTCGTACAGGCTGGAGTGCAGGGGTGCAATCGGGCTTCACTGCAGCCTCGAACTCCCAGGCTCAAGCGATCCTCCTGCCTCAGCCACCCAAGTAGCTGCAACCACAGGTCCGCACCACCACGCCCCGCTATTTTTTGTGTTTTTTGTAGGGACGGGGTTGCACCATGTTGCTCAGGCTGGTCTCGAACTCCCGTGCTCAAGCGATCCGCCATCCTGGGCCTCCCAAAGTGCTGGGGTTACAGGCATGAGGCCCGGCGCCGGCCCAGTCTTTCCCTCTCCCACTGCTTCCCATGGCTTCGCCTGTCTAACCGGGCGCGGGCAGTTGTCCTGTGTCCTGGCTCAGCGCGGACCTACGCGGGGTGATCACACAGATGCCCCCAGCTCTCTCTACCTCCCGCGAAGGCGCTGAGCCCCCTGATCCCTGCCCGGGCACTGGCGCAAGGTCGCCTGCGAGCGCCAGGCCTTCCTGCCCGGTGGGAGACGGGAGGGCCCGCTCTCCGGCTCGGTCTGGTTCCCGGGTCAGCCAGCAGCCGCGCCTCTTCCTCCCGGACCCGGGACCCGCCCCTTGTCCGGGGCCACGGCCGCAGCGCCCGGAGGGGCCGCCCTGCGCATGCCCGCGGGAGGTGGGTGACCCGGGCGCGCGCTGCCCGAGGCCGGGGGGCGGTGGGGACAGCACAGGCGGGGCGGCCGAGCCGAGACCTTCCCACCCCGCCCCACGCCTGGTTGGGGACCTGACGCGCCGTCGTGAGTGGGGCGGGTGCAGGTGTCCCTGGGGGCCGGGGGCAGACACTGGTGCGGGACGACCTGCTCCCGAGGGGGTCCGCAGGCCACACCCAGAGAAACTGGGGCGCCTCCAGTCACCGCCGCGGTCCGCCCCGCCCGAGGCTTTGACCCCCTGAATCAGCGTCGGGGCAGGGATCCGCGTGGGGTGGAAGAGGCTGGGAAACTGGGGAGTCCCGGGCCTCCTCTGAAGCCGCCCGCCCTTGGCTGGCTGGTCCTTCTCTTCCTCGGCTCCCGCCGGGCTGGGCCCTGGGCCGCCCTCACTCCCTCCCCTCTGCAGCCTCCCTTGCGTTTGTCATTCACTCTACCAGGCTCTCCTTCTGCCTCCGCATGCCCAACGATCCGGAGAAAAACACGGACCATGACATCAAAAGGCCTTGGCAAAGGAATCGTGATTATTGTGATACAAGATTCTGCACCTCAAAGGGGATCCCTGTAGTGAGTTTTGGAAAACGTACAAAGCCTGACTTACAGTATGCCTGTTATCTGTGGCGTTTCATCTGGGGAACTTACTTTTCCTTGATAGGGTAAACTATTCTCATCCAGAGTATGTCCCTCAGTCTGTAAAAGTCCATGGTGCCCTACATCTATTAGGGGAGTGAGGAAGGGCAGTGGACATTGGATCTGCTTCTTTGAAAGCCCCCACTTGTGTTTAGCTTCTGTTAGAGGCCTTTGAACCAGAGCAACTCCATCTTGAGTAGGCGCTGGGTAAAATGAGGCTGAGACCTACTGGGCTGTGTTCCCAGGCGGTTGAGGCATTCTAAGTCACAGGATGAGATGAGAGGCCGGCACAAGCAGTAAAGAAGCCGCGGCCAAAACCCACCAAAACCAAGATGGTGATGCGAATGACCTCTGGTCGTCCTCACTGCTACACTCCCACCAGCGCCAAGACAGCTTACAAATGCCATGGCAACGCCAGAATGTTACCCTATATGGTCTAAAAATGGGAGGCATGAATAATCCACCCCTTCTTTAGCATATAATCAATAAATAACCATAAAAATGAGCAACCAGCAGCCCTCGGGGCTGCTCTATGGAGTAGCCATTGTTTTATTTCCTTACCTTTTTTTTTTTTTTGAGAGGGAGTCTTGCTCTTGCTCAGGCTGGAGTGCAGTGGCGTGATCTCGGCTCACTGCAATCTCCGTCTCCTGGGTTCAAGTGATTCTCCTGCCTCAGCTTTCGAGTGGCTGGGACTACAGGTGCCCACCACCATGCCGGCTTTTTTTTTTTTTGTACTTTTAATAGAGACGGGGTTTCACCACGATGGCCAAGGTGGTCTCAAACTCCTGTCCTCAGATGATCTGCCCACCTTGGCCTCCCAAAGTGCTGGGATTATATGCGTGAGCCACCGCGCCCAGCCCTATTCCTTTACTTTTTATTTTGAGGTGGAGTCTCACACCTGGCCTCCAATATGTTTATTCATATTGCTGAGGCAGGGGATTGCTTGAGCCCAAGAGTTTGAGGTTGCAGTGAACCATGATCATAAGCTGTATTTCAGCGTGAGTGAGAGATTGAGACCTTGTCTCACAAAATAAAAGTTAAAAAGCCCTTATCTGGAGGTGAGAAAGCCAAATACAAAGGTCTTCTCAGTTGGTTCCCAGTCTTCCCAGTCCAGCAGCCTCAGCATCACCAGGGAGCTGGTTAGGCAAATTCTCGGCCGCCCCAACCTACTGAATTGGAGACCCTGAAGATGGGGCTATCTGAATTTTAACAAGGCCTCCAGGTTTGCATGCTCAAGATTGAGAACCACTGGCAAAAGCAAACAATTTGAATCTGAAGTCAGCCCACCTGCATTTGAATACAGGCCCTGCCACTTAATAACTGTGATTTAGAGCAAGTTAGTTACTTAACAGCTAGGTTGACCAATTGTCCGAGTTTGCCTGGCACTGTCCTGATTTCAGCACTGAAAGTACTACATTATCGCTGTGGCTCACGCCTATAATCCCAGCTTCTCAAGCTGTCCCTGTGGAATCCTCAATATCGGTACATTCATCCCTATCTAGCATCCCCTTCCTCCCTCACCCATCCTGCACCCTCAGAATTCATTCTCAGATCACCTTCCCAGATTTTTGCCAATATCAATTAAAAAAATTTTTTAGCCAACCATGTACTGTGAGTAAGCCAATATCAATTAGCAAAATCTTTAAGTTTCTTTTGGTGATTCAGTATCTTCCCCCTGGAGTTTTTTGATGATTCAGTACCCTCCTAGATTTGGCCCCTGGGGCCTGCGGGGATGTGACTTGTCATTTAATTCTGGAGAAAATGAGGGGTAGGGCTTATAAGGAGACTCCTTCGGGGCAGGGTCATTACAGGGTGTGTTACATAGGGAAATGCTAGCTGCTGGCTAGCTCTCGCTCTTGAAAGGCTCTTCCTCCCTCAACTGAAATGGGGAAGGGGGAACCCCGGCCGACTGAGGTCCTGACATCTTTAGCACATGGCTTCTTAGGTCACCCAGGGCATCCAGGTTACCAGCTTGGGAAACAGGAGATGTAGGTTGGAGGAAGAGGCTACAGCCCACCCTGGAAATAACTGCCATCCGTCCCACCCATATGGTTAGGCTTTGTGTCCCCACCCAGATCTCATCTCGAATTACAATCCCCACGGGTTGAGGGATGGACCAGGTGGAGGTACTTGCATCCTGGGGGCAGTTTCCCCCATGCTGTGCTCGTGACAGTGAGTGAGTTCTCACGAGATCTGATGGTTTTAAAGCGTGGCAGTTCCTCTTTCTCGTGCTTACATCCTCGTAACTATCCTGTGGAGAAGGTGTCTGCTTTCCCCTACCTCCATGGTTGTAAGTTTCCTGAAGCCTCCCCAGCCGTGTGGAACTGTGAGTCAATTAAACTTCTTTATAAGTTACCCAGTCTCGGTGTTTGCTTTTTTGAGATGGAGATTTGCTCTTGTTGCCCAGGTTGGAGTGCAATGGCGTGATCTCGGCTCTTTGCAACCTCTGCCTCTCGGGTTGAAGCTATTCTCCTGCCTCAGCCTCCCAAGTAGCTGGGATTACAGGCGTGAACCACCACACCCAGCTAGTTTTGTATTTTTAGTAGAGAGGGGGTTTCATTATGTTGGTCAGGCTGGTCTCGTGCTCCAAGCCTCAGGTGATCCGCCCACCTCGGCCTCCCAAAGTGCTGGGATTACAGGCATGAGCCACCGCACCCAACCTTGGATGTTTCTTTATAGCAGTGTAGAAACAGACTCAGCCGTCGCTGCAGGCCATACCTCAGCTACATAGAACACCTAACTGCCCGCAAGGGAGTTCCTGCTACTAGGATCTTCAGAGTGACAAAGAGGAAGCTTTGGCTGGCAAGGGTGGTGGGGAGGGGAGGGGCTAGGTACCTAAGGCTTCCCTATCTTTCCACACAGCCTAATTTTCATAGCCTCTGGTCTCCACATTTCACTCTTTCCCAAATAAAGACCTTTTAAGGTGTGGGTCCCCTTGGTCATTCTGTAACCATTGGATCAAGTTTTCAGTTTTTTCTGCTCTCTCAGCTGCAAAATAACACATTCGAGTTTTGGTTTTTTTTATTTGGAGACAAAGTCTCACTCTGTCGCCCAGGCTGGAGTGCAGTGGTGTGATCTCAGCTCACTGTAACCTCTGCCTCCTGGATATAAGCGATTCTCCTGCCTCAGCCTCCCAAGTACCTGGGATTACAGGCACCCGCCACCACACCTGGCTAATTTCTGTATTTTTAGTAGAGACGGGGTTTTGCCATTTTGGCCAGGCACACTCGGGTTTTCTAACCATACCTTGAGCCAAGAATTTGGATTCTGAGCTTGTCTTTTCATTTAAGCTATGTGGCGCTGTTAACATGACCGCCCTGCCCAGCAGATCTTGACTTCAGTGTAATCTTTATTCTCTTCTATGGCAGGAGCCATTAGGTCCCCCAAAGCCTTGCCTTTGATGGGTACTTTGTTCCCGGGGACAATGGGATTAGCTGTCTTGCCAGGGCGTGCCATGGGGCTGCTGGTGTCCTGTCCCTTAATACCAGCTGGATTTTCACTGTCCTCTGGCCACTTTCCAGCCTTCAATTGCTCCTGTTTCCTTTGGGGCTTCTTGCTCTGTCCAGTCCTGGTCCTATTTTTGTGAGAATCAAGGTTCTTAGTTTTAACCAACAGAAACTAATTCTGGCAACTCTAAGCAGAAAGGGACTTGGTCAGAGGTCCTGGCTAGTTCCCAGGAGCTCAAAAGGGTCAGAAAATCAAATCAGGAAGAGGACATTGGGCAAAGCTGGCCAGGTGAAGAACCCACAGCCTCTGCTGGCACAGAAGCTACAATTGGCACCACCGAAGTGGGACAGAAGCTGCCACCTGTGCAAGCTAGATGTAGTCGCTGCCGCTGTCACCATCAATTTTTGAGATGATGCTTCTTCCTGCCTGCCACTTTAATTCAAAGCGAAGGCCAGGTGCAGTGGCTCATGCCTGTAATGCCAGCACTTTGGGAGGCCAAGGCAAGAGGATCGCTTGAGGACAGGAGTTTGAGATCAGCCTGGGCAACAGGGTGAGACCCCGTCTAGCCAAAAAATACAAAAAAAATAGCTGGGCAGAAAGAAAATGGCTCATGCCTGTAATCCCAGCACTTCAGGAGGCCGAGGCGGGTGGATCACCTGAGGTCAGAAGTTTGAGATTAGCCTGCCCAACACGGTGAAACACTTTCTCTACTAAAAATACAAAAAATTAGTCAGGTGTGGTGGCACACGCCTGTAATTCCAGCTACTCAGGAGACTGAGGTAGGAGAATCGCTTGAACCCGGGAGGTGGAGGTTGTAGTGAGCTGAGATCTCACCATTGCACTCCCCGCTGGGTGACAGAGCAAGACTAGTCTCAAAAAAAAAAAAAAGGGGCCACGTCGATGGAAGGACAAGAATAAAGAAACTGAGGCCGGGTATGGTGGCTCACACCTGTAATTCCAGCACTTTGAGAGTCCGAGGTGGGTGGATCACCTGAGGTCGGGAGTTCGAGACCAGCCTGACCAACACGGAGAAACCCTGTCTCTACTAAAGATACAAAAATTAGCCAGGCATGGTTGCGCATGCCTGTAATCCCAGCTATTGGCGAGGCTGAGGCATGAGAATCACTTAAACCTGGGAGGCGGAGGTTGTGGTGAGCCGAGATCGCGCCATTGCACTCTAGCCTGGGCAACAAGAGCGGAACTGTGGCTCAAAAAATAAATAAATAAATAAATAAAAAATAGAGACATTGGGCCAGGCACAGTGGCTCGTGCCTGTAATCCCAGCTCTTTGGAAGAATGAGGTAGGAGGATTGCTTGAGCCCAGGAGTCCGAGGGTGCAGTGATCACGTCATTAAACTCCCACCTGGGTGACAGAGTGAGGAGCTGTCTCCCCACCCCCATCCCGCAAAAAAAGAAGGTAACTGGGCAAAGAAGTTATTCTTAGTAGAGACTGGCTTTCATCATATTGGCCAGGCTGGTCTTGAATTCCTGACCTCAGGTGATCCACCCACCTCGGCCTCCCAAAGCGCTGGGATTACAGGTGTGAGCCACGGTGCCCAACCTCCTCTTCTCATTTAAACCTCAAAATCATCTCACAAAGCAGGTGCTATTAATACCCGCGTCTTACAGAACAGTTAACAGATGTGTCCAGGGCCGCATGGAGAACACCTTGAGAGAGCAATGAGATCTCGCTCTCCTGCCTCATGACCGATACACGGTTTCAAGAAGTTAGATGACATCACAGATACTCAGGGCACCCAGCTCCAGGCCTTACTGCCTTCGCACAAGGCCGCTCTCTACTAGCTTCACCCCGCATGGAATGCAATGGTCAATGAGGCCCTGGTCAGAACATGGGACTGACAAAGCCAGCACTTGTAGGCTGAGTCTCAGATCACGTGGCTTGTTTGTTTTGTTTGTTTGTTTTTGGGAGATGGAGTTTCACTCGTGTTGCCCAGGCTGGAGTGCAATAGCACCGTCTCAGCTCACTGCAACCTCCGCCTCCTTGTTCAAGCGATTCTCCTGTCTCAGCCTCCTGAGTAGCTGGGACTACAGGTGCACGCCACCATGCCTGGCTAGTTTTTGTATTTTTAGTAGAGATGGGGTTTCATCACATTGGTCGGGCTGGTTTCGACCTCCTGACCTCAGGTGATCCACCCACCTTGGCCTCCCAAAGTGCTGAGATTACAGGCGTGAGCCACTGTGCCCGGCTGGCTTTTTTTTTTTTTTTTTTTTTTTTGAGGAGTCGCACTCTGAAATCCAAGCTGGAGTGCAATGATGTGATCTCCCACCATGCTAGCTGTGTTTGTTGTTGTTGTTTTTTCTTTAGTAGAGATGGAGTTTCTCCATGTTGGTGAGGCTGGTCTTGAACTCCTGACCTCAGGTGATCCACCCACCTCGGCCTCCCAAAGTGCTAGGATTACAGGCGTGAGTCACCATGCCTGGCCTCAATTTCTTGAAAGACAAAAAAGACAAAAAGAAAAAGAGAAAGAAAGAAAAAGAAAAAAAAAGAAAAAGAAAGAGAAAGAGAACAAGAAAAAGAGAAGGAAAGCTCCATGGGTTTAAAGGCAAGAGTCAGCTTCAAGGAGGGCTGGGAAGTCAGGTGATGCCACCCCTGTGCTTCCCGCGGCCAGATCACCTGATGGAGGTACCGTTGGTTTTGGGCCCGTCTCTCAGCACTTGCTACCAGAGAGGACAGCTCTACACCAGAGAGTGAGGGTGGGAACCTGCTCACTGCTGTCTGCTCAGGGCTGGGCATGAGGCAGGTGCTCAGTAGGGGTCTGGAGAATAAATGAATGAACCATCACGGGGCCAAGCACCTGGAAGCGGGCTGGAGATGCTTGCTCTGGACTCCTGGCTCAGGAGTGGACTCCCCAGGTGGACTTCCTCCTGCATCGCCACAGCTGAGTGCATGGAGCACAGGTAGGGCAGCTAATGAGCAGGGTCATCATGAATGACAGCAGATGACACCAGGACAGGGGAGGTCAGTAGCCAGATGGGAAGAAAGCAGAATGAAACAGGTCGCCCGGGTGCAGTGGCTCATGCCTGTAATCCCAGCATTTCGGGAGGCCGAGGTAGGCGGATCACGAGGTCAGGAGATCGAGACCATCCTGGCTAACACGGTGAAACCCTGTCTCTACTAAAAATACAAAAATTAGCTGGGTGTGGTGGCAGGTGCCTGTAATTCCAGCTACTCAG
The DNA here is from genome assembly GCF_000001405.40 of Homo sapiens. Taxonomy (NCBI): domain Eukaryota; kingdom Metazoa; phylum Chordata; class Mammalia; order Primates; family Hominidae; genus Homo; species Homo sapiens. The sequence goes on from NC_000016.10 coordinate 69,972,761, forward strand.
GAAGCTGAGGCAGGAGAATTGCTTGAACCCAGGAGGCGGAGGTTGCAGTGAGCCGAGATCACACTACTGCACTCCAGCCTGGGTGACAGAGCAAAACTCCGTCTGGAAAAAAAAAAAAAAAAAAAAGAAAAAAGAAATACTAAGTAACTTGTCTGAGGCCACTTAGTTACCAAGACGTGGGAGCTGGGACTTGAACCCAGGCAGTCTGGCTGGATTCATGCCTGCAGCCTCTGCACTCCTGCTACTTACTGTGTGAGAAGCGCCTGTTCTGTGGCAGGTTGTGGGCTGAGATCTTTCCATGACTTCCACTCATTTACCCCCAAGGCTGTTCTTAAAGACGGGCATGACAGTTAGGCCCATTTTACAGATGGGGCCCTGAGGCTCACAAGGGCATGCCACTCACCCATCTCCACAAAGCTATAGCTCGTCAGCAGAGGGCAGAATTCGGCCGCCTCTCCCCTAGCTCGAAGGCTGTGATTGACACAGAGGTTTTGTTGTTGTTGTTGCTGTTGTTTGTTCCTTTTTCTTTTTTTTTTGAGACAGGGTCTTGCTCTGTCATCCCGGCTGGAGTGCAGTGGTGCGATCTCAGCTCACTGCAAACTCTGCCTCCAAGATGCAAATGATTCTCGTGCCTCAGCCTCCCAAGTAGCTGGAATTACAGGTGTGCACTACCATGCCCAGCTGTTTTTTGTAGAGATGGGGTTAGTAGAGATTTGTTTAATAGAGACGGGGTTTCACCATGGTCTCTACTAAACCCTGTCTCTACTAAAAATACAAAAATTACCCAGGCGTGGTGGCACATGCCTGTAGTCCCAGCTACTCAAGAGGCTGAGGCAGGAGAATCACTCGAACCTGGGAGGTGGAGGTTGCAGTGACCCAAAATCATGCACTCTGGCCTGGGGTCTCGCTTTTGCCCAGGTTAGAGTGCAGTGGCACAATCATAGTGGCTTACTGCAGCCTCAAACTCCTGGGCTGAAGGGAATCCTCCCACCTCAGCCTCCCAAGTAGCTAGGACTATAGGCATGTGCCATCATGGCGAGTTAATTTTTTGTGTGTTTTTATTTTCTCGAGACAGAGTCTTGCTCTGTTGCTCAGGCTGGACTGCAATGGCGTGATCTTGGCTCACCGCAACCTCCACCTCCTGGGTTCAAGCGATTCTCCTGCCTCAGCCTCCCGAGTAGCTGGGATTACAGGTGCGTGCCAGCATGCCTGGCTAATTTTGTATTTTTAGTAGAGACAGGGTTTCGCCATGTTGGTCAGGCTGCTCTCGAACTCCTGACCTCGTGATCCACCTGCCTCGGCCTCTCAAAGTGTTGGGATTACAGGCATGAGCCACTGAGCCTGGCCTGGGGAGCTAATTTTTAAATTTGTTATAGAGACAAGAGAGACAAGAGTCTCTCTTATGTTGCCCAGGCTGGTCTCGAACCCGTGGCCTCAAGTGATCCTCCCACCTCAGCCTCCCAAAGTGCTGGGATTACAGATGGGTGTCACCGCAGCTGGCCTCTGAGGAGGGTTTCATTATAAACCTGCCCTGAAGGGAGGGAATCCAATTTTACGAGAGGGTGTAGCCTGGTGAGGCCTGGATGACCTCCGCAGGCAGGGGCTTGTGCCTGGGCTGAGGCCTAAGGGACAATGGGCAGACATGAAGTTGCCCCAGGCAGAGGGTACAGTGTGGGCAAAGTCAGGAAGTGGCAGGGCTTGGATCACTCCAGGAAGAGAGAGGAGTCACGTGTCACAGGAGCTCGAGACCCAGAGAGAGAGTGAGGCAGGCAGGCAGGCAGGCAGGGACCAAGCTTGGGCACAGCCAGGAAGGCAGGACAGGGCATGGTGGGGCCAATGGAATCATTACCCAAGACGGGCATTTTCAGGGAAACAGCTTAGATAAGGCCAGGCGTACAGTAGCTCCCACCTGTAATCCCAGCATTTGGGGAGGCTGAGGTAGGAGGACTGCTTGAGCCTGGGAGTTCGAGACAAGCCTAGGCAACATAGTGAGACCCCATATCCACAAAAAATTTAAAAAAGGAGTTTGTGTTCCTGTAGTAGCATACTTGGGAGGTTGAGGTGGCAGTATCACTTGAGCCCGGGAGTTCAAGGCTAAAGTGAGCTGATTGATTGAGCCATTGCACTCCAGCCTGAGCGACAGAGAGATACGCTGTCTCAAAGGAAATACAAATTAAAAAACCAGCCGGGCATGCTGGCGTGTGCCTGTAGTCTCAGCTACTTGGGACACTGAAGTGGGAGGATCGCTTGAGCCCAGGAGTTCAAGGCTGCCGTGAGCTATGATTGTGCCTGTGCACTCCAGCCTGGGCGACAGAGAAAGACCCTGTCTGTCTCTTAAAAAAAAAAAAAAAAAAAAAAAAAATCTTAGAGGATGCTGTGCCTCCCTGGGGGTCTTCAGTCACCCATGGTCCTGGCAGCAGAGGAGGGCCAGGAGAGAGCTTCACCCACCTGCTGTCCTGCCCATGTGACATCCGCAGGTGCTGCCATGGCCACGACTGTTGTTACACTGGAGCTGAGGAGGCCGGCTGCAGCCCCAAGACAGAGCGCTACTCCTGGCAGTGCGTCAATCAGAGCGTCCTGTGCGGTGAGTCCCCAGCACCACCATGCCACCCACCCCGAGTATCCCCTGGGCATCCTGGCATAGCCAGATGACTTCCGTGCCCCTGTTGCAATAACCACTGCTTCCAACTCTCTATAGACCACCCCTTGGGTATATCTAATGTAAGTGATATTTATTTTATTTATTTTTTGAGTCAGAGTCTCGCTCTGTCACCCAGGCTAGAGTGTGCTGATGTGATCTTGGCTCACTACAACCTCTGCCTCCTGGGTTCAAGCGATTCTCATGCCTCAGCCTCCCAAGTGGCTGGGACTACAGGCATGCACCATCACGCCCAGCTAATTTTTGTATGTTTTTCAGTAGAGGTGGGGTTTCACCAAGTTGGCCGGGCTGGTCTCAAACTCCCCACCTCAAGTGCTCTGCCCGCCTCGGCCTCCCAAAGTGCTGGGATTACAGGCATGAGTCGTGGTGTCTGGCCCTAATGTGAGTGATCTTTAACAATGAAGACTTGAAAAAGAAAACCCTGAAGAAACCTAATTCTTTGATGTCTGGACGACAAGGAAGAAGATAGAAATGGCATCAGATAATAAACAGTGTAAATGTTTATCAGAAAGAGGCTGGTGGTCGGGACCAGTAGGAGGATCGCTTGAGTCCAGGAGTGCATCTCTACAAAAAAGTTAAAGGATTTTTTAACATTGGCCAGGCATGGTGGCACACATCTGTGATCCCAGCTACTTGGGAGGCTGAGGCAGGATTGCTTGAAGCCCAGGAGGTTGAGGATGCAGTGAGCTGTGATTGAGCCACTGCACTCCAGCCTGGCTGACAGAGCAAAACCCAGTCTCAAAAAATAATAATAATATTTTACATAACCAACCACTTCTAAAGACTAAAAAAAACCCCTACAATTAAAAACCTCAGGTCCCTCAGGCAATCATACCGATATTGAAACAAAGCAATAACATAAGGACTGCAGTATTTATTTTATTTTTATATTATTTATTTATTCTTTGTTAGTTTGTTTTTGGAGTGTGGGTTTTGTTTTGTTTTTTGATTTTTTTCTTTTGTTCCACTCACAGATTTCTTCTTATTGCCCAGGCTTGAGTGCAATGACCTGTTCTCAGCTTACTCAACCTCTGCCTCTTGGGTTTCAGTGATTTTTCTGCCTCGGCCTCCTGAGTAGCTAAGGGAGGAGTCTTGAGATTATCATCCACGGAGGGTGGAAGAGGAGAGGGTGGAAGGGGAATAAGAAGACATTCGGGAGGTGTCTTGAGGCTCAGGGAGTTATCAGTTATAGAATGTTGTTGAGTTGGAGGAGGTGGCTGGCGGCCCATCCTGTTTTTTAAAGTTTCAGCTGTGAGGTAGGGCCAGTAGGGCAATCCTGAAGAATGACGATGCTCCGCTGCCGCCATTCTGACCTGTAGGGCCGAAGAAGGGAATGTTTTCACACATATTCATTTGATGGACAAAATTACCGCCACCAACACGGTCTGCACCTTCTGTTGCTGGTGATAGATTTTTGCACCTTTCCATCCTCCAGGTTTCAAAATAGCAGTATCAGTGTCATAATATCACCCTTCCACTGAGTACTGCCGACAGCTGGGGAGTAAAGAAAAGTCATTGGGACACACTGTTGTCTCCACATGCCACTGTGTCTGTCTGCAAATGTAGGCAGGCTGGGGTCCTGCCCCAGGGAAGACAGAGTCATAACAGAGTAATAAAGAGGCATGTTTGAGACACAGGAGTGTCTATGTCTATCCTCATTCCTCCCTCACAGCCATCACCAGAGCATGTTTCTTGCACCAGGTCAACAGACAGTAAGAGAGGCATGAAAAGCCCATTGTCCACACATGTTGCAGCTTCTTTTTGGAGAATGTTTTCCAGGCCTTTTATGTTCTGTCTCTGATTCTCGGAACTCTGCAAGGTCAGTGTGACCACCCTGCTCCAAATCTAAGAAAACAGAGGTTTCCAGAGGAAGGAGAAATTGTGCCCGGGGTCACACAGCTTGCAAGAGGCAGAGTGGAAGTTGATTCCAGCTCTGCCTGCAGGACCCTCTCATTTCCCCTGTTTCCCTTCTTGATAAAGGATCTTCTTCACTCTGGAGGTGCCACCCATGAGAACAAAGAGCTCTGCAGAGATGTGGATTCCTGAAGAGCTGCAGGGGAACTGGGAGAGGGTTTTCTGACAGAACAATCTTACCTCAAGAAGTCAGTTAGGCATGGCTGTAATATTTCTTTTCACTCCCAGGTAATACCAAATTGTAAGTGCACTAGGACATAAAGAATACTTTTGTCCATGGAAAAATGAGGTGGGAATTCTAAACAAAGCAAGTTTTAAAACTGTTTCACTTCAAGTGTACAAGTCCCATCACGTGTAATCATAGGACTCGGCAGCTTTTGAAGGTACAGAGGCCACACAAGAACCAGCTTAGCTGAGCATCATTTAAGGCCTTCATTTGGAATTGTCCCTGTGGGTAATAAGTTACATTCACTCTTCACTAATTTACAGTCAGGGCCCATTTGCTATTACAAATATGGAACCTCTGACACTTTGAATATTAGATCAGGGGCCCCACTGGGTGGGGATGAAGGTGTTTTTGCACAACACGGTTACCAACAGGGATGGGACTGTGATGCTTGTAGGCAGCCTTCCTCTCTGCCATCTCCCTCTGCAGGGCTTGAGCACAGAGCTGTAGGGAGAAAAATGTATCCATGTCCTGACCTGGCAGACTGTCCAAAAGCAAGGAAAACAAACAAACTTACCCAGTTGCAAAGAGGCTTTCTTGCAGAGGGGGTGATCTGAAAAAGCCAACACATGAGAAATTGAATGTTGAGAGAGTCTAAGGGCGGTGGCATCATCTGCATCAGCACTGAACTATCCTGCAACTGCGGGGAGGAAGCTCCTTACTTTGCATTTGTGGTAGTCCTCTGCCCGCCACCGCAACTCTTGCGCACGTTGAAACATTTTCCTATGGATTACAATCACTTTCATCAGATAAAGCACCACTTTCAGGATGATTTTAAATAATCTGCCACGTTTCTGTTATCCTCATAACTGTACCCTTACACAATCTATCTCTACCTAGAAAACGTATTTCAGAGGGCTATAAGAGTACAGTCTGAGCTGGTCGCGGTGGCTGACGCCTGTAGTCCCAGCACTCTGGGAGGGCGAGGCAGATGGATCACGAGGTCAGGAGATTGAGACCATCCTGGCTAATACGGTGAAACCCCGTCTCTACTAAAAATACAAAAAATTAGCCGGGCGTGGTGGCAGGCACCTGTAATCCCAGCTACTCGGGAGGCTGAGGCAGGGGAATCACTTGAACCTGGGAGGCGGAGGTTGCAGTGAGCCAGGATCACGTCATTGCACTCCAGCCTGGGTGACACAGCGAGACTCCATCTCAGAAAAACAAAAAAAAACTGTACAGTCTGATCCAAACTGTTGCTATATTGATTCCTCCTCTTGCTTACTGCCTGCTGACTTCTGAGATGATAGTTTCCTTCCCCATTCTCAGTATATCCCTAATTCATCCTTCACTGAGCATCTTTTATCATAAAGCTGTATTCTCTTTGTATTAATATCCTTACCGTGTTTCACAGGGCAGAAACAGCTGGGCTTATAAACAGGCATAGTCCTTTTGAAGGATGTGGTTGATCCTACAACAACACACTTTCCTAAGGATGACAACAACTCACCCCACCCCTAGAATGGCTGGTATGAACCGAGTTTCTACACAGTCTAGCTGGCAATGGGGTCAGGAGACCTTTTGCTGCTTCACATCTTTTGGTCACTGGTAAATATTAAGGTACTTTGTTTTCTGTTTTGTGAACTCTCTCTCTCTCTCTCACGATATGTCTTCTGACCATTTGTTTCTATTTCTGCATTTACTGGGTCTAAACATTGTACAGAGGTTAAAAACAACACTCCAATGGGCGTTTCCCAGGAGGGTGGGGTTCAGTTTCTGAACTCACTTGTAGGTGTGTATTTCTTTCATATCCAATTTCCCATTTTCCTCTGCCTCTGATACCTGCCTCTCCTTTTCTGCATGCTCACATTCTTTCATGCTTAGTTTCCTCAGGTTAGAAGGGAGAGAAATGCACACACATGATCCACCAGCCCATGTGGGATTCTCTCTGCCCTTCTGGCATCTGAAGGCTGTGATTCAAAGATGCCCCCTGCAACCTTCCCATAAATGAACCAACTGATTCTCACAACCGAAGGGAGAATGGACACCTCCCATTGAGGGAGAAAAAAAAAATCACACTCTGGCCTGCTGGCAAGTCACCTGTCATTTCCAGCTCATCTTCATAGTTCCATAGTTAGTCCTATTCTTTAGTAAATATAAAGACTATTAAAAGCTTCTACGAGGTGCAACTATGTGTGTCTCTGGGGTCAGTCTTGTGCTTGACACAGTGAAAGTTCATTTTAGTTCGGTGTGAAAAACCAGACCTCACCAACTCATCACAACTAACTCCATCGGAAGCAGAGGATTGCTCCTCATCTGACTCCTCCTGTGTGAGACCTGATTCTCAGTCAGAGGCTGATGCCGGAACTGAGACCATCAGCCATAGAGAGATCCTTCCAGAATATGGTGTCATTAACCCCGCAGTTCACTACTGCACTTTGCCGTGATTCAGGACTGGAACTCTTGTCATCGACTTGAAAGATCCTGGTTGAGAGGAAAGGCAATCTGAATGCCGGGCACATCTATTGAATTAGAAATGATCGGAATGGCTCCTAAGTCAGGGTGTTATGTCCTGAAAATAGGTGACAACTGCAAACCATCCACCCTGGTGTTGACTGACTTTAACAAGGTTCAGTTCACAGAGATTGAGGGCAGAAAAAGGAAATGGCCTAAAAAGGGTAAGTTTGCTGTGTTGCCCTCACACCACTTGATTCATGGTCCTTATCCTAAGGATCTCACCTGATACTTGGTTTTATAGGAAGGATGTGTAAAATTCCCAGAACGCTAGGAAACAGGGACGAAAACACTTCAAAGGGAAAGTTAATGAACTTGTTTCTGACCACAGAGCATCCTTCAGCACATGCTGTCTGGAGTGGCCTCCAACAAGGAGTGTGTGGTGAGGTGCTGAGAATGCAATGGGAGCAGGGTCCTGTCCCCACGCTAAAGAAGCTCACAGTTTAATGCAAATGAGAAGCCAGTGAGGACATCACTACTCCTGCTGTGCACTTGGAAACTAGAAACACAAAACCTGACTCTGGAGGGAAGCTAAGGAAGCATTCTACTCTTGAGTTGACATAAGTGCATCTGAAGCTTCTGATCTCCGATGAGAACAATGGGGGACACCAAACAGAATATAAAACCCATGATTGAATACATCAAATTGCTAACATGGCAGTAAACAGACATGAGGTGAAGATGGAGAAGAAGGCAACCCAGGACAAAAGTCAGCCTTGCATTTGGAACCCATTTCCCTGATTTCATTGCTGAATTCCAGAAGGAACTACTGAGATGCAAAGCAGCAGAGCAGCTTCTGCACACATGCGTGGGATTAGATGGAAAACAAGTGGACTGAGGGTCTGCCAATGAAAGCGACCCGTACTGAAGTCCACTGGCTCTGGTTGAGACCCAGAAGAGTCACACATCAGAATAGAGGTGGACAGGAAATACCCTGGCCTTTGTAGGGACTGAGCCTGCACTGATGACCTTAATTGCAGCCTGTATGGAGGACCCCTGACCATCCCCCAGAAGTAGACTCCCATCTCTTCTGCAGCAAGATAACACGCTACTAGGCCTCAATTCATTGCTAAATATTTTTTAACAAGTATCTCACATTTAACAAAAAGAGATCAGTCATATGGCAGCAAAAAACAATGTAATATGACCAAAACATGAAAGACTGTGAAAATGAATCTGGAGGTGACCCAAGCATTGAATTCAACAATCCAGGCTGGGTGCGGTGGCTCACACTGGGAGGATGAGGTAGGCAGATCACCTGAGGTCAGGAGTTCAAGACTAGCCTGGCCAACATGGTGAACCCCTGTCTCTACTAAAAATACAAAAATTGGGCTGGGCACAGTGGCTCACACCTGTAATCCCAGCACATTGGGAGGCCGAGGTGTGCTGATCATGATGTCAGGAGTTCTAGACCAGCTTGGCCAATATGGTGAAACCCCGCCTCTACTAAAAATACAAAAATTATCCGGGCATGGTGGCATATGCCTGTAGTCCCAGCTACTCAAGAGGCTGAGGGATAAGAATCGCTTGAACCTGGGAGGCGGAGGTTGCAGTGAGCCAAGATCATGCCACTGCACTCTAGCCTGGGTGACAGAGACTCTGTCTCAAAAAAAAAAAAAAAAAACTGGCCGAATATGGTGGCACACACCTGTAATCCAAGCTACTCAGGAAGCTGAGGCAGAATTGCTTCAAACTGGGAGGTAGAGGTTGCAGCGAGCCAAGATTCCACCATAGCACTCCAGCCTGGGAGACTGAGCGAGACTCTATCTCAAAATTAAAAAAAAAAAAAAAGGCTGGGTGTGGTGGCTCACGCCTCTAATCCCAGCACTTTGGGAGGCTGAGGCGGGTGGATTACCTGAGGTCAGAAGTTCGAGACCAGCCTGGACAACATGGTGAAACCCCATCTCTAGTAAAAATACAAAAATTAGCTGGGCATGGTGGTGGGCACCTGTAATCCCAGCTACTTGGGAGGCTGAAGCAGGAGAATTGCTTGAACCCAAAAGGCAGTGAGCTGAGATTGTGCCATTGCACTACAGCCTGGGCAACAAGAGCAAAGCTCCATCTCAGGAAAAAAAAAAAAAAAAAAAAGAGAGAGAGAAAGGAAAACCAATGCCAGTACTAGCAACTCCTCTTCCCCCAAAAAAATTACAAACAAGAATGTAGGAAGGGAAAGGAATTATACAGCTTAAACTAATGAAGCAGAAAGGACAAACTCAATTTTGAACCCACTGAATTTGCCACAAATATTGTAGAAAATATTCTCAAGGACTTTACAGTTGTCTACTTTGATTGGCACATGGTTCATACAACAGTATTTGTGTCAAGGCACATCTTACTGTTCTTTGGCGGTCTTCCTCTTTCCATTGATTTTGTAATGATGGTTGACTTTCTTTGTGACCTTCATCTTACGGATTTTAGCTTGAACTTTTGTTTCCGCCTGTTTCCATAAAGTACAGATGTCTTCCAGGCCAATTTTAATTCCTGGAAAGGAAGAAACTCTTTTCTTTGTGTGCATACAAATGGACCTCAGCCCTGGGTGAGAGTGAGGAGAGGAGAAGGTGAGAAACCTGAGGGCAAGAAGCTATTCTTTCCCTTTCCAGGGCAAACTCATTTCCACACTATGGGGACTCCAACAGAGCCATACCTTCCTGTCTACGGCGGTTGGACCTCCTAGCTCTCTGCTGTACATCCCTGGATCTATCATGTCCATTTCGAGACCAGAAGATAGTCTTCAGGAAAGGCACCTAGGAAATAATAATATAAGAATGACGGCTGGGCACGGTGGCTCATGCGTATAATCCCATTAATTTGGGAGGCCGAGGCAGGTGGATCACAGGGTCAGGAGTTCAAGACCAGCCTGGCCAAGATGGTGAAACCCCGTCTCTACTAAAAATACAAAAATTAGCTGGGCATGGCAGCGGGCGCCTGTAATCCGAGCTACTCGGGAGGCTGAGGCAGAGAACCGTTTGAAGCTGGGAGGCGGAGGTTGCAGTGAGCCGAGATCACACCACTGCACTCCAGCCTGAGCGACAGAATGAGACTCTGTCTCACACACACACACACACACACACACACACACACACACAAAAGAATGACATGAGGCTGGCACGGTGGCTCACTCCTGTAATCCCAGCACTTTGGGAGGCCGAGGCAGGAGGATCACCTGAGGTCAGGAGTTTGAGACCAGCCTCACCAACATGGAGAAACGCTGTCTCTGCTAAAAATACAAAATTAGCCAGGCATGGTGGTGCATGCCTGTAATCCCAGCTAGTTGGGAGGCTGAGGCAGGAGAATCACTTGAACCCAGCAGGAAAAGGTTGTGGTGAGCTGAGATTGTGCCATTGCACTCCAACCTGGGCAACAAGATTGAAACTCTGTCTCAAAAAAAAAAAAAAAAAAAAAAAAGGCCAGGTGCGGTAGCTCACGCCTGTAATCCCAGCACTTTGGGAGGCCGAGGCGGGAGAATCACAAGGTCAAGAGATGGAGACCATTTTGGGCAACATGGTGAAACCCCGTCTCTACTAAAAATACAAAAATTAGCTGAGCATGGTGATGCACGCCTGTAGTCCCAGCTACTCGGGAGGCTGAGGCAGGAGAACTGCTTGAACCCAGGAGGCAGAGGTTGCAGTGAGCCAAGATCCCACCACTGCACTCCAGCCTGGTGACAGAGTGAGACTCCGTCTCAAAAAAAGAAAAAAATGACACGAATATATTTCACACAACTCAACTGTACACTTCAACATGGTTAGATGGTAATTATCATCTCATAAGTATTTTACCACAGGTTAACATGTTTCACAACTTGAAAAGGAAGGAATTACCTTCAGCTCTCTGAGTTCTAGAATTTGTAACATTTCACCCCCTGCTTCTTCCTGATCTACACTGGAGCATCTTCCTTCTGTCCCTGCTCTACTCAGAGTTCACTTTCCCTTCCCTCACATCAGCTTCATTGAGGCTGGTTTGTACTTAACGCAAAACATTCTCACTAATGACTGAATTCCCACCAAGATTTCCATATTATCACAGTATGCTTTTAATCTTCTAAGATATTAAATATTTGTTCTCATCACAGCTAAAATGCAATGCAAATCCCATCTCAGATGTGGGTCAGATACCTATGAATCTCCTGAGGTAGTCATTGAAATGACTTTTTTTTTTCTTGAGACAGAGTGTCACTCTCAACCATGCTGAAGTGCAGTGGCGCTACCTTGGCTCATGGCAACCTCCACCTCCCAGATTCAAGCGATTCTTGTGCCTCGGCCTCCCAAGTAGCTGGGATTACAGGTGCCTGCTACCATGCCTGGCTAATTTTTGTCTTTTTATTAGAGATGGGGTTTCACCATGTTGGCCCACCTGGTCTTGAACTCCTGACCTCAAGTGATCCACCTGTCTCAGCCTCCCAAAGTGCTGGGATTACAGACATGAGCCACCACACCTGGCCTGAAATAATATCTTTCAAAATCTTTGTAGAATTTTTTTTTCCTGATTTCTGCACATAGGATAAAAAAAAAAATCATGTACTAGGATTTCGAGAGAAGCAATGGGTAATCTAAAAAGATGAAAGGGCAACCACATCTATCCCACAGCTACTGCTAGATTTCATAGGAAAGGTAGCTGGCCCAGTTTGGAGATAGGAGAAATGTCAAACACATGAAGAAATGAGAAGCAAAGAAATGCCATCACGCATGAATGCTTCATGGCACCCATGATGTCCCTGCTTAGGAGGTAATGGTATAGATGACTAGATGACAAGGACAAAGAAGAGAGGTGCGAAGTTGTCCAAGTCCAACAGCTCAGCTGAACTTTCCTAAATGGAATTGTTAAAAAGTGGTAAATTTAAAAACTTCCCCTGGCTCACGTGGTGGCTCACGCTTGTAATCCCAGCACTTTGGGAGGCTGAGGCGGGTGGATCATTTGAGGTCGGGTTTTGAGACTAGCCTGGCCAACATGGTAAAACCCCGACTCTACTAAAAATACAAAAATTTGCTGGGCATGGTGGTGGGCACCTGTAATCCCAGCTACTTGAGAGGCTGAGGCAGGGGAATCGCTTGAAGCCAGGAGGTGGAGGTTGCAGTGAGCCGAGATCACACCATTATACTCCAGCCTGGGCAACAGAGGGAGACTTGTCTCGGGGGTAAGAAAAAAAAAAAAAAAAAAAAGCTTCCTCCAATTTATACCGAAAATTCTCTGTTCAGGACTAAGTGGCATAGAGAATGTTAAATTTGCCTAGATATCTTCATAACTCATATATTTTCTGTTTTCTACATATCTTGAAAGGCAGTGCCAAATGACGTATAATTATCTAGGTGGTAAAACTGAAACATACTTCCTCTTCCCTTGAATATAAAAAAGCATTGTGGTATTAGTACTTTTATCTTGGATCATTGTTCAAAAGGAGGTTCAGCCCCCAGACAACCACATTTTTACTGTCATGAATGACAAGACAAAATGTAGAGCTCAACTTACCCAAAGGAAAAAAGACTCAAAAGACAAATTATGGCACAACTTAGCAGCCAAATTCTTACCAAGTACAGACTTTTGACATACTGATCTCTCTCCAGTTGCAAGTGGGAACATGCACTTTGAATGATGTCATTCAAAATTACCCTGCCCAGACACACTTTTCATTGATTCTCTTGGAGGGCAGTTCTAAGAGATTCTCTGGGGCTTTCTCTGCATCGTGAGATGCAGTGCAGTTCTGCCCTTCACCTTCCGGCAGTTTGTCACCTCGTCCCTATGACCTCAGAGGAACTTTGTCTCAGGCCAATTGTTTGTTCCTTGGGCTCTTTCATTTCCCCTAAAAATCATTTGCTACCCCTCTAAATGGCCTACATCTCCATCTATCTCCCTCTCCCCTCAGAAGAGGGTGCTCTTTAAGCATCAACCATCCGGCCCTTCTAGCAGTCTCATTTTTCAGCTGGTTCCCATGTTTATGCCTGTTCTATGTTTTTCTTTTCCTGTTAAGCTGTCTGTTGTCAGCTCATTTCTGCAGTGAATCTTCCGAAAGGAGATTGGAAGCTTTCCTTCCACCCATACGATAGAACTATAAAGCAGAAGAGTTTAGAAAGAATTTCCTATTTAAGTGACGAAACCTCATACTCCATTTGTGATAAATAGTACAAAGGTTAAAAAAACTTATTTTTGACCAAAAGCTCTGTTGACATTCTATTAAACAAACACCGACCTATTTAATTTTCATAATGTAAATGGCAGATATTTTCATAATTCTTATGCTAATAAATCATTTCCCTGATTTTTTGGGTAAAACCACATATTCATAATGAAGTCCAGAAACGTGAATTGTTTTATATAATTTATTCTTATTTGTGATTACAAGTATACCTCTACAGAAAGTTAGTATACTCACACAAAGGTAAATTGTGCAGAAGAGAATGGTAAATTTGTAACGTCCCAGAAACACAATAATGATAATTATCCAAGGACTTCCACCAAAGTCAGTCTCACGATGACGATGGTCAGCCAGAGTATTGATAACCTGGAATAATAATAGTTGAAATAATGAAAAGGTCAATGACACCGACAATATTTCACTCAGAAAGAATCATCCTTAGAAACCGTCAACCTCCTCCAAAAGGTAACCACATCCCTCAGATATCACCGTGGGATTCCACTGCTACAAAAAAGAACAGAAGTTAGAAGTCTCATGTTTTTCAGATGGCTGGTAGTGTTTTTAGGCATTGCAAATGTGGGGTGTTGTCTTTCTTGGTATAAAGCAGGGATATCCAATCTTTTCACTTCCCTGCCTATAGTAAAAGAAGCAAAGTTGTCTTGAGCCACACATAACATACACTAACACTAACAATAGCTGATGATCTAAAAAAAAAAACTTTTTTTTTTTTTTTTTTTGGAGACAGAGTTCCGCTCCACTCAGTCGCCCAGGCTGGAGTGCAGTGGTGCAATCTCGGCTCACTGCAACCTCCAGCTCCTGGGCTCAAGCCATTCTCCTCCCTCAGCCTCCCGAGTAGCTGAGATTACAGGTCTCTGCCACCAGGCTCGACTAATTTTTGTATTTTTAGTAGAGATGAGGTTTCACCATGTTGGCCAGTCTGGCCTTGAACTCCTGACAGGCGATCTGCCTGCCTCAGCCTCCCAAAGTGCTGGGATTACAGGTGTGAGCCACCGTGCCCAGCCATTTTTTTGTTTTTGTTTGTTGTTTTTGAGATGGGGTCTCACTCTGTCACCCAGGCTGGAGTGCAGTGGTGCGCTCTCGGCTCACTGCAACCTCTGCCTCTCAGGTTCAAGTGACTCTCCTGCCTCAGCCTCCTGAGTAGCTGGGAGTACAGGTGCCTGACAATGCACTCAGCAAATTTTTGTATTTTTTGTGGAGATGGGGTTTTGCCATGTTGGCCAGGGTGGTCTCAAACTCCTGACCTCAGGTAATCTGCCCACCTCAGCCTCCCAAAGTGCTGGGATTACAGGCATGAGCCACTGTACCTGGCCAAAATCTCCTAATGTTTTAAGAAAGTTTACAAATTTGTGTTGAACTGCATTCAAAACTGTCCTGGGCCACATGCAGCCCGTCACTCATGGGTAAGACAAGCTAAGTATAATGTAATTATCTTTTCTTTTCTTTTTGTTTTGAGACAAAATCTTGCTCTGTCACCCAGGCTAGATTGCAGTGGCATGATTTCAGCTCACTGCAACCTCCGCCTCCCGGGTTCAAGCGATTCTCCTGCCTCAGCTACTGAGTAACTGGGATTACAGTCGCCTGCCACCGCGCTCGGCTAATTTTTGTATTTTTAGTAGAAACAGGGTTTCACCATCTTGGCCAGGCTGGTCTCCAACTCCTGACCTCATGATCCACCTGCCTCGGCCTCCCAAAGTGCTGGGAATACAGGTGTGAGCCACTGCGCCTGGCCAGTAGTTATCTTTTAAGTTATTTACTTGTTTTTTAAATTGATGTATAACATTGGATGCATTTATTATATATCACATGGTAAAAGAATCCCTCTAAATAATACTTCTCTTTTGGATTATATGAATCTTTGTCATTTAAAGCTCAGCATAAGTAAAAAAAAAAAAAAATACAATGAAGAGATTACTTCATTCACAAATAAGTATCAAATTTTAGTGCTTAAAAATTAACAAGCTGGGCCAGGCGTGGTGGCTCACGCCTGCAATCCCAGCACTTTGGGAAGCCGAGGTGGGTGGACCACGAGATCAGGAGACTGAGACCATCCTAGCTAACACGGTGAAACCCATCTCTACTAAAATTACAAAAAATTAGCAGGGCATGGTGGCACGCACCTATAGTTCCAGCTACTTGGGAGGCTGAGGCAGAAGAATCACTTGAACCCGGGAGGCAGAGGTTGCAGTGAGCTTAGATCGCACCACTGCACTTCAGCCTGGGTGACAGAGCGAGACTCTGTCTCAAAAAAAAAAAAATTACCAAGGTGGAGATCATGAAAATGGCATGAATAGTGTGGGATTTCTCTAAGATTGTTGATATTAATTCCATTAGACTCTTATGTGAGTGAAGACGAAGACTTCCTCTGAGTAAGTTCAGACAGCTTGTGATAACATTTCTACATCGATTCCTCAGGATTTAACTATATATTCTTGAAAACATCTCAATTTTAAATGTTTCTTTCAAGATGGTGAATTAAACAGAGATAGCCCTTCAACTGGTTGAACTCGTGAGTCTGAAATGGAAATGATGGAGTTAGAGAACCATACAACAATGGTAATGATTTCAGAAACATGGTGTTGAGCAGAATAAAGCAGACACAAAAGAGTACCTATGGCATGGCATGCATCTGTATACGCGAAATTCCAGAATAAGCAAGCTAACCTATGATAAGAAAGAGACTGGCTGGGAAGAGTGAGAGTTCACTTTCTGGGGTGACATAATAGTGTAGATCTTGGCTGGGCACGGTGGTTCACGCCTGTAATCCCAACACTTTGGGAGGCCGAGGCGGGCGGATCATCTGAGGTCGGGAGTTCAATACCAGCCTGACCAACATGGAGAAACCCTATCTCTACTAAAAATACAAAATTAGCTGGGAGTGGTGGCACATGTCTGTAATCCCAGCCACTCGGGAGGCTGAGGCAGGAGAATCGCTCGAACCTGGGAAGCAGCGGTTGCGGTGAGCTGATATTGCCCCATTGCACTCCAGCCTGGACAACAAGGGAGAAACTGTCTCAAATAAATAAATAAATAAATAAAATAATGTAGATCTTGAAAGGGGGTCGGTTTATGCTGGTGTATGTACTTTCCAAAGTTAGTAAACTTACACTTAAGGTTATATATTTTGGCCAGGCGCGATGGTTCACGCCTGTAATCCCAGCACTGGGAGGCCGAGGCAGGCGGATCACGAGGTCAAGAGATGGAGACTATCCTGGCGAACATGGTGAAACCCCGTCTCTACTAAAAATACAAAAATTAGCCAGGCGTTGTAATCTGAGCTACTCAGGAGGCTGAGGCAGGACAATTGCTTGAACCCTGGAAGCGGAGGTTGCAGTGAGCCGAGATCTTGCCACTGCACTCCAGCCTGGGCGACAGAGTGAGACTCTGTCTAAAAAAAAAAAACAAAAAAAGTCATCAAACCAGATGACACAAATCAAATGACATTTCACTTTGTTTTGGTCCATTTTGTTTGTTAGAGACAAGAGTGCAGCGGGGCCATCTCGGCTCACTGCAACGTCCAGCTCCTGGGCCCAAGCGATCCTCCCACCTCAGCCTCTCCAGTAACTGTGATAACAGGTACGCACCACCAGGCCCGACTAATCTTTTTTGGAATTTTTTGTAGAGATGGGGTTTCGCCATGATGCCCTGGCTAGTCTTCAACTCCTGGACTCAAGTGATCTGCCCACCTCGGCCCCCTAAAGTGCTGGGATTACAGGCCTGAGCTGTGTAATTTCATGCCGCCTGACACAGCCCAGTAAAAAGGAAGAAACCCCGCGGGTCCAGCGTCTACTCACAGGGGTGGGCTGATGGCTGATAAATCCCAGCAGGAGCCAGAAGAGGAGCCAAAAGCGCAGCCACCGCACCCGCATGTCCTGGTCCTTTCAGGGCGCCCTGAGGCAGCCAGGACAGAGGTGGAGGTGGCTTAGGGCAGGGGGGAGGGAAGGGGATGGGACCGGGGCCAGATCTGAGTTGGGGAGGGGGAGGGGAAGGGGAGGGGAAGGGGGGAAGTAAGGGAAGGGAAAGGAGGAGAAGGGGGCTGTTGGGCACCTGGAGGAGGAGGAGGAGGAGGAGGAGAAGAAAGCGGTCTGGGAAAGGATCCAGTTCAAATTAAGTTCTCAAGCGCTGGTGGAAGGTTTAGCTACAGGTCACGTAGAAGATCAGGGAAGCAACAGGACACGCAGGGCAAGGGAGCGTGAGGCTTAGGAGCAATTAGAAGGAGACAAAGGTTCTCCTTTCCACCAAACCTTCTTCGGTCTGGGCCCTCCCTTAGCAACCCTGGGGCTTTATACTCCCTCTCCACCAATCCCTGATGACCCCGGTGGTGCCTCACAATGGACAATGCCAAGTAGCGCCCGCATCATTCCAATGACCCCTCCCCCATCTCAGTCCCCCACGCTCCTCCCAAGGACAGGTCCTCTCTGGAACCTTCACAAACCTGATTTCTGGTCCTCCCCAACCAGCTCCCTGTCCCTGCTTCTGGGCGCTCCTTCCTTCCTGAGCTCCCAGGGTTCCTCAAGGTCACCTTTGGCGACAAAACATAAAAAACAAATGATGGCAGGATGGCAGGAAGAACCTCATACCCAAGCAGAGTGCCAGGTTTTACAGCCTCCGCTCAGCCATTCATATCCTAAGCAACAAAACATCAGCAGGATGCGGAAGGTCCCGATAGTAAACCATCTCCATCACATCCATGTAGCCATCCGTCCATCAACCTGTATCTCAGGAACAAATGTAGATACATTCATTTTAAGCATACATGGTACATTTGCAAAAATTAACCTGACTTATTTTGTTCCAGCAAATCTCAATATATTTGAGAGCAATCAAATCACACAGCATGTTTCTGATCATATAACTGTGCTAGAAGTCAATGATTAAAAGCTAATTCAAAATTATTATTTGCTTGGAAATTCAAAGTGCCCTTATAAGATATAAACATAAGAAAGAATCCAAAATGAAACAAGATTGCCTTTAAACTCAATGATAAGATCATAACATGGCAATAAAATGTCTCCCTCTGGCCTGGGAATTCCTCTTTGTGGCACAAGGTTGTGTGATCTCAAATCACCCCTAACCCACCTAGACATCTTAACATCCGAAACCGAGTGATGATGTCCTTATCTATATCATCTTACTGCCCGTGTGTGTGGACTTTAAATTCTGAACCCAAATGAGGGGGAGAAAACCAAGTTGACTTTCATGACTGACCTCTCAGGGACGTCCAAGGAATCTGTGCATTTCAAGAAACAAAGTTCATCAGCTTCTCTCCTAAGGTATTCGCCCACAATACCCAGAGGGCTTGGCAGCATCATGTGTGATGGGTGGGGAGCTCCAAGCAGGTGGGTAGGACCCAGGGGCCTGGTGACCAGGACGGACCCCCACTGTCCATCACCTTTCCTGGCCCTGTCCTCAGCTAAACTTCCCACAGGCCTTCTGCCCGATCACACAGAGTGTGCCCAAACTCACTCAGGCCTCTGGCGGCTGAAAACCACTGCTTTAAATCCCTTTACATTTACTATCACATAAGGTTATTGTAAATGAGAAATATTCTATTGATGCTACAAATGGAAAGCCAATGCCTTTACCATAAATAGAAAAACAACCCTAAGAAACAAGCAAAACAAAAACAAAACGGGCTGGGTGTGGTGGCTCACGCCTGTAATCCCACCACTGTGGGAGGCCGAGGTGGGTGGATCACAAGGTCGGGAGTTCCAGACCAGCCTGGCCAATATGGTGAAACCCTGTCTCTAATAAAATACAAAAATTAGGTGGGTGTGGTGGTGGGCGCCTGTAGTCCCACCTACTTGGGAGGCTGAGGCAGGAGAATAGTTTGAACCTGGGAGGCAGAGTTTGCAGTGAGCTGAGATTGCACCACTGCACTCCAGCCTAGGAGACAGAGTGAGACTCTGTCTCAAAAACAGCAACAACTACAAACAAACAAACAAAAAACGGGGTGAACAAAACTATGGAATTCAATTCTATTTGTATGCTGCAGCCATGTTCCAGCCCTAGATTTGGCTGGGCATGGTGGCTCACGCCTGTAATCCCAGCACTTTGGGAGGCTGAGGCAGGCGGATCACGAGGTTAGGGGTTCGAGACCAGCCTGACCAACATGGTGAAACCCCGTCTCTACTAAAAATACAAAAATTAGCCAGGCATGGTGGCACACGCCTGTAATCCCAGCTACTCAGGAGGCTGAGGCAGGACAATCCCTTGAACCCGGGAGGCGGAGGTTGCAGTGAGCCGAGATCGTACCATTGCACTCCAGCCTGGGTGACAGAATGGAATGAGACTCTGTCTCAAAAAAAAAAAAAAAAAGAAGCCCTAGATTTCGGTTGTATTGGTTGTAAAAGGAGAGACCAACTAAGTGGGGGTTGAAGTCAGATTAGACCAAAAGTGAATGGCAGAGAGTGCCATAATGTCCATGAAGGGTTGCTAGAGTCACCGCGATCATAGCCCAAGCAGAGACAGAGAAAGGAAGATGTGAGCAGAGTTTGGGGCCTCAAACAATGGAGGTTATTCGTGCAGCCCAGGAAAGGCTCCCCAAAGCCAGGATCAACCTCCCTTGCAGGCGGTCCCCCTCATGGAGGCATGGCCAGGCACCTTAGATTTGAGACCAGCTGCGTTGCTGCTGACCAGCTGTGTGACCCTGGGCTGGTTTCCTTCCATACAATGGGAGAGCCAACGGCTGCATGCATGCAAAGACCGTCTGAGGATAGGAGGAAGCAATCTGTTGAGCACCCGTGTACCTGAGTGTCATCACCTCCCAAGGGCATCCTTCGTTCCAGAGCTGGCACCTTGGAAGGCCCTTGGTCACTGAAGGCAGTGATGATGGTAACAGCAGTAAATCATCATTTACGGCTGATGAGGGAAGGCCAGGGGTAAGGCTCCTAGGTCCTGGATAAGAATGAGGGTCTGGGCACTCCTGGGGACAGCTGAGTGGTAGGACTCCTGGGTCCCCAGGGGGCAGGTCCATCTTCAGTGGCATTGGGCCTTGGCTGGGATGCTGAGTTATCCACTGGAGCATCGGCAGTACAGGCAGGCACAGAGGCAGTGGATCCATCGGAGGTGGCAGGTGTAGGATCGTCTGGTGAGCAAGTAGAGTCACCAAGTCTGGCTGACCACTACCCCCACTACCCCCACTATCCCCACAGACGATGCCCTGTCCCTTGCCTCATGCTCCGGCAGGGTACAGGCTCGCACCTGGGGCCTCATGGAGCATCTCTCTAAGACCTCTGTGTCCTGGTCATTGAATGGGCACTTGAGTCACCCAGGGCCATTGGAACAAAGAGGAAGAATCAGGCCCCACGATGTTTTGGGAGAGTGTTTAGCACAGGAAAATGCACAGAATACATGCACGACACAGGGGCACTGTCAGTGTGGGAGCAATAGTTTACAACCTCCAGCCCTAATCTGAGCACTCTCACCTGTGCAATCTGAAAGGAACAGGAGACTTGCAGGAAAGACAGTGCCTGGACTTCACTTAAAGGAACTAAACTGTTGGAATTTGTACTCTTGATATCCTTCCAAATCAACTCTCTCAATGTTCCCATCCTCAAAACTATCATATAGGGTAACTGAGGCAGTCAGAGATTTACTGACTCAATGTCACTCAGTTGATTCTGAGTTCACTGCTGATTACATCTGACCAAACTGCTTTTTCTGAAGTCTACTCTGTTTCATCATGCTGGTGATGATTTTGTGCAGCTCTGGGACAAACTCCACCTGGCTGAGGATAAAGCAAATCTGCGGTGACTTAGTCCTCCTGTCATTTCCCATCAGTTCCCCACTCTCCTCCTCTGCCCCTCCACAGTCTCCCATGCAGGCTGACACCATCTGACGGCCTTAATGGAGTCCACCGAGTATTTCAGGTTCTCTCCTGGGCCACTTGAAAGTGGATGTACCCATGGGATTTGCTTTGACCCAGGAGATGTGAGTGGAAGTGAAGCGTGTCACCTCGAGGCAAAAGAGTTGGGAGCCATTGAGACTGGCCACCCTCTCCTTCATCTTTTAGAGCAGCTGACAGCTCCCATATGGAGGCTGCTCCTTTATTCTCGTGGCAGGATGAGGGCATGTGGGGCACAGGGCACAGGAGAGCCATGGAGGATGTGCAGCATGGGCAGGAAAAGAGCCTTCAGTGGTGTACATTTCCATCGTTTGAGGCTGTTTCTTACCTACAGTGATACCTAGCCCATCCTAGCAGGCATGCACCATCTACCCCACACTCTGTGATGCAGACTAGCCTGCCGTCAGAACATGAACTGGTGGTCAGACACACGTAGGTTTCAGTTCCAGCTCTGCCTCTTATTGACTGCAACCTCAGGCTTAACTTTCAGTCTCTGAGCCTCAGTTTCAACTCTGTAAAATGAGGTGGCTATACCATCTCAGGTTGCAGAGAGAATTAAATGAAATATAAGTGCATATAGAGCATTGAACCCAGGGCCTGGCACACACAGTGAGTACACAATGTTAGCCATGTAGCTTCATAATGCATACTGATTGTCAATATTCAGACAATGCAGTAAAGTATTACCAAAAATAAAAGTAAACTTATTTGCATATGTATTCTTTCAATCTTTATTTTTAAACAGGGTAAAACTATGCATATTCTTTCATAGCCAGTGTTTTTCCCTTCATAGTATATTGTTAAAATAATTTTATCTTGGACCGGGTGCAGTGGCTCACACCTATAGTCCCAGCACTTTGGGAGGCCGCAGTGGGCAGATCACGAGGTCAGGAGTTGACACGAGCCTGGCCAATATGGTGAAACCCCATCTCTACTAAGAATACAAAAGTTAGCTGGGCATGATGGCGCACACCTGTAGTCCCAGCTACTCAGAGGCTGAGGCAGAGGAATCGCTTGAACCCGGGAGACGGAGGTTGCAGTGAGCCAAGATTGTGCCATTGCACTCCAGCCTGGGCGACAGAGTGAAACTCTGTCTCAAAATGTGTGTGTGTGTGTGTGTGTGTGTGTGTGTGTGTGTGTGTATCTATATACATCTCAAAAATAAAAGATCATTTTTGAGATTATCATTTTAAAAGACAAGATAATGTTCAACTTAATGACTAATTTAATTATTACTATTGGACTTTTTGTAGACTGCACAGAGCATTCAAAACAAATGAAGGAGAATAAAAAATATGTATTACATGTTGTAAAATAAATGTGATGTGGTTAATTCTTTTATTCAAAATTATAGAACATATATACGTACTATAGAATGTATTTCTTATTATAAGTCATGTTAAAAAGTAGTTTAGAAGCTGTTGATTTGAATTTCCTTTTCAAATTTTGCAGGATAATTTTTTTTTTTTTTTTTTTGACAGAGTCTCGCTCTGTCGCACAGTGTGGAGTGCAATGGCGTGATCTCGGCCCACTAAAACCTCCACCTCCTGAATCTAAGCAATTCTCCTGTCTCAGCCTCCTGAGTAGCTGGGACTACAGGCTCACACCACCATGCCCGGCTAATTTTTGTATTTTTAGTAGGGACGAGGTTTTGCCATATTGGTCAGGCTGGTCTCGAAGTCCTGGCCTCAGGTGATCCACCAGCCTCAGCCTCCCAAAATGCTGGGATTACAGGCATGAGTCACCATGCCCAGCCTAAACTTGGCAAGATAATAAATAACCTTTTTAAGTGTCGTTGGGCACTTGTCTGGTTGTTTTTCTTTAGGTTACCATGCCAGCAATGATTCCTTTTGAGTTTCTGACAGAAGATAGTGGTTTTCATCCAAATAAGTCAACTACTCTACCCCATCCCTAAGCCACTTGTATGGAAAGAAAAAGAGGAAGAATCCAGTACTGTGACTGCGTAAGCTTCCCCCAGCATCACCCGCTGTGAGATGTGTGGCAGCTGAGACCTGGGAACTGCTCAAGGGCACCAGGCCCCATCTGTCTGCACTCACTCACCTTCCTCAGGTACTCGCATGGGCATGTCACTGACTTTACGTGCTGCTGCAGCTCCTTGGTGAGCGGGCCCTGGTCATGGGACAGGAACTGTGGGGTCAGGACGATAGAGAGCTTCACCATTTGCAGAATGAGAACAGGGGCTCATCATGAGTGCCAACCTATTAGACAATTAAAAAAAAAAAGTGTTGAATGAGTGGAAAAACAAGGTGATGTTTGAGTCTATAGTGGTCAAGGGCTTCAGAAAAGGACAGAACCAAGTTCAAATTCCTGTACTTTGAATTTCTACTTCATGCCATGCAAAATTACTTTACCCCTTTTCACCTCAGTTTTCTTCTGTGTGAAACAGGAACAATAGTTTCATTCCTCATTCAGTTTCTCTCAAGGTTTCACGAGATCATACCTACAAAACATCCAAGTCATTTAAATGTATCATCATTTCTGTCATAATTAGTGGCATCCATTTCACTATTATTGGATATACAGTTCTGTGCCTGAAACCTACAAAAAAAGAAAATGTTAAGTCTAAAAAGCATTAGTGATTTCTCACTTTTATATTATTAATTATAACCCTATTTAATCACACAAGGCCTTGTCCGTGGCAGGTGCTCAATAAACACTTGTCGAATCAATGCATGTGGGCTCCGGAGCCACACTGTTTAGATTCTATTCTGCCTCCACCACTTATCAGCTGTGTGATCTGGGTAAGATAATTCACCTCTTTATGTCTGCACTTCCCTCTCCATAAACTATATATAATGAGAATCCTTAGCTCATTCGGTTGTGGTGAGGGGTGAATGATTTGGCACACAGGAGGGGCTTGTTAACATTAGCTGTGATGATCTCCTTCCAAATCTTCATTTTCAGAGCCACAGATGAGGCCACAGTGCAACCAGGTGACCTTAGAGTGTAAGTACACATGATCGCCAGCTATGCTCTATCTCCACCATAGGTCCAAGACTGGGTAGTTCCGGCCTGGAGGTTTCTGCTGCATCTGCCTTCTCAGTGTTCACCTAAGGACTTTTGTATTTTCCTCCTCACATCCCCACAGATGGGGTTCAGGCTGCCGGACACAGCTGGGTGATGCCAGGGCAGTGGTCACCTGTGCCAGCCCCGTGAGGTAGCTGGAGGATCATTGTTCCTTCCTTCTCGGGCTCTGGGCAGATGCCAGGGCTGGGGTGACCCATGCCCTCAAGTTTCTTGCTTTGGTGGGCCACATTTTCCCTTGGCAAAGAGGGTAAAGGTCACAGGATGCTGGAGAGCTGTGACTTCTCTGTGCCCCGGGCCCAAACTATGAAGACCTGACACACTATGCTAAAAGTCCAAGGCTGGGTGCTCCCCAGAGCTTCTTGCCTCACCGCTTCTGCTGAGGGAGGAATGAATACTATGTCCTCCCAGAGCTTTGGGAGCTTGTAGCAAGCAGCCTCCCCAGCGCAAAATCTCTTGGAAACCTCTAACTGTGTCTGAAACATTAGTGCAAATGTTGCATCCTATTTCCCATATGTCCGCATGTTTTAGGAAAAAACCCTCAATTTCCTAAATATGCAAGAAAAATCGGTATTGTAGGACAATGTGACTTTTTAAAAAATGTTATTTAAAAATCTTCCCCACCTCCTTTTCTGCCCTCCAAGACTGCCAAATACTTGTTGAACAAATATTATTAAATGCCTACTACGTGCCAGCCATGATTCATGGTCTTGGGGACACAGCAGAGAACGAACTGACAGGATTCCTCTCTTATGTAACTCACTTTCTTATATGATAATGATAAGGGTTAACATTAATTAAGCTGTCACTACGTGTTAGTCACGGTGCAGTCATTCCCACACATTATTACACTTAAACCTGCTAGCAAGCTTGCAAGGTAGTTAGTTGTTTTTCCTTTAAAAACTGAGTCTCAGAATGATGAAGCACTCTGTCCAATGTCACACAGCTAGTAAGTGTGGAGACCTTGCATCCAATCCATGCCCGTCTCATTCTAAACACCAAGTTATGTGTTCTCCAGCCCATGGAGAATAATTTTAACACAGTCAATGAAATTTCTACACAACAATGTTCTCGTCTCAAGTCCAAGAATGCCTCCTACACCTCCCATAATACTGGCTTTCTGATGAGTAAAGATGCCATTCTCATGTGTAATCAGGTGGCAAATGGAGATATGACCAAAGTAACCATTTGCCTACACTCATAACCCTGTACACACTCTTCCTGTGTCGACTCAATTCAAGTACCCCTTTTGATCACTTAGCAAATCTGACCTTTAAAAGGGTTAAGGTTTTTATATCCATGTAAGTTTCTGTATTGCTTTGGAAGTCTCTGGTTAAATGAATACCCTTTTAATAGTGACCTGTGATTCTGTTTTGATCAAGTGTTTTCAAACTTGACATCTTTGATGGGTTTCTCCAGTGTCAAAATCCTAAATCAGGTCTTTTTGGCTTAAAATTAACTTTGGGATTTTTCAGCTGCGTCCCTTGGGGAGTCTAAAGAATGTATCTCTCATCTTGTAGCGGTATTAAGTGATTCGATTTATTTGGTAGATTTTATGGGCGGGCATTGTCAAATGTGGTGATACTGCATGGGAGGGCACTGTCAAGTGAGGTGACATTAGATCTCATCTCAGTTATATTTATGGGTATGTTGTTGATATACACGTTCCAAAAATCACATACATTTATACAAATTTAATATGTTATGATTTGTAATTTTGATAGTTATGCTAAATATTTGTTAAAGTTATATTTGTATAAACATGTTATGAATGGCTGGGCACCGTCACTCATGCCTGTAATCCCAGCACTTTGGGAGACAAAGGCAGGTGGATCACCTGAGGTTGGGAGTTCGAGACCAGCCTGACTAATAGGGTGAAACCCTGTCTCCACTAAAAATACAAAAATTCGCCATGCCTGGTGGCACACGCCTGTAGTCTCAGCTACTCGGGAGGCTGAGACAGGAGAATTGCTTGAACACAGGAGGTGGAGGATGCAGTGAGTCGAGATCATGCCACTGCACTCCCACCTGGGTGACAGAGGTAGAATCTATCTAAAAAAAAAAGTTATTATTTCTGAAGATTATATGAAATTTATAAAAGTCTGATGGTCCTGATGTGATGCTGTCAGTTATGATTCTGATTACTGTCTTAAAATGCTGCAGATAAGTAATTAAATTTCCTTGTGAACTGGGAAGTTTCATCAGACTTTTATCATAACTATTGTTTCCATCATCCACAGTTACTGTTTTGATTTCTTCTCTAAAACTATTTGTAATTGGCAATAGTCCAAATTTTCTTTTGTTTTCTTTCCTGTTTTTGAGACACAGTCTGGCTCTGTCGCCTAAGCTGGAGTGCAGTGGTGGGATCTTGGCTCTCTGCAAGCTCTGCCTCCTGGGTTCACGCCATTCTCCTGCCTCAGCCTCCCAAGTAGCTGGGACTATAGGCGCCTGCCACCACGCCCAGCTAAGTTTTTGTATTTTTAGTAGAGACGGGGTTTCACTGTGTTAGCCAGGATGGTCTCAATCTCCTGACCTCGTGATCTGCCCGCCTCAGCCTCCCAAAGTGCTGGGATTACAGATGTGAGCCACCGCGCCCGGCTTAATTTTTGCATTTTCAGTAGATAGGAGGTTTCACCATGTTGGCCAGGATGGTCTCGATCTACTGACCTTGTAATCCGCCTGCCTCGGCCTCTCAAAGTGCTGGGATCATAGGTGTGAGCCACTGCAACTGACTTTTTTTTTTTTTTTTTTTTTTTTGAGACAGAGACTCACTCTGTCACCCAGACTGGAGTGCAGTGGCATGATTTCGGCTCACTGCAACCTCCACCTCCTGAGTTCAAACAATTATCCTGCCTCATCCTTCGGAGTACCTGGGATTACAGGTGAGTCCCACCGTGCCCGGCTCATTTTTGTATTTTTAGTAGAGACGGCGTTTCATCATGTTGGCCAGGCTGGTGTCATATCCTGGCCTCAACTGATCCACTCTCATTGGCCTTCCAAGGTGCTGGGATTATAGGCGTGAGCCACCACAACTGGCTCAGTAAGTACGTTTTTTATTATCAAAAAAGAGTAGTGTATGATTGGCGTATTCTGTGTAGAATGTATTTTATTGATGTCTCCTATTTTTATGATTTCTGAGTTAAGTACTTTTTAATTAATGCTTTTTAGTTTTGGGCAGATTCAGTTGACTAAAGCACCTCATTTCCCAGATACATGAAATAAAATATTTGGCTTCTTTTCCAATTTCACACTGATGTTATTTTGTGAAAATCAGTGCTTTAAGATAAATCTTTATACTTTAAGGTGAACATGAGAAACTTGATCTAATATTTAATATTTATTCAGTTCTACACTTTATTAACTTCTACACCAGCAGATTTAAAAATTATGTAACTATCTCAAGAAGTTTCACTTGGGTGTAATGGTTCACGCTTGTAATCCCAGCACTTTGGGAGGCTGAGGTGGGAGGATTGCTTAAGGCAAGGAGTTTGAGACCAGCCTGGGCAGTACAGCAAGATCCCATCTCTATTTTAAAGAAAAGTTTCACTTTGGGAGGCCAAGGCGGGCGGATCACAAGGTCAGGAGATCGAGACCATCCTGGCTAACATGGTAAAACCCCATCTCTACTAAAAATACAAAAAATTAGCCAGGCGTGGTGGTGGGCGCCTGTAGTTCCAGCTACTCGGGAGGCTGAGGCAGAAGAATGGCGTGAACCCAGGAAGTGGAGCTTGCAGTGAGCTGAGATTGTGCCACTGCACTCCAGCCTGGGCAACAGAGCGACACTCCGTCTCAAAAAGATAAAAAAAAAAAAAGTTTCAGCAAATTCCATCTAAGAATTCCACCAGAGTTCTGTTGTCTCCAATGTCATCTTCCACAGATTTCAAGTTGTGAAGCCCTGAACTGTTAATTTATCTTGAGAATGTATATTTGAGCTTAAGACTATATACCTAAAAATTGAGCATATAATTTCTACAATTTGTTTATGTAAGTTTCTGTAAGTCATAAGTATGTGGTTTCCAAGTGTATAATTTATCTGAATGTAATAGGCATTAATATATTTTACATTATTGGGACCATAGTACAGAAATTTCTAAATGGTTTGTAAAATAACTTGTTATTTGTGTTGTTGTAAAAGCAGTTAATACAATGGAAAAACTCGTAATAAGAAGATACATTTTAACATCAAAAAGTTTACCCAAGGTAATTATGAATACTACCTGGCAAAACTTTACAGAAGCTGTGGTATCACTTTTATGATAGAAAAATAGTGTTTGCATTTTGTGTAAAAGTACTTGGGGCTGGGCGTGGTGGCTCATGTCTATAATCCCAGTGCTTTGGGAGGCGAAGGCAGGTGGATCATCTGAGCCCAGGAGTTTGAGACCAGCCTAGGCAACATGGCAAGAGCCTGTCTCTCCAAAACCTACGAAAATTAGCCAAGCATGGTGGTGTGAGCCTGTAGTCCCAGCTACTTGGGAGACTCATGCAGGAGGATCTCTCGAGCCCAAGAGGCAGAAGATGAGTAAATAAATGGATGCCACTGAATGAGATGAGGTTTCTCTTGAAGGAGAGAGAAAAAGAGATTTAAATAGTAACAATTATAATAAGGCTGGGCGTGGTGGCTCACGCTTGTAATCCCAGAACTTTGGGAGGCCAAGGCAGGAGGATTGGTTGAGGTCAGGAGTTTAAGACCAGCATGGCCAACACGGTGAAACCGTGTCTCTATTAAAAATACAAAATTAGCCGGACACGGTAGTGCGTTGCCTGTGGTCTCGGCTACTCAGGTGGCTGAGACAGGAGAATCGCTTGAACCTGGGAGGCATACGTTGTAGTGAGCCGATTAAAAAGTATTAGAGTCCTAACAGAGGAAAGTTTCCACTGATCACCTTTTAGCTTTAAATAATGCAGAAGCATTTGCCCAGTTTACTTGTAATTAAAAATCATGCATCATTCACAATTTATCAGTCTTTTTTGTTTGTACAAAAACTAATATAAGTTATTCTCTTTTGTCTGTATTGTGACTGGTTTGGTGAGAGGGAATTAGGCCACTCGAGAGTTTGTGTGTGTTTAAAATTTTCTGGCCAGGCACGGTGGCTCATGCCTGTAATCCCAGCACATTCGGAGGCTGAGTCAGGGGGTATCACCTGAGGTCAGGAGTTCTAGACCAGCCTGACCAACATGGAGAAACCCCCATCTCTACTAAAAATACAAAATTAGCTGGGCGTGGTGGTACGTGCCTGTAATCCCAGCTACTCGGGAGGCTGAGGCAGGAGAATCGCTTGAACCTGGGAGGTGGAGGTTGTGGTGAGCTGAGATCGCGCCATTGCACTCCAGCCTGGGCAACAAGAGCGAAACTCTGTCTCAAATAAATAAATAAATAAATAAATACATAAACTATCACAGCATAAAGTAGGAGGGATATTTCATTACTGTCTAGTTAAACTGGTTAATGCGGAAAGGAAGTCTGGAAATTCCAGTTTTAAAGTAAAATTTTGGACATTGTAGGATTGATTATTTGGCATAGTTGTGATGTTTGTTGCTGCATTACGGTTTTGTTGGCAGGGCAGCCTTTAAGGACCGGTCTATTTTCTTCTAGACTCTATATATTCCCCGTCAGTATTAGTTGCATGGTCAAACTGGCAAATTTTACCATAGGTATAAATAATAGAGAATGTGGAAGAATAGTGAATAGTGTCAGAGATAGTTAAAGGTCCATACAGAAGTTGAGAAGGTAATAAGTAATAGTGGCTTGGACTAAATATTTGTTGAATAAATTTTTTAAAAAACAGGCTACCTACAATTTGTGTTGAAGATATGAGTGAATGAAGTTTCCACACCCTTATGTGGAGTCCTGCTAAGTAAGCAACAATAAGGAAGGGTCCCCAGGTTGGGGAGAGCCCCAAGTTGAGGAGAATAATGAACAATTATTGTATGAACAATTGTTAGAGACAGCTAATCACAAACAACCTGCGGGCACAATGACCTCATTCCACACGTAGCACCCTTCAGCAGGACCCTATAAAACTTTCCTCCAGCCCTTGCCTCTTTGCAGGTAGCCCCTTCTCTGCTGAGCTGCCCATTGCAACATATTTTCATAATTTCTCTAATAAATCTGCCCTTCTTTACCTACAACTATCTTGGTAAATGGCTTTACCACCTGCAAAACCAACCCTAGGTAGTTGCTACCTGATATGGTTTGGCTGCGCCCCCACCCAAATTTCATCTTGAATTGTAGCTCCCATCATCCCCATGTGTCGTGGGAGGGACCCGGTAGGAGGTAATCGAATCATGGGGGCAGGTTTTTCCCATACTGTTCTCATGATAGTGAATACATTTCACTAAATCTGGTGGTTTAATAAAGGGCAGTTTCCCTGCACGTGCTCTCTTGCCTGCTGCCATGTAAGACGTACCTTTGCTCCTTCTTTGCCTTCCACCATGATTCTGAGGCCTCCCCAGCCTTGTGGAACTGTGAGTACATTAAACCTCTTTTTCTTTATAAATTACCCAGTCTCAAGTATTTCTTCATAGCAGTATGAAAAGTAACTAATATACTACCCGAGACACCTTAGGAGATTTGTAATAGCTGTAATGCCAGGTCCACCATATTTTTAGCATAAAGCAAATGTTTACCCATGATATGACTGCATAGGCTTTCAGCTGGAGCCATAGTAACTCAAGTAGTAACCATATCTTACTCTGATTAAAAGTAAATATTAGTCTGGGCATGGTGGGACATGCCTGTAATCCCAGTACTTTGGGAGGCTGAGACAGAAGCATTGCTTGAGCCCAGGAGTTTGAGATCAGCCTGGGCAACATGGAAAAACACCATCTCTACAAAAAATACAAAAATTAGCTGAGCGTGGTGGCACACACCTGTAGTCCCAGCACCTTGGGAGGGTGAGGCAGGAGGATCTCTTGAACCCAGGAGGTGGAGGCCGCAGTGAGCAGTGATCATGTCAGAGGCATGTGAACCAGAGCAACTCCATCTTAAATAGGAGCTGGGAAAAATGAGGCTGAAACTACTGGGCTGCATTCCCTGATGGTTAAGGCATTCTAAGTCACAGGATGACATAGAAGGTCAGCACAAAATACCAGTCATAAAGACCTTGCTGATAAAACAGGTTGCAGTGAAGGAGCTGGCCAAAACCCACCAAAACCAAAATAGTGACAAGAGTGACCTCCCGTCATCCTCACTGCTACACTCCTACCAGCACCATGACAGTTTACAAATGCCATGGCAACATCAACAAGTTACCCTATATGGTCTAAAAAGAGGAGGCATGAAAAATCCACCCCTTGTTTAGCATATCATCAAGAAATAACCATAAAAATGGGCAACCAGCAGCCCTCCTGGCTGCTCTGTCTGTGGAGTAACCATTCTTTTATTCCTTTACTTTTTCTTTTTTTTTTTTTGAGATGGAGTCTCCCTCTGTCACCCAGGCTGGAATGCAGTGGCGTGATCTCGGCTTACTGCAAGCTTCACCTCCCGGGTTCACACCATTCTCCTGCCTCAGCCTCCAGAGTAGCTGGGACTACAGGTGCCCGCCACCACACCTGGCTAATCTTTTTGTATTTTTAGTAGACACGGGGTTTCACCGTGTTAACCAGGATGGTCTTGATCTCCTGACCTCCTGATCCACCTGTCTCAGCCTCCCAAAGTGCTGGGATTACAGGTGTAAGCCACCGTGCCCCTCCTCCTTTACTTTTTTAATAAACTTGCTTTCACTTCACACTGCGGGATCACCCTGAATTCTTTCTTGCACAAGATCCAAGAACCCTCTCTTGGGGTCTGGATTGGGACCCCTTTCCTGTAACTATCATGCCACTGCACTCCAGCCTGGGCAACAGAGCAAGGCCCTGTCTCAAAACAAAAAAAAGTAATATGACTTAATACATTCATTTTGGAGGGTAAGTCTCTCAAAATAGGCCTTTCACTGGGGGAAAATGGTAAAAATACTCCCTGGTAATTCAAGAATTGCAGACTCCTGAGATGCTGCTCATATCAGCTGAACACTTACCAATACTTCACTTTCTTCCATATATACTCAAGGAACAAGTGCTATTTAAAGTGTTTCACTCTGCTGTGCTAGGTGCAAGACTATAAAGAGGTGTGAGGATCAACACTTTTATGAAAACCAATGTCATTCTGAATATAGTTTCAGATGCTAGTGCAAAGGAAGTTCTTGGTATATGGAAGAAGTATTCAACAATAAATTAGGCATGGTTGCTTCCATTTTCTGCCTCACATACTTTTTTTTCGTGGTTAAAGTGATACAATGTCTATGATATTTTAGATTGGCAGTTGCAAACTAGTGGTCCTCAGCGTGCTTTTTATGACACCTACAAGGTTTGAAGACTTTGATTTCATATTAAAAATCTGGGTTTCAGGCTGGGTGTGGTGTTGCACTTCTGTAATCCCAGCACTTTGGGAGGCTAAGGTGGGTGGATCACCTGAGGTCAGGAGTTCGAGACCAGCCTGGCCAACATGATGAAACTCTGTCTCTACTAAAAATACAAAAATTAACCAGGCATGGTGGCATGTGCCTCTAATCCCAGCTACTCGGGAGGCTGAGGCAGGAGAATTGCTTGAACCAGGGAGGTGGAGGTTGCAGTGAGCCAAGATCGCGCCACTGCACTCAAGCTTAGGCAATAGAGCAAGACTCCATCTCAAAAAATGAATAAATAAATAAATAAAATCTGGGTTTCAGGCCAGGTGTGGTGGTGCACTCCTGCAATCCCAGCACTTTGGGAGGCTGAGATGGGCAGACAGCTTGAGCTCAGGAATTCCAGACTAGTCTGGGCAACATGGCGAAACCGCATGTCTACAAATAATACAAAAAAATTAGCTGGGTGTAGTGGAGTGTGCCTGTAATCTCAGCAACTTGGGAGGCTGAAGTGAGAGGATTGCTTGAGCCTGGGAGGTTGAGGTTACAGTGAGCTGAGATCGCACTCCTACACTCCAACCTGGGCAACAGAGCCAGACCTTGTCTTAAAAAAAAAAAAAAAAATTCTGGGTTTCTGGCATCTCAAAAAAAAAAAAAAAAAAAAAGGAAAGGTCAGGGCTGCTACAGTCCTCTATTAAGCAATGTGCCACAGCAGGGGTCCCTAATCCCTGGGCCATGGACCTGTACTGGTCTGTGGCCTGTTAGGAACTGGGCCACAGAGCAGGAGGTGAATGGTGGGTAACAATTGAAGCTTCGTCTGTATTTCTGGCTGCTCCCCATTGCTTGCATTGCTGCCTGAGCTCTGCCTCCTGTCAGATCAGCAGCATCATTAGATTCTTACAGGAGCATGAACCCTGTTGTGAACTGCACACACGAGGGATCCAGGTTGCATATTCCTTATGAGAATCTAATTCCTGATGATTTGTGGTGGAACAGTTTCATCCCAAGACCATTACCATCCTGCGCCCCATCCCTTGCCGCCTGTGGAAAAACTGTCTTCCGCAAAGCCGGTCCCTGGTGCCAAAAATGTGGGGGACTGCTGTGCTTTAGAATCTGCCATTAATCTGCAGCCTCTATTATATAGTTCCCTATAGACTTTGCTTCCTACCGTCTTACATTCTGCCTTATAGGCATCTGAGTTTGCAACCCTTGTTTTTGTCAGTATGCTACGCTGGTGACATTGACCAAATTGACCACACATTAATGATAAGCTTAGTTGGTGATGACCTCAATGGAATAACGTGACATAAGTATTGTGACAATACTTCTTGCATGTATCTGCAGGTGGAATTGTAAACCTGGTGGTCCGAGATGGTCTAACTCGATCTTGCTATGTATCTCCTTATATTAATAGTGATAACATTTGTGGTGGTGATTCAGCGTTTCAGTGCCTCTTCTCATGGCAACAACAAACGTTTTCCTTCTGAATCAACATTAACCTAGATGTTACTGCGGATCAGAATTAGACTCTACATTTTCAACCACAGAAATATTGGGCAGTAAAAATTTTTCTTAATATTGATTGCCCACATACATTGTGTAATTAGCATATGTTTATAGTTCTATGATTTGTGCGTGGCTGCTACAGAGCTGGAGGGGGTAAAGCAACAGTGTTTTCTCAGTTGTGCGAGCAGCATTACATTATAATGAATAGGTAATATTAAACTGGGCTGATAAGAGTTGCAAAAGACTACTTTAATGTTCATATGCAACCAAAAAAGAGCCCGCATTGCCAAGACAATCCTAAGCCCAAAGAACAAAGCTGGAGGCATCATGCTACCTGACTTCAAACTATACTACAAGGCTACAGTAACCAAAACAGCATGGTACTGGTACCAAAACAGACATATAGACCAATGGAACAGAACAGAGCCCTCAGAAATAATACCACACATCTACAACTATCTGATCTTTGACGAACCTGACAAAAACAAGAAATGGGGAAAGGATTTCCTATTTAATAAATGGTGCTGGGAAAACTGGCTAGCCATATGTAGAAAGCTGAAACTGGATCCCTTCCTTACACCTTATACAAAAATCAATTCAAGATGGATTAAAGACTTAAACGTTAGACCTAAAACCATAAAAACCCTACAAGAAAACCTAGGCAATACCACTCAGGACATAGGCATGGGCAAGGACTTCATGTCTAAAACACCAAAAGCAATGGCAACAAAAGCCCAAACTGACAAATGGGATCTGATTAAACTAAAGAGCTTCTGCATAGCAAAAGAAACTACCATCAGAGTGAACAGGCAACATACAGAATGGGAGAAAACTTTTATAATCTACCCATCTGACAAAGGGCTAATATCCAGAATCTACAAATAACTTAAACAAATTTACAAGAAAAAAATCAAACCACCCCATCAAAAAGTGGGCAAAGGATATGAACAGACACTTCTCAAAAGAAGACATTTATGCAGCCAACAGACACATGAAAAAAATGCTCATCATCACTGGCCATCAGAGAAATGCAAATCAAAACCACAATGAGATACCATCTCATGCCAGTTAGAATGGCAATCATTAAAAAGTCAGGAAACAACAGGTGCTGGAGAGGATGTGGAGAAATAGGAACACTTTTACACTGTTGGTGGGACTGTAAACTAGTTCAACCATTGTGGAAGTCAGTATGGCGATTCCTCAAGGATCTAGAACTAGAAATACCATTTGACCCAGCCATCCTATTGCTGGGTATATGCCCAAAGGATTAGAAATCATGCCGCTATAAAGACACATGCACACATATGTTTATTGCGGCACTATTCACAATAGCAAAGACTTGGAACCAACCCAAATGTCCATCAATGATAGACTGGGTTAAGAAAACGTGGCAATTATACACCATGGAATACTATGCAGCCATAAAAACGGATGAGTTCATGTCCTTTGTAGGAACATAGATGAAGCTGGAAACCATCATTCTGAGCAAACTATCGCCAGGACAGAAAATCAAACACCGCATGTTCTCACTCATAGGTGGGAATTGAACAATGAGAACACTTGGACACAGGGCGGGGAACATCACACACTGGGGCCTGTCATGGGGTGGGGGAAGCGGGGAGGGATAGCATTAGGAGATATACCTGATGTAAATGACGAGTTAATGGGTGCAGCACACCAACGTGGCACATGTATACATATGTAACAAACCTGCACGTTGTGCACATGTACCCTAGAACTTAAAGTGTAATAAAAATAAATAAATAAATAAATTGGGCTGATGAGTCATATTACAGTAATCCAATATTTCCCTTGTAAAGTCCCTGAGGTTTACAGAAGGAAATCTTTTCTAATAACAAGAAGAGTGAGGCATGTGCTTTGGTCTTTATTTCCTAGCTATACGATCCTGGGTAAGGAGCTCAACTTTTCTCTGCCAAAATTAAATGAGGATTGAATGAGATCATATATGTGAAGTTGTGAAAGACAGTGCCTGGCACATAGTAGGATCAATCAATGTTAGTATCTCTAAAATAGAGATTGAGTCTGAAGATCCACAAAGTGGTAGAACCGATCTTAAGATTCCCAAATGATAGAATTGTGCTTTATTTGCCTAAGTAGTATGGTATTACTTATTGCATGCCCAGGGGATCTTTTTTTAAAAATAATATTTATTTATTTTGAGACAGAGTCTCGCTCTGTCCCCCAAGCTGGAGTGCAGTGGCACCATTTTGGCTCACTGCAACCTCTACCTACCCGGTTCAAGCAATTCTCCTGCCTCAGCCTCCGGAGTAGCTGGGATTACAGGTGCGTACCACCATGCCCGGCTAATTTTTGTATATTTAGTAGAGACAGGGTTTTGCCATGTTGGCCAGACTGGTCTTAAACTCCTGACCTCAGGTGATCCAGCTCCCTCAGCCTGCCACAGTGCTGGGATTACAGGTGTAAGCCACCGCACCCAGCCCTAATGTTTTATTTTTTGGTAGAGATGAGGTCTTACTATGTGGCCCAGGCTGGTCTTGAATTCCTGGACCTAAGTGATCCTCCCGCCTTGACCTCCCAAAGTGTTGGGATTACAGGCATGAGCCACCGTGCCCAGTTCCCTTCTTAAATAGTTTTAAGGGGGAGAAGAAAGAAAAAGACTGATTTTCTTCCCTTCCACTACCAAAACAGGCAAAACACACCGGAACACTTTGCTTAGCATTTCTTTTCTTTTCTTTTCTTTTTTTGAGAAAGAGTCTCCCTCTGTCAGCCAGGGTGGAGTGCAGTGGGGCGATCTTGGCTCACTTCAAGCTCCACCTCCTGGGTTCAGGCCACTCTCCTGCCTCAGCCTCCTGAGTAGCTGGGACTACAGGTGCCCGCCACCACGCCCGGCTAATTTTTTGTATTTTCAGTAGAGACGGGATTTCACCGTGTTAGCCAGGATGGTCTGGATCTCCTGACCTCTTGATCCGCCCGCCTCTGGGCGGCCACTGGTTGTGTGTAAAGCTCCCGGATGACTCTAATGTGCAGTGGGGAGTGAGAACCCTTGTAGTGGAAAACCGAGAGTCACAAGACATCAAAATATAGGAATTCCAGCCTGGCCAACGTGGCAAAACCCCATTTCTACAAAAAATGCAAAAATTAATCCAGTGTGGTGGCTCATGCCTGTGGTCCCAACTCCTCGGGGGCTGAGGTGGGAAGATCACTTGAGCCCAGGAGGTCAAGGCTGCAGTGAGCCATGATCGCACCACTGCACTCCAGCCTGGGTGACAGAGCAAGACCCTGTCTCAACAACAACAAAAAAGGAATTCAGGTGATGACTTTTTTTTTTTTTTTTTTTTTTTTGAGATGGAGTCTCCTCTGTCCCCAAGGCTGGAGTGCAGTGGTGTAATCTCAGCTCACTGCAACCTCGGCCTCCCAGGTTCAAGTGATTCTCCTGCCTCAGCCTCCCAAGTAGCTGGGACTGCAGGTGTGTACCACCATGCCCGGCTAATTTTTTGTATTTTTAGTAGGGGCGGGGTTTCACTATGTTGGCCAGGCTGGTCTCGAACTCCTGACCTCAGATGATCTGCCTGCCTTGGCCTCCCAAAGTGCTGGGATTACAGGTGTGAGCCACCATGCCCGGCCAATTCAGGTGACTTCTGAATTCTCATTCTGATTCTGGTAAGTTACATGGGAATGCTAATCTACCTAAATTTAGCCCAAAAGAAAAGAAAATGCCCCTCCAAAAAGAGCTGCTAATAACTCTAGGAGAATGGAGTATCATAAGGGCAAGCTAATCTACCCAGCAGCCCCAGAACAAAAGCAAGGGATGTCCACCGAGCCTGGTTACCTGCTGCGGTCATCAAAGGGCTGAACCGCAAACACGTGCCCTCAGCTTCCAGATCCATGACTGTGAGGCCGCTCGCAGGCACCAGCTGCTTCAGCTGTTCTCCCAGCTGTGAGGAGGACACAATGAACACCCTCCTGTAACAAGGGACTCAGACGTCTTCAGGACCCATCCTCATCCCCTCGGCCCCAGACCAAAGAGCCTCCTGGAGAGCTGGTTCATGCTCTTTTGACTGTCTGATTACTTAGAGCAGCTTTTTAAAAACAGTAAATTTTATGGTTTTTTCTTATTAATACAAGTTCATTGTAGAAAAATTTAGGAAATACAAGTAAACAAAAAGAAGAAAATAACAATGACCCACAATACATTACTAAGCGACACCCACTGCTGACATGTGGTCTGCCCCCAGCGTCTTTTCTCCTAGTGGCAGGCAGGGAGTTGTAGTTGTTGTCATAAAACATGCTACTTGACACTGCTTAGTAACCTGCATTGATTCATTTCGTTTATGACCAGTTCCTTTCTGCTTGAGACACTCAGCTCTGTGGTCTCTCACAGCTGTGCTGAGCCCCAGCACGGATGTACTAGGACTTATCCGCCAACCCTGCTAGGCTGGGCGTGTCCAGCATTGGCTAGAACCGCTGCTGCCGCCGTCCCACACTGTTCACAAGACCCTTCAGACTCAAATCCTAGAGCTGCTATTCAGTGCCCAAAACGCTATCAAAGTGCAGGCCTGGCTCCACACTGCCAGCTGCAGATGCTCGGCAGACTCTGCCTGGGGCTCCCGGCTGTGCTGCCCAGGCTCACCAGAACCCACTGCAGCTGCCCTGCAGCCCACCTTTTGCCTGTTGTCTCACAGCCTTATACAGCAGCAAGGAAAGTGAGGGAGCAATGCTGGAAGGACTTGCCAGAGGTGACCCAGCTCGTGAGGTGGTAACGCAACGGGGAACAGAACTCCAGAGCAGGCCCAGCACTGGCAGGGCGGCTCCTCCTGTGGGCCTCAGTTCCCATACACAAGCAGGCGTCACCCTCACCAGCAGGTCGGATGGTGATGGACGGGGACCTGAAAGGAAAGGCGGGCGACTGCCATTCTCACCCAGAGATTCAGCGCATCACACGAGTGCCTCTCCCGGCCGACTGCTGAAGGTGTCATGTTGGGCACTGGGACGGCTTTAAACACTGGATCTGACACCAAAACACAGAAAGGGAGTCACTCCCAGAAACACGGCTGACCAAAAAAAAAACACCCTCCAAACCCCACATCATTCCCATCCCAATATTAGCCCCAGGGCACTGACTCGTATTACTGAATTCTCATGTATTATCTGACAGAAGGGCTACATTTCTTTCTCCTCGTGATCTATGTAACACTTGAATACATTCACATAAGACAGAATTATTAATTTCATTTTTGAAAAGGTTTGCTTTCAAGGGATTTCAAGAGGAAACAGCAATTGTTGTAAGTTACTAACTAGTTTACCAAGCACCGTGCGAGGTCTGTGAGTGCCACGATCATCCAACTAGGCCTCACAGTGGGTGCCCACCCATGCCAGGCACAGAGCCTGACACTTGGGACAGAAGGCAGGTAAGGTTTCTGTCATCTTGGAGCTTACATTTTAGTTGAGGAAACAGACCATAAAGAAAGAAAATCACTCCATGTGGTTGTTAGTGTCACAAGTGAAGCTGGGGGCTCTGATAGAAAATGATGGAGTCCCCTCAGGCAGGATAGGCAGGGAAGGCTGAGGATGTGGATACTTAGTGGAGACCGAAATGGTGAGGAGGAGCTGGCACCAGAAGAGAGAAATGTGTGTAAGACAGAGGGAACGCCGAGTGTTAAGCCCTTGCGGTAGGAAAGGGCAGAGTGTTCTGCAGCGCGGAGAAGACTGGTCTGACTGAGGCACAACGAACAAGAGGGAGAGTGGAAGAGGGGAAGGCAGAGGTGAATTCGGGGCAGAGTGCGCAGGCCTCATGGGGCATGGGAGAGCCTGGCCTTTGTTCGACCGAAATGGTAAGATACCCAGGGGCTCTGGGCAGGGAAGTGACACTGATACAGGAGTGCTGGGAAGGGAAGAGCGTGGTCCCTTTAAATGACACAGAAGCAGGGAAGGGAAGTGCTGGGGAGAGAAAGGCGGGTCCCTGGCTAGGACTCTACCCCCACGGACCTAGGTGAGGACAAGCACTCCTGCCTTCCCCCAAATGTTGCATTTCCCAAGACCACGCTGGCCCACCACACCAGCATCCTGGGCCTATAAAAACCTGAGACCCTAGTGGGCAGACAGAAGTGGCTGGATGGCAAGAGGAACACATTGGTGGAAAAAGACACAAGCGGCTGGTCATGGAGAGCAGGCCGGCAGAAGAGCATCCCGACAGGCACCGGCAAGCCAGCAGGCCATCAACCACCGGGACGAGGCGGAGTTTGGCCAGGGCCGCTGAGCGGCCCAACTCCAAGGGAAATCTATCTCCCTTCTGGCTCCCCCATCAGGGGAGAACTACTTTCATTCAATAAAACCTTGCACTCATTCTCCAAGCCCACATGTGATCCCATTCTTCCGGTACACCAAGACAAGAACCTGGGATACATTAATCCCTCTGTCCTTGTGATAAGGAAGGGGGTCTAAGTGAGCTAAAACAAGCTGCCTACAGACGGCTAAATTAAAAGAGCACACTGTAACACATGCCCGCTGGAGCCTTAGGAGCTGTAAAACATTCACCCCTAGATGCTGCCATGGGGTCGGAGCCCCACAGTCTGCCCGTCTGTATGCTCTCCTAGAGGTTTGAGCAGCAGCGGGGCACTGAAGAAGCGAGCCACACCCCCATCACATGCCCTGCGAGGGGGACAAGGGAACCTTTCCAGTTTCAACACCATGTGACTTCCACTTATAACCCTCACTCTGCCAGGTGGAGAATGGTCTGGAATGGGCTGTGTAGAATGTATGAAAGTCAGAGGTCAGTTGAGAGGGGACAATGGCCATCCAGGTAAAAAAAGTAGTGCCCTGGACTAGACTGGTGGCACTTGGGTCATTCTTTAAAGATACAGATTCCTGGGCACAACCTATTGACTCAAAATATGTGGGAAGTAAGACCCACAAATCTTTATGTTCAAGCAACTCTTTCTTAGCCATTCCAGCACTGGTCCAGG
This sequence comes from Homo sapiens, assembly GCF_000001405.40. Lineage (NCBI taxonomy): Eukaryota > Metazoa > Chordata > Mammalia > Primates > Hominidae > Homo > Homo sapiens. The sequence continues at coordinate 70,013,884 of NC_000016.10, forward strand.
GACTGGCATTTGGGAACCCCTGGTTTAATCACCGCAAACTATCAGCAAATTGCTAAGGCATTTCGGACTGAAGTTTTCATGAAAATTATTACATTTTTCTGAAATGCTGACTGAAGATTGTCAGCAATAAAAATATTTTGAAATATTTAAATTGAAATGGTATCAAATTCAAAGCCTTTAACACAGATATGAAAATAACCCTCTTTTAAAATTCACCCACCTGAGCCTGGTAATTCTTGGAAAAATCTGAACACCACCACTGGGGAGCTGAGCTCATCTTCCACCTGGAAGAATGGAAGTCTCATATCACCAAGTAACATTAAACTCCAGACGCCTTCAAAATGAAATGCTGAGTTCAAAAACTCGCTTAGAGATGCTCTATTTGTAAATAAACACACTAAAAAGTTCAGAGATTAATTTCAGTTGCTAGAGAAAAATCAAATGTTTAGTAAAATTTTAAAAAATAACTATGAGCCAGCCTTGAGAGTACACTGTGAATTATAAGATGTTTGACACTGGTACATTGAAATTAAAGCAGGGGGAAATTTTAATAAGGGATAAACATAGGTCTAACATTAAAGATTAAAACCAGTAAGAAGCAGTGAAACTAGACTCAGTGCGGAGAGAGCCCATGCTTTCAAGAATCCCAGAAATTATGCAGGATTTATTGAAACTTAAACTGTTTTTTTTTAGAGATGGGGTCTTGGTATGTTGTCCAGGCTGGCCTTGAACTCTTGGCCTCAATTAATCCTCCTACTTTGGCTTTCCAAGTGTTGGGATTACAGACGTGATACACCGTGCCTGGCCAACTAGAATTTTTCATACTCATAGGAAAAAAGAGGGGGGAACAACTACTTTCTTCCCCTTTGCAAAACCTTCGGAACAAGATGCAAGTCCTGCTGGTGATGTAGACAAGCACAGCTGAGAACTGGATCTGTGTATTTTCTAATATATTTAATTATTATTAAAGACAGGCCGAAGACGACTAACTTCATTAGTGGGTTTCCTAACAGTTGAAAATATCCACTGCGTTATGTATTACGATAATCCAGCAGCAAATTCCTGTTTTGCATCAAATAGTATACCCTGACTTGGTCAAGCCATGGGGTCAGGGTACCGTAAGCATCCATGTCCTTGGCAGGCTCTGTGGTACTGTAGGGGCGTGTGGGCGGCCCTGGTGGGGAAGATCTCTAAGCATCTAACAATCCCAGTACTATAGCTCTAGTAATAAAACTTATGTTCCAAGGCTCTGAGTGTGATGACTCACTGGTAGGGCCGCAACAGGAAATGCTAACTTGGAAAGACAAGAAGCAGTGGCCCAAGATCTTTTCTACTAACTTTTCAAAGGACTGTGTGGACAGTATTCATACCAAGCAGGATGTGAATTCAAATCTGCCAATTATTCACGGGGCCAGTCCTGTGCTAAGTGCCTTCACATCTATCATCTTTAACTTTCACAGAGACAAATAAAACGTGATACTTTTAAAGGTATGGCGGCGGGCGGCAGGGGGGCGATGCTTAATATTTAAATAGGGGAGCACGCCCAATAAGCAAGGAGGAACAAAAAGGCAACAAAATAATCCGCCCACTCTCCCATCCTCAGCTAGGAGATGGCAGAATGAGGTGAGTGCCAAGACTGCTATGAATATTATCATCATCTTTTCTTTCTTTGAACTCAGTGGTCTCAAATGTCAAAGTGTGTAAGAAATAGTATACAGGGTTAGAGACACTTCTGGTTCTAGTAACGTGATAGACTGAGTGAACACTGAAGTTGTCAATTCTGAATATCTGAAATACTGGATTAAATATAACCAAGAACCAAAAAAAGGTTAAACCATGGCTGGGCTCACACCCAAAAAAAGGTGAATCCACAAAGAAGAGGAAACAGAAAGACGACTGTAAGCTGAATGGCAGGGGATGGGAGCATGTCTGGGGCCTGGCACTGGGCTTTCAGGGCTAGGGTCTTGGGTGTTAATGCCCAGTGGTGAGTCTGTATAAGGCCTTTACAAAGCTTCTATAGGAAAAAACAAACAGATTTGATTTCGGATAGTAGTAAGAGTGATGAAGACGACCCAGGGGGATGGAGTGATGTCTGACGGTGGGAGATGATCTTAGGGTGGCCAGGAAAGGCCTTTCTGAAGAAGTGAGATTTGAATTAAGATCTGAAAGATAAGAAACCAGTCATGAGAAGAATTGGGACTGGGGAGGCTGGGCGCTTTGGCTCACGCCTGTAATCCCAGCACTTTGGGAGGCTGAGGCGGGTGGACCACGAGGTCAAGAGTTCAAGACCAGCCTGGCCAACATGGCGAAACCCCATCTCTACTAAAAATACAGAAATTAGCTGGACATGGTGGCATGTGCCTGTAATCCCAGCTACTCAGGAGGCTGAGGCAGGAGAACTGCTTGAACAGGGACCCAGGAGGCGGAGATTAGAGTGAACCGAGATCGCACCACTGCACTCCAGTCTGGGCTACACAGTGAGACTCTGTCTCAAAAAAAATAAACAGAAGAATTGGGGGTTGGGGGTGGGAAACAGTGTTTCCAGGCAGAGAGAACAGCACGTACAAAGGAGACTGTTGGGAGGGTTAAATGAAATAATTCATGTAAGGTACTTAGTACCACACATGAATTTCACAAGCAGCAGCTGGGATGGTGGTGATGGTGATGGTGATGGTGATGATGAGGACTCACAGGCCATAATGCCTCATGGTGTTAGCCAATTATTGTATCCTCTACTGAAAAAACAGCCATTGGAAGAAGGGACAGAGCAGGCTTTCTGCCTGGGCCAGTGTGGCCTACAGAGATGCTCCAAAACAACTGGTGATTAACTAGCACCACTGGGTCCCCCAATTTGAGAATAAGGGAGCAGCAATGACTGAGGAAAAGCCAAGTGCGCTCAACATGGCAGGGGCAGGAAAGCAGACGGGCCCAGCACCGCCTGGATTCTTAACAGCTTGCTCAATCTAGGCCATAATTTGCTTCTCTGTTTGCAATCAGAGGAGACCAACCAGCATACTTTCATTTGACAGTCAGGCTTGGAAAGAAAATGACTCAATGTCACAGGGCCACCCTGTGGCACTGCTCAGAGCAGAGCCCAGGCCTCTGAACTTAGATTCATCCCTTCCGCTTCTCCAGTGGTCCACTTCCTCATCCAAGGATAGA